>NC_000011.10:121717879-122020909 GCF_000001405.40 Homo sapiens
CTGTGCTGGTTTTTGTTTAATATTTGAAAGGCAAGTTCTTTAAGGTCTCTAAGGGTAGGATGGAAGCTATAGGAACTAGATTTTAATGGACATAAGAAAGAAGCCTCTACTAATCAGAGCCATGGAATGATTGTATTGCTCTGGAGATAAGGAGTTCTCTATCTGTAGAAGTACCCAACCATTGTTTGCATGGCCAGGTGATAAATTTTGGAAAATATTTTATTTTTACATGCTAGAGACTTGATGATGTATTTGCTATGAAGTTAGTTAATTTTGGAAAAGTCCTTCACTTTTTTCAATTTTTCTGGGTAGCTGTGTAAATACTACATTAGATAGATTCTTCTACCTAAATACTAGATTTAGAAAGAAGTGGAGTAGAAGGGGTCTGAACACAACATCTCTTTAGGATCCAAAATAAGATCTTGTGATGGAGAGGCAGCTATGTTGGGCTTGGGGAAGGGGCAGAACATGGTTGAAATAACACCCTTCAGGGGTTAGAAAAGAATAAGAAATAGCAGTACCTCCCAAAAGAGTATTTCAGCAAGATAGCCTTTGAGAGATTTAGTTGGAATTTAGACTTGAATGAGGGGTATAATGGGGTTTGGTATAAATGATAATAGTTATTGATTATAGAGCATACAGTATATAAAACATATATATTTAATATGTATGAGATCTCCTTGATTTACACATGAGGACGATGGAGCTTAAAAAAGTTAAATGACTTGTCCAAGGCAACAAAATTACTCAGGAGAAGAGCCAGGATTTGAACCCTTGGTTATTTGGTCCCAAACCTCATGCATATGCATTGCACTACACCAGGCTCCATGTTCAAATTGGGAAAGCATGAAAATTCAGCTGGTAATGGATCCCAGGCTATTAACAACCAGGTCTACCCAGCAGGGCCAGGAGGGTATGGTAAGGCAAATATCAGAATCATTTGGGCAATGAACCACCCACTCTTCTTTCAATAGCCAGAGTAACACAGACTAAATCTATATATAGCCAAAGAATGCTATTTTTGAGACATCTTTATTAACTGATTTCAGCACCATTTATTTCAATCAGGTTTTCATCCACCAAATAGAAATACAAGTAATTGCCTCAAAAGGTTCATGTGAGGATTGATTGAGATAACATTTATAAAAGTGCTTGCCTAGAATGTCTATGCTAAATAAAAGGGAGTTGACTCTGAATTCTGAAGTTATTTTGCCTTTACGGACGTGGTCTCAGTCTTAGACCTTGTAGTCAGTTGGAAGAACAACAGAAGAAGAGATATCTTTGAATTCTCAGGAGAACTTCTTTAAAAAAAATCCATTTGTGCCCTATTATTTTAGTCTACCTGCAGCTGTATCCAAACAGGGAGGTGGGAGGGGAAGTAAAGAGTTCAGCTTATAGTTAGTGAATCCAATTTATGTTCGGGTCAAAACTCTTGACTGTAAGGCCAACTGATTATTTGGCTGTACAGTCACTTTTTTCATCAGAGTAGGTAGTTGCTTATGTGACGTGATCTGAAAGTCACTGAAAGGCCTTTTGTCCTCAAATCTTTCCTCTTTCAATAAGGCATGGAATCTGAAATTCCATTCTGAGAAATCTAACCTCAGGTTAAGGCCATGATTCTCAAACTTTGCTATGCATCTGGGTCCCTTGAAGTACTTATTTAAAATACTGAACCAGAACTACTAAGTTTCTGGGGTTGGGGCCTGGGCAACTGTATTTTTGACTAGATGAGTCTAATGCACAACATAGTTTGAGAAAAACAAGATGAAGCCATTATATCTATAGACGTCCCCTATTACATTCCTAGTCTTCTTTCAGGGAGGTTGCCCTGGTTCTCCAATGACAGCATCTACCTCCTCATTCTACTAAAACTGCTCTTGTCAATATCATCAGTGAGCTCTATGTTGTCAACTCTAATGGGTTCGTTTTAGTCCTCATATTATAGATCCTCTCAGCAACATTTGATGCCATTTACTTCTCCTCCTCTGAATCTATGAGATGTCAGTATCTCCTTGTTTCCCTCCTTACCTCATTGACTGCTCCTACTCCTTCTTCCTTCCTGGCTTCTCCTCCTCCATTCAACTGCAAATAAGGAAGTTTCCCAGGACTTGTAGTCAGGCCTTGCTCTTCCTTGTATATTCTCTTCATAGACTTAAATATCTAGTGGCCAGCAATTTCTAAATTTTTACAGCCTACCTAGTCTTCTCCTCTGAGCACTAGATTTATGCAGTCAACCACCTACTTGATAGACTGACTTGGATATCTCATGATTACCTTAAACTCACCACATTAGAAGTGATCTCTAAACCCTTCCGCATCCCCACATCATTCTCAAATCTAAGTTTCTCAGGGAATGGTATCACCATATACCCAATTATTCAAACTAGAACCCAGCAGTTATGTGGGATTACTACTTCTGCCTCTTCACCTGCATCCACTTCATCAGCAAGTCATGGCAATGACCTCCCCATGACCACCATTCAGAAGCCACCGTCCTCTTTCCCAGAATCCTTCCTGGTAACTGCTTCATCTCTTACACCCCTTACATCATTCTTAAAGAAGCCAGAACATTCCTTTAAATAACTCAAAACACAAACGAGATCACTAATATCCCCCCTTAAGCTGTTCAGTGGCTTCCTACTACATTTAGAATAAAATTGAGTTTTTACCTGGGTCTGTAAGACACCCACTCTTTTCTTCCTCATCTTGGTCTATAAGGCTCTTTATCTCGCTACTTTGCTCACTAGGTTCTAGTCACACTGGTCTTCTTCAACTTCTCAAATACTCCAAGTTATTTCCCTCCTCAGGGCCTTTGCATATGCTGTTCCTTCTGCCTGGATTGATCTTCACCTCCATGACTATTTCTCATCCCTCAGATCTTAGTTTAAATCTTGCCTTCCATGACCACTCTCCCTAAGTAGGTATTCTCTGTTATTCTCCATTAATTCTTCATAGTGCTTTGAATTTTGTAATTATTCATTCATTTGTTTATTGCCTATCTCCCACTCTAGAATACAAGCTCCATGAATTCAGAGACTAGGTGTATATACCGAATTTCTGAAATAGTGTCTGGCCTATGTTACTTGTTCAATAAAAATCTGCTAAATAAAATGATAAAAAAAAAGATGTTAAATGAAAATATAGCAGAATATTTTAATTTTCTGGAAGTTTGGGAAAGTTTTTCTAACCATGGCATGAAACTTAAAAACCATAAATGTAAAGATTGACAAATCTGACTGTATTAAGTACTGAATATTTCTATAACAGAATTGAAAAACTGTAAATGACCTGGAAAAAATCTTGCAAAATATTAAAGGGAATTTCTTCAAATTAATAAGAAAAGAAAAGCAGACCAATAGAAAAAATAGACACGGTAACTTATAGAATCAAATTGACAAATGGCCACTAAAAATTTTATAAGAAATATGCTCAGCTTCATTCTTTATAAATATCAGTTTTTCATTCTGTTGAATTTGCAGTACCCAGGTCAGGTGTGTATGGAAACAGTTAACTTTCATACACTAATGTCATACACTAACAGTTAACTTCTCTATGTGTCTTATAATTTAGTGTCACATTTTTATTGAATGATTTGGCCATGTCTATTGAAATTTAAAATGTGTCTTCGCTTTAACTCCACACTGTTTTGAATGAGCAATTTTAGAAATTCCTCCTAAAATAATACTTTCACAGTGTGCGACATATGTTGAAATCTGTTTAGTTTGACGTTGTATAAACAAAAACTGGAAACTATCTGATTATTCAATAATGTAATGGTATATCCATACAAAGAAATATAATGCAGCTCTTAAAAAGAACAATGCTACAGATTTATATATTCTGTTTCAGAAAGACATCTTTGATATATGGTGAAAATTAATGGTATGTGTAGTAATTTCCTATTTTTTTAAATAAAAATGCATATATTGATAAATTGCATAAATATGTTCAGATATGCATGGAAAAATAAAGAAATGACTGAAATTCTTAACCATGGCTATTTAGGAAATTTGAGTTTGGAGACTTTCCATTTTATACTATATATGTATATATCTCATATTTCTGTATTGTTTGAATTTTTTTTTACCCACAGCATATACTGTTCTGTAATTAAACAGAGGGCGGGGTGTGTGTGGTGGTGGGGAGAGAGAGAGAGAGAGAGAAAGAAAGAGAGAGAGAGAGTGCGCAATGTGCAGAAGACAAACGATTACTGTTTCATGCATTTTGTCATCAGCGTGGTCAGAGCTGCCCCACTAGGCCTCCTGGAAGGTCAGACACTCGGCCAAGGGTTGACGGGTTCCAGCCCTTCCCCTCTCCTTCTTTACCTCAAGAAAGAGAGGCACTTACTTTAGCATCACATGATTTTACAGGGATCAAATGAAAAAAGGTTGCTAGAAGCCTTTATCAACTATAAAGCTCTTTCAAATACAAGCGGTTATAATCATAATCAAAGTGCACTTCCCATCCCAGGCAGGACTGGCTGGTTACTGCAGAAAACCCTCCCAGTGAGCGCTCGGTGCCAGCAACCTGCAGTCCCCTTTATCCCAAATAGCGCTGGCCCCACCGTCACCCTCCCACCACCCCCTGCTTCTCGGAGGGAGTCCAGCCGGCCTCCTGCCTCCTCACTTCATCCCGGCCCTGACGCAGCCGCTTCCCAGCAGAGCTTGGCTGTTCCTTGAACTTTCAGTGTTGGTTCGATTTCCTCCAGTGGTACCACATGCTGCTGTGCAAACAGAGCACGTGGTCCCGCCAAACAAAGGAACATGTGTGCTGCAAACCATCCCCCTATCACGGGAGCGCAGAGCTCCGCCAGGAGAGGGCCGGGCCTGCGCACTCTAATTTTTCACTGCAGTTTAAACACTCCGTGAGGCTCTCAGGAAGCGGCGGGGGTGGGGGGCGGCCGGAGAGAAGGGGCCCGCGTCTCCGCCGCTTCCATCACCGCCCTGGAAATAGCATCTGAACGCGCACGGCCCGACCAGGCTTCCCCCAAGCTGCTAAGATTTCATTTCACCTCCGACAGGCTTCATGGGGACTCGCTGTTAAAAGATCACTCTCCCGGGATGCTGTCGTGGGGGAGGGGGCCCGGCACTGTATACAGCTGTCAAAACGTCTCCGACAGGAGACGAAGGCACATCTGCACAAGCCTGTCTCAGGCTGCGGGGCACACAGGGAGCGCCTCAAACCTATCAGTGTAATGCCGAGCGGTAATTGCATTAGGATTAGTTATCTCCTGTGCTCTGCTCATTAGCCCGGAGGATGGCTCGCATCCAGCGAGAGGGTGGCACAGGGAGAGGGATGGGATATGCGCCTAACAGGTCGTGATAATGAAAGACTAGCTCTCCTGGAGTTTGCTTCCCCCTCCACCCTCCCCACCCGGCCCCCTACTCTCCGCCTCCCTCTTCCTCTAAACCTCATTTCCTGACTTTTTTTCCTGAAGGTCTTATGAAATGTGCAATTTAGGAAGATTACAATGAAAGAAAAAGAATCGAGACTGGTTGAAGGTGGGGGAGGGATGCTGCAGAGAGCGCGAGGAGGGTTTGCCTGAGTCAAGCGAAGGGAAGGAGGAGGCTGGGACTCTCTGATGCCAAAGCGGGGGCCACAAGAATGCCTGGGTTCTTTTTCTGCCGGAGCTCGTTCCTGACATGTTTTAACTTCCTTCCCTGTGTAATGCCTAAGACCAGGGTGAGATGGAGAGATGACGATTTCCAGGGGATTTGGAGCCGGGGGAGACGCACCTTAGATTGTGTGAACTCTGAGGGCCGCGCCCACTCCGGGTTGAGCTGGTTGAGCTAAACTGACTCCCTGCTCAGCATTCCCACAGCTTTTCCATTACAGAAGCGCCAGAGAGGAGATGTTTGTCTCATGGCTGGTCCGCAGGGAACAGGGACCCAGTCATTTTATTCTTCAGTGCCCCTAGCACACTGTCTGGCATACACAAAGTGCTCAAAAAAAGCATGATGAATAACAGTTTTATTTTTATTTTCACTTTAGAGACAGGATCTCGCTCTGTCTCCTAGGCTGGAGTGCAGGAGCAGGTCTATAGCTCATTGTAACCTTGACTTCCTTGGCCTTCCAAAGTGCTGGGATTACAGGCATGAGCCACCAAGCCAGGCCTCAATAATTTTAGAAAGTCAGGGAGAACATCATCAGTTTCAGGGGCCACCACATACAAAACACGATTTTCAGGCAGACCAACCGATGTACTGGCAATGTGAACAACGTCAGATAATCCAGCTTCTCTAAACTTGTTTTCCTCCTTTGTAAAACAGGAGTAATAATTTACCTCATAATAAATGCTTATTTATATGTCTGTAAATCACCACAAAGTCCACTGAACACATAGTAGGTGCTCAATAGACATTAGTTCCTCCCGTCATCTTGCTTTATTCATCCCTAAAATGGGGATTAAAAAAAAAACTCTTTGATGTCTCAGGAGGAGGTAATTAATGTTCTCTTAACCCATCTGAACGAGCCAATAGAGTACAAAGTTGTTTTATAATTAAGAAATGTATCAAACCCCGTGCAGGACTAATTGCTGTGCAAATTTGATTGAGGCCTGTGAGGACAAGATTGCCTTTAATGGGTTGCAGCGTAGGGGACTATTTAATATTCTTCAGGGAAGTTTCAATACCCAAGTCTCAGCATTGGAGATTGCCTCACCAACCATTAGGAACACCACTCAATGGTTTGGAGTGAATACACCAGGGCTTTGCTTAAATAATTATTTTGAAACTGGAAGGTTTATTGAGGGTTCAGGGTTCAGATTTAGAAATGTCAGAAATAGAGTTTTATTTGTTTCCATTGCACATAATGAATTGCCCTTTAAATAATGAAGCGATGAAAATGCCAAGCACCACATACTCTAAAGGATTGCCAAATGTTGAATTAGGCCCCTGTGAGACTCAAGTCTTCAAAGCCACATGCATCACAGAACTGGGGCATTGGAAGTTTTCATAGAAATCATTGATCCAGACTGTGTTCAGTGACGGTCACACCCCTCACCAAGTCCACAATCTAAACTTTTCAACTTCTTCTTTAGTTTTTTTGGAATACCCTGGGGATCCCTTATTACCGGGCATCTGGAACAATATTTTGGGGAGGTGGCAACTGAGAGAAGCTCCCAGAACAGCCCGTTTGGATTCTATTTACTTGTACGGAACAAAAATGTTCTCCCTTTGTCAGTAAGGTTGTGTATGCGTATTCGACTTGGGGCCAAGTGGGAATGAGTGATGTGACTAGCTCGTTTCCGTGCCATCTGAGGCCACTGGTTATGCTTCTCACAGGTCAATACTAAAGGAAGTGTAAAGGACTGGAGTGTCTCAGCTGTAGGGTCAAATCTTTTCCTACCATCCATCGAGCCTCAGAACACCAGTCATTTTTTTCTTCTTACACCTGATTCTATCTTTGTCTCCTCTCCATCCTCTGCAGATAAGATTTCCCTCTCTATTTCCCAGGTTAATTCATCCACATTTGCCCTTGACTTCATTGCCCTCTGCCTCCATCTGGGGTTTTGCTCCTTAATTATCATTTTTTCCTCATAAGTGTATTTTATATCTCCTTGTTTAGTGGAGCTTTACTTGATTTACTTCTGTCCAATCATAATCCAGTCTTCTTGATATTGAAAATCAATCTTCATTTGAGTTTGCTCTTTTTCTAGTAATTCTTTCCTTTTACTTTCTACCTCATTTGTCTATATCTACTGCCTCTGCTGTGACGTTGCCCATATCTCTTCAGTCCCCTGATATCCAGCTTTCTCTCCTTTAGTCCACTGATAGACAATGTCAGCGGCCCATTCTGATCCCATCTTTATCAATTTCTCCTTAAGTCCTCTGAGGCCTATGCCATGTGGCACTTTCTAAGTCTTTTCCAAATTTCTCTGGCTGTTGCTCATCTGGGTCTCCCAGGCTTCTTTTTCTTGTCCTTCTCCCAAAATATGCACATGCCTCAATAATCAGAGCTGACATTTATTGAGTACTTATTGTGCATTTTAATCCTCCTATCAACCCTATAAACCAGGTACATTAATCGTTTCATTTTATAGAGGAAGGACCTGAGTCTCAGAGAGCTGGTGGGTGTCAAATCCTGGTCTGCTTTGTCTGACTGTAGAGTTCGAGCACTTAACCATCTGCTCTGTTGCCCAAGGTTTGGTTCTCTGATCTCAATCCCTTGCTCTTTTACTATTGTTGTACAGATCTCACAACACCTGCAAGTCCCACCAGATCTCAAGCCTCAAATGCACTGTACTGATGAGCTGACCACCCTCATTCCAGTTCTCTGTCCTGACTTCCGTCACAGATCCACTATTTTCCCGAGGACCAAGGCCTCACCCTTAGAACTCTCTTCTCTTTTCTTAGCTCACCTTTCTCAGTCCTTCATTCTACTAGACACTAGGTCTTCAGCATATTTCTTTCATAATGTCTCTTGAATATTTTCCAAAATTTTATTCTCACTACTGTCCCCTTACTTTAGATACTGAAATGGACCCTTGTTGGAACTAATACAATATACTATTATCCTGTTACTCCCTACCCCTGCTGTTGGTTCCCACCTAGTTTACTCTGTTCATCCAGGTCAGAATGATCTGAAAACATTTCTTTCACATTCACATGATTTTACTCTAGGAACTTTAATGACTTTCCTCTACTGTAATAAAATTGATACCCCTTAGCATGTTATTCAAAGTCCTTTATGTTCTTGTCTCCCTACTTTTCATTCTACGTCATTTCAATTTTTCTAAACAATCCCTTTGTCTGTTTTAACTAATTAATAAATTAATTGATATCTCGTTGTATGCTAAAAATGCCTTACTTAAGACCCTGTTGCAATCTCATCTGCAGAAACATGGGGCAATAGCATTACGGTGTGGTTTGCAAGTGTGTGAGTTAAGGACCTGGACACAAAGTTCAACTCTGCATTTGCTAGCTAGGAGACCTTGAAAAAGTTCCCTAATCATCCTATGTTTTCATTTTCTTATCTGTGAAATTAGGAGGTGTCCTGAATTTGAATAAATAAGTAGGTGTAAAGTTGGTGGTAAAGAGGCTCAACAAATGGTAGCTATATCTAATACTTTTTTATTTTCCCCATACGCTTGGTGCTTTTCTGATTCTGTGCCTTTGGTGAAGACACCCTCTTTACGGAATTGTCCTCTTCTGTGTCTCTGCTGGTCAAATTCTCTCAGTTCTTCAAAATATACTCACCCCATTAGCTCAGGGAAACCTCCCCGCTAATTCCCCTCAGAAGAGGAATTTTCCCCTAAGTTAGTTTTGGAGCTTAGAACAGACACCATGCAAATCAACCCTTAATTATACAGTGCCTTGGGCCACCCTCTGTGTGCTTTAAGCATTTATCTCTACTCACCTAACCACCTCAGGGCTGTCCAGGGGATCATTAAGCACCTGGGAAGAAGGGAGACGAGGAGTCCCTGAGGAAATGCTCAATGGACAGAATAATGGCATTGAGAGGGAGGGAAGTGAGTATATTAAACAGGAAAAGTCAGGGCAGGTGTCAGGCATTCCCTTTCTTCCTTTCTTTCCGCCTTTCTTGGACAAAATAAGCAGTGCATTTAACTGATATCTTCAACAAGCACAATCGAAGGATGTGATCAAAAAAAACTTTATTTTGTTTCCCACTGCCCATTCAAAATTTATTCAGTGGAGATAAAGTTTCCCTGCCCTTGGAAATGAATGGGCCCCACACTTAAAAAAAGCCCTATTTATTAAGATATATTTACATACAATAGTATGCACAGATCTTAAATGTTCAGTTTGAGGAGTTCAATAATTGTATACACTGGTGAAACCACCTCCCTAAACAAAATATAAAACATTTCCATTACCCCAGAAAGTATCCTCATTCCTCTTTCCAGTTATTTACTTTCCCAACAACTGTAACCCCACCTCCACTGCCTGCCAGACACAACCACTGTTCTGATTTCTCTCACAACAGGTTAGTTTTGTCTGTCGTGGACTTCCTATAAATGAAATCAAAGAGTAGTATGTACTTTCTCATGTCTGTCTTCTTCTGCTCCACATATTGTTTTAAAAATATATCCTTGTAGTAGTTTGTTCTTTAATTATTCCTAAGTAGTATTCTACTGTTTAAAAATACTATAATCTGCTTATTCATTTACTGGTTAATTGACACTTGGGCCTTCTCTGGATTTTATGCATAAGGCTGCTATACATTTATTTGTGCAAATGTTTCAGTGGATACATGTTTTCATTTATTTGGGTTGAGTACCTAAGAGTAGGATTGCTGAGTCATAGAGTGAGGTACACGTGATGAGAAATATGCCATTGGGAATCAGTCCTTCAAGCAGTAGGACTGTATGGTCAAAATGGAATCCCTTTATCAGGTGCTCCATTTAAGTCTTAGTTTTCTGTGAGTTTTTTCTTTTCAAAGTCTATTGCAACTCCCTCATGTTGCTAGCCATTTGTCTACTTTTGTTAAATATTTATAGAAAGCCTTACAAGGATCTGGGTGATTAATGAACTTGAAGTTGCTTCTTACAGAGTGGTCTTTTATTTATTTATGCAGGGTTTTTAAAAAAAGGTGTTGAGGTGCTGCAGAAACATCACTGTACTTCTTAATACTCCTATGAACCAAAGCCAGATCAAAGGTGCTTATTTTTCAGTTGGAGAAACTGGGGTATAGGGTGGTGGCAGGGAATGCAATAATTTCTCTGTAGAATAGACTCATCTAAAATGTCCCAATATTAGTCTGCATCACCCATACTGAGATGTTGAGGGCAGAACAAATGAACAAACAACTGACGTTGACAGGCCCCAGGTTCCATTATCTATATGCATACTATCAATTTTCTGCTCCACTCCATCACTCACTTCAGATATCCCAGAATGAGCACTCCATTCCCTTTAGGGTCACCTTGCTGCTAACACTCAGTAACTCCCTTGTGGTATATTCCAGATGTAGGGTATTTGCCTTAAAAAAAATACCACAGACAAAACCAGAGCGTCACTGTTATGATTTCACTGGCTCTTATGAACAAAGCTGAATATGGTCTCTTCTGTATTTAGAGGAGAAACCTCTCAGGAACAGCCAAAGCATTGAGAAGGAAGGGTTGGCAATTCACGAGTGGGGCAGAGAATGGGATTAGGACATTCTAGAAAGAGTTCTCAAATAAAATAGTTTTTATGCTGAGAAGGTGTGGTATGGGACCACTTCCACTGAATAAAAATTATCTTTCCTTGAAATCATTCATGCTCAGGAAGAGTTTTAAAACTTTGGTTACATATGCCTGAGTATTAAAAGTGATCATTTAGATACTGACATGGATACAGTCAAGTCCATCATCCCAAGGCTCTCTCATGTTGCCCTTTTATAGCCACTACCCCTTTGCTTCCACCTCCTCCTTAACCCTGGCAATGAGACTAATATGTTCTCTATGCCTGTGTTTCATAATTTTATGAATGTTATGTACATGGAATTATACAGTATGTAACTCTTTTGAGAGTCATCCATGTCATTGTATGTATCAGTAACTTTTTTCTGTTTATTGCTGAGTAGTATTTCATGGTATGGATGTACCATAGATTGTTTAACCACGCAGCTGTTGAAGGGTCTGGGTTGTGTCCAGTTTTCTCCTGTTGTGAGTAAGGCTGCTATAAACATTTGTGTATGGGTTTTTGTGTGAATATAAGTTTTCATTTCTCTGTGATAAAAGTCCAGGAGTGCAATTTCTGGGTCATATAGTGTTTGTAAAGAAACTACCAAACTCTTTTCCAGAGTGACTGTACCATTTTACCTCCCTATCAGCAAGATATGAATGATCCAGCTTTTTCTCCATCCTCACCAGCATTTGATGGGATCCATAGTGTTATCTAATTATGGTTTTAATTTTCCTTGCCTTAATAGCTAACATCTTTTCATGTGCTTATTTGCCATCTATATATTCTCTTTGATGAAATGTCTCTTCATGTTTGCACATTTTCTAATTGGATTGTTTCTTTTTTACTGTTGAGATTTGAGAATTCTTTATATATTCCAGATACTAACTGTCAAATATGTGGTTTCCAAATATTTTCTCATCCTCTGTAGCTTGTCTTTTTATCTTCTTAACAGATCATTTTTCATAAAGTAGAAGTATGTAATTTTGGTGAACTTCAATTAATAAATTTTTCCTTTTGTGGATTGTGCTTTACCTGTCAAGTCTAGGATCTCTATCTGGCCCTAAATCTCAAAGATTTTCTCCCATTAAAAATAATCTTATAGTTTTACGTTTTATATTTAAATCTGTGATTTGTTTTGACTTAATTTGCTTAATTTTGGCTTAAAGACAAAAATTGAGGTTGAACAGCTTCCTCCTCCTTCCCTCCTTCTCTTCCTTACCCTCCTCCTGTCCCTTCTTCTCTTTCACCTTCTTCACTTTGCCCTCCCCTATTCTGCCCCCTTTTCTCCTCCTTCTCCTTCTTCTCCTCCTTCTTGTCTATAGATGTCTAATTGCTCCAACACAGTTTGTTGAAAAGCCTGTCTTTCATCCATGGAGTTGCTTTTAAACCTTTATCAAAATCGGTTGGGCATATTTGTGTAGGTCTATTTCTGTGTTTTCTGTTCTATTGCATTATCTATGTGTCATACCATGTCTTGATTACTGTAACTATATTAAAAGCCTTGAAAACAGGTAAACTGATTTTCTTACTTTATTCTCCATTTCCAAGATTTTCTTTGTTTAGCTAATTTTTGTGTTCAGTTATTTTGCCTTTCCATATAAATTTTAGAATAGTCGTTATCTATACCTACAGAAAATCTTTCTAGGATTTTTATAGGAATTGCATTAAACTTGTATATAAATTTGGGTAAAAATGGCATCTTTTACTATGTTGAGTCTTCCAAATCATAAAAATGATATGTCCCTCCACTTAGTTAGACATTCTTTGATTTCTTGTTCTTTTCTTTTTTTTTTTCTGTGTGTGTGTGTGTGTGTGTGTGTGTGTGTGTGTGTGTGTGTGTGTTGAGATGGAGTCTCTCCTCACTGCAACCTCTGCTTCCCAGGTTCAAGCAATTCTTCTGCCTCAGCCTCCCCAGTAACTGAGACTACAGGTGCGTGCCACCACACCCAGCTAATTTTTTTTTTTTTTGTATTTTCAGTAGAGATGGGGTTTCACCATATTGGCCAGGCTGGTCTTGAACTCCTGACCTCATTATCCTCCTGCCTCGGCCTCCCAAAGTGCTGGGATTACAGGTGTGAGCCACTGCGCCCAGCCTGATTTCTTCCATCATTGTTTTGTAGTTGTCAGCATACAAGTTCTGTATAAGTTTTTTTAGATTTCGCTTTTTTAACTAATTGTAAGTGGTGCTTTATTTTTGACTTTAGTGTCCATATGTTCATTGCTAGCATATAGAAATATAAAAACATGTTCATATAAATATTAAAAATCAAAACAATAGAGTTTTAAATGTTTATCTTGTATCCTTACTGAACTCACTTATTAGTTCTAGGAGTTTTTTGTTAACTCTTTTGGGATTTTCTACAAGGATAAGCATGTTAGCTGCAAACAGGGACATTTTCATTTCTTCCTTTCCAACTTGTATGCCTTCTACTTCTTTTTCTTGCCTTATTGCACTGTCTATAACCTTCAACATTATGTTGAAAAGACTGAAGAGAAGATATCTTTGCCTTATTCCTGACCTAGGAGGAAAGCACTTAGTCTTTCATTATTAAGCATAATGATATCCATGGGTTTGTTGTAGATTATCTTATCAAGGTTAGGAAATTTTCCTCTAGTCTTTTTTTTCTGAGAGTTAAAAAAAATTATGAATAGGTATTAAATTTTATCAAATGCTTTTTCTGTATTGATTGATATGATCATATGATTTTCTCCTTTAGCCTATTAATATACTGTATTACATTGATTTATATGAATTTTGGTATTTGAATATTGATATTTTATATTGAACAGTGCACCTCTGGCATAAATGCTACTTGGTCACTGTATACAATTCATTTTTATCATTGCTGAATCCTATTTGGTAATATTTTATTAAAGATTTTTGTATTCATATTTTGAGAGATAGTGGACTGTAGTTTTCTTTGATCAGAGTAATATTAGTTTAGCTTCATGAAGTAAGCTAGGTGTCCTCTTTTATTTTCTGAAAAAGGTTGCATAGAAGTGATGTTAATTCTTCCTTAAATGTTTGGTAGAACTCTCCAGTCAAATGACCTGGAAATTCATTTTTGGGGTGTTTCCTGGTTGTAAATTCAATTCTTTAATAGATACAAGGATATTTAAATTATCTATTTTATATTGGATGAGTTGTAGTAGTTAAAGGAATTTGTCCATTTCCTCAAAGTTGCTAAATTGGTTTGTAGAGTTGTTCATAGTATTCTCTTATCTTTTTGATGTCTGCAAGGTCTGTAGTGATATCCTTGTTTTAGTCCTAATATTGGTAATTTGTGTCCTCTCTCTTTTTTTCTTTGTCAATCTTGCTAAAGGTCTGTTCATTTTATTGATTTTTTTCCCCAAAGAACAGGATCTTTGTTTCATTGATTTCCTCTACTGTTTTTCAATTTCATGGATTTCTGCTCTTATATGTTTTTATTTCCTTCCTTCTGTTTGTTTTGGGTTTATTTTGCGCTTCTTTTTCTATGTTCTTGAGGTGGGAGCTTAGATGATTGATTTGAGACTTTTCTTCTTTTCTAATGTATGCATTTAATGTAAATTTCCCTGTGTTCCACAAACATTTATGTGTTTTTCCTCCAGCTCAATGTTATTTCAAAATTTACCTTGAGACCTCGCCTGTGACCCATTAATTTTTTTTAAGTATTTACTTTCCAAGAGTTTGGAGATTTTCCTGTTGCATTTTAAAAAATTGATTTCTAGTTTGATCCTATAGCAATTGGTAAACACACTCTATATGATTTCAATTCTTTTGCATTTAATGAGGTTTGTTTTATGGTCTAGGATATGGTAAATCTTGTCATATGTTCTGTGGCACTTAAAAAGAAGTGCTATTTTGGGTGTTCTATTAATATATATTGAATTCTGTTGGTCAATAATGTTGAGTTCTTCTATACCTTTGTTGATTTTCTGTCTAGTTGTTTTATCAGCTGTTAAGCGGGAGGCTTTGAAGTCTCCAATTACAGTTCTGTATTTATCCATTTCTCTTTTCAGTTCTATAAGTTTTTGCTTTACATATGTTGAAGGTCTGTTG
This sequence comes from Homo sapiens, assembly GCF_000001405.40. NCBI lineage: Eukaryota > Metazoa > Chordata > Mammalia > Primates > Hominidae > Homo > Homo sapiens. The sequence continues at coordinate 121,733,051 of NC_000011.10, forward strand.
CTTGATACGTACACATTTAGGATTGCTATGTCTTTTTGGTGGATTGACCTTTTCAACATTATATAACGCCCCCTCTGTCTCTGGTAATTTTCTCTTTTCTGAAGTCTACTTTATCTAATACCAGTATAAACACTCCTACTTTGTTCTGGTTGCAGGATATATCTTTTTTTTCTGTGCTTTTACTTTTAACCTTCCTATATTGCTATTTTCAAAATGAGTTTCTTGTAGAGTATATAGTTGGGTCATGTTTTGTAATCAACTCTACCAATCTCTGGCTTTTAATGAGTGTATTTAGACCACTTACCTTTAATATAATTATTGACATATTAGGGCTTAAGTCTACCATTTTAATTTTTACTACTTGTTCTCTGTTTTTTATTTCCTCTTTTTCTCTGCATTTCTGTGGGTTACTTGAACATGGTTTTAGATTCCATTTGGATTTACCTATAGTGTTTCTGAATGTATCTTTTTGCGTAGCTGTTTTTTATTTTTGGTGGTTGCTGTAGATATTATATTATTTATACATAACATATCATGGTCTACTGACATAATTATTTTACCAGCTGAAATGAAGTATAAAAACTTACCTCCCTTTACCTCTCCCTGTGTATAATTGTCTTAAATATTTCCTGTACATACATCTAGAACCACATTCAGACACTATGTTTTTTCCACCATCAAACATAATTTAGAAACCTAAGAAGAGAGGGAAAGTTTATTTTATTTACCCATATACTTTTTACTGTGTTCTTTCTTCATGCCTTATGTTCCAAGATTCCCTCTTTATTTTCTTTTTATTTTCCTTTCTGCTTAAAGGTATTATTTTAGTCACTCTTTTGGAATAGGTCTTCTGCCAAAAAATACTCTTAATTTTCCTTTATCTGAACATCCCTAGTCCTCTTCATTTCCGAAGGATATTTTCACTGAGCATAGATTTTTGGTTTGACAGTTTTCTTGCAGTAAATGTAGTGCCACTTCCTTTTGGTCTCCACAGTTTCTGATGAGAGATCTGCTGCCATTCAAATAGAGTTTTTCTTCTATTGCTATGATGTAGTTTTACTCTCATTGTTTTAAGATTTTTTTGTCTTCAATATTCAGAAGTATGGCTATGATGTGTCTTAGTGTGAACTTCTTTGAATTTATCCTATTTGGGCTCTTTCATGTTCTTGAATGTGTATGTTTATGTTTCTTGCCAAACTTGGGAAGTTTTCAACCATTATTTCTTTGAGTACATTTCAGCTCTACCCTACTTTTTCTCTCCTTTTAGGACTCTAATGACACAAATATTTGATAATTTTTTAATTATCTAATAAGTCCCTAAAGCTCTGTTCATATTTTCTTCAATCTGTTTTTCCTCCGTTCAGATTGAATAATTTCCATTTTTCTATCTTGCAACTCACTGATTATCCCCCTGTCTTCTCTACTCTGCTGTTGACCCCATCCACTGAATTTTTATTTTAAAACATTTATATTTGTTTGTTTCTTAAAATAAATAAATTTTTAATGTGGTAAAAGACACATGACATAAAATTGACCATCTTAAGCATTTTTAACTGTATAGTTCAGTGGTATTAGGTACATTCATATTTTTGTGCAACTGTCACCAGCACCCATCTCTAGCACTCTTTTCATCTTGCAAAACTAAAACTCCATACCCATTGGGCAATAATTACTCATTCTCCCCTCCACTAACCCCTGCAAACCGTTATTCTATTTTCTGTCTCAATGAATTTAGCTGCTCTAGGGACTTTATATAAATGGAATCCTACAGTATTTGTCTTTTTTTTGGGTGTGTGACTAGCTTATTTTTCTTAGGATAATATCCTCAAGGTTTATCCCTGTTGTAGCTTATGTCAGATTTTCTTTCCTTTTTTTTTTTTTTTTTACATAGTCTCGCTCTGTCACCAGGTTGGAGTGCAGTGGTGTGATCTCGACTCACCGCAACCTCCGCTTCCCAGGTTCATGTGATTCTCCTGCCTCAGCCTCCTGAGTAGCTGGGACTACAGGCATGTGCCACCATGCCCAGCTAATTTTTGTATTTTTAGTAGAGATGGGGTTTCACCAGGTTGGCCAGGATGGTCTTGATCTCTTGACTTTGTGTTCCACCTGCCTTGGCCTCCCAAAGTGCTGGGATTACAGGCGTGAGCCACCATGCCAGGCCCAGATTGTCCTTCCTTTTTAAGACAGAATAATATTCTGTTATATGTATATACCATATTTTGTTTATTCATTCATCCATTGATGGACACTTGGGTTGCTTCACTGTTTTAGCTATTGTGAATCATGTTGCTATGAACATGGATGTACAAATCTCTTCAAGACCCTGCTTTCAATTTTTTTGGGTATATATACTCAGAAGTGGAATAGCTAAATTATATAGCAATTTTGTTTTTAATATTTCAGGAATATCTATACTGTTTTCCATAATGGCTGTACCAATTTACATTCCCACCCACAGTGTACAGTGGTTCCCTTTTATCCACATTCTCTCCAACACTTATTTTCTATTTTTTCAATAGTAGCCATCCTAATGGGTATGAGGTAGTATCTGTGGTTATTTTGATTTGTATTTTCCTGATGATTAGTGATGTTGAGCATCATTTCATGTGCTTACTGGCCATTTGTATATCTTTGGAGAAATGTCTATTCAAGTTCTTTTCTCATTTTTTTAAATTATTATTATACTTTAAGTTTTAGGGTACATGTGCACAACGTGCAGGTTTGTTACATATGTATACATGTGCCATGTTGGTGTGCTGCACCCATTAACTCGTCATTTAGCATTAGGTATATCTCCTAATGCTATCCCTCCCCCCTCCCCCCACCCCACAACAGTACCCGGTGTGTGATGTTCCCCTTCCTGTGTCCATGTGTTCTCATTGTTCAATTCCCACCTATAAGTGAGAACATGCGAACATTTCTCATTTTTAAATTGCTTTTTTGTTGTGGTTTTTGAGTTTTAGGAATTCTCTGTATATTGTGGATACTGATCCCTTATATGATTTCCAAATTCCTCCCATTCTGTGTGTTGCCTTTTTATTGTTAGTAGTGTTCATTGATGCACAAGTTTTTAATTTTTATGAAATACAATGTCTTTTTTTATTATCTGTGTCATTGGTGTCATACCCAAGAAGCCATTATCAAATAGAATGTTGCAAAGCTTTTGTCCTAGGTTCTCTCCTAAGAGTTTTATAGTTTTAGTTCATTCATTTTTAGTTAATTTTTGTATATGGTGTTAGGTAAGGGTCCAACTTTATTCTCTTGCATGCTTACATTCATTTGTTGAAAAGACTGTCCTTTCCTCATTGAAAGGCGTTAGCACCCCTGTTGAAAATAATTTGACCCAATATATGAGGGTTTATTTCTGGGCTCCAAATTCTGTTTCATTGGTCTATACATCTGTCTTTATGCTAGTACCACACTATTTTATTACGGTAGTTTGTCTTGAGTTTTGAAATCTGAATGTTTGAGTCTTCCAATTTTGTTCTTTTTTAAGATTGTTTTAGCTATTTGGGGTCACTTGAGATTCCACATGAATTTTAGGATGGGCTTTTCTGCTTCTGCAAACATGTTGTTGGGCTTTTGATAAGGGTTACATTTAATTTGTTGATCACTTTGGGTAATATTGACAACTTAAATAACATTATGTCTTCCAAACCATGAACATGGGATATCTTTCCACTTATTTGTGTCTTTTAAAATTTCTTTCAGCAATGTTTTACAGTTTCCATTGTATAAGTCTTTCACCTCCTTGGTTAAGGTAATCCTTAAACACTTTATTCTTTTGGTGCTTTTGTAAATGGAATTATTTTCTTAATTTTCCTTTTAGATTGTTCATTGTTAGTCTGTAAAAATGCACAGTCTTTTTTTGTGTTGGTTTGGTATCCTGCTACTTTGCTGAATTTGTTTTTTAGTTCTAACCTTTTTTTTGTGGAATCTTTAGTATTTTCTATACATAAGATCATATTATTCACAAATAAAGGTAATTTTACATATTTTCCAATTTGGATGGCTTTATTTTTCTTGCCTAATTGCTCTAGCTAGAACTTCCAGTACTTTATTGAATAGGATTGGCAAAAGTGTGTATCTTTGTCTTGTTCCTAATCTTAGAGGAAAAGCTTTCAGTTTTGTTTTCCGTTGATCATGATGTTTGCTGTTAATTTTTCATTTATATTATAGCTTTTATTATGTTGAGGAAGTTTTCTGCTGTTCCTAGTTTGATTCTTACCATGAAGAGGTGTTGAATTTCATCAGATGCTATTCTGCATTAATTGAGACGGTCATGTGGTATTTGCTCCACTTGTTTTTTTCTTCATTCTGTTAATGTGAATTACACTGATCAACTTTTATATGTTGAGTCTTGCATTCCAGGAAGAAATCATGATGTATACTGTTTTTAACATGCTGCTAAACTCAGTTGGCTAGTATTTTGTTGAATAGTTTTGCACCAATTTTCATTAGGCATAGTGATCTATAGTTTTTTTTGTTTGTTTGTTTTTCGTAGTATCTTTATCTGGCTCTGGCATCAAGGCAGTGCTAGCCTGATGTAACGAGTTAGGAAATATTCTCTCCTTTTAAATTATTTGGAAAACTTGGAGAAGGATTGATGTTAGCTCTTTAAATGTTTGGTAGCATTCACTACTAAAGTAGTCAGGTCTAGGGCTTTTTGTTGTTGGGAGTTCTTTGATTACCAGTGGAATCTCCTTACTAGTTATGTCTGTTCAGTATTTCTATTTCTCTAGGATTTAGTCTTGGTAGGTTTTGTGTTTCTAGAAATTTGTCCATTTTATTTCGATTATCCAATTTGCTGGCATACAACTATTTTTATAGTATTGGTAGTAATGTCCTCACTTTAATTTCTGATTTCAGTAATTTGAGTCTTTTTTTTTTTTTGAAATGGAGTCTCCCTCTGTTGCCCAGGCTGAAGAGCAGTGGCATGATCTTGGCTCACCGCGACCTCAGCCTCCCAGATTCAAGCAATTCTCCTGCCTCAGCCTCCCAGGTAGCTGGGACTACAGGTACGTGCCACCATGCCTGGCCAATTTTTTTGTATTTTTAGTAGAGACAGGGTTTCACTATGTTGGCCAGGCTGGTCTTGAATTCCTGACCTCGTGATCCACCTGCCTTGGCCTCCCAAAGTGCTGGGATTACAAGCATGAGCCACTGCGCCCGGCCCAGTCTTCCTTTTTCTTAAGTCAATATAGCTACACAGGCATGGTGGCTCACACCTGTAATCCCAACACTTAGGAAGGCAGAGGCAGGAGGATAGCTTGAGCCCAGGAGTTTGAGACCTACCTGGGCAATATAGCGAGACCCCATACTCCACAAAACAGAAAAAAAAGACAAAAAGAAAGAGATAAAGTCAATATAGCTAAAAATTGGTCAATTTTGTTTATCTTTTTAAGAGACCAACTTTTGGTTTTGTTGATTTTCTCTATTGTTTTTCTCTTTCTTATTTATTTATTTCTGCTCTAATCTTTGTTATTTTATTCCTTTGATGGCTTTGAGTTTAATTTTCTTTTCTTGTTCTGGTTCCTTACCTTGTAAAGTTAGGTTGTTGATTTGAGATGTTTCTTCCTTTTTAATATAAGTGTTAATGGTTATAGGTAACTCCCTTAGGACTGCTTTCACTGTGTTTTTAAGCTTTGATATGTTGTGTTGTGTTGTGTTTTCATTTTCATTTGTCCCAAGATATTTTTTAATTTCCCTTGTGATTTATTTGATCCACTGGTTGTTTAAGACTATGTTGTGTAATTTCCACAAATGTGTCCATTTTTCAATTTTTGGTCTATTATTGATTTCTGGCTTCATCCTATTGTGGTTGGAGAAGATACTTTGTAAGATAACTGTCTTTTAAAATCTACTGACACTTAACTTTGGACCTAACATATGCCCCATTCTGGAGAATGCAATGTGCACTTGAGAGGAAGGTATGTGCTGTCATTGGTGGTCAGGGTATTCTGTATATGTTTGTTAGATTTGGTTGGTTGATTTTATTGCTTAAGTCTTCTGTTTCCTTACTTATCTTCTGTCTGGTTGTTATATCCATTACTGAGAACAGATTATTAAAGCCTCCAACTATCATTGTACTATTACTCTCTTCGATTCTGTCAATTTTTAGTTCATATATTTTGATGGTGTGTTATTATATGTGAAAATGCTTATAATTGTTGTATCTTCTTGATGCATTGAATCTTTTATTAATATATGACATTCTTGTTTTTCTCCTGTAATTTAAAAAAAAATTTTAATTCTATTTTGTCTGGCATTAATAGCCACTCTTCTCTTTTTGTTACTATTTGCATAGAATATCTTCTTCTGTTCTTTCACTTTCAACCTATTTGTTTCTGGATTTAAAGTGAATATCTAGTAGGTAGCATAGTTGAATCATATTTGTTTTCTTTTTAATCTGTGGATTTTTTATTTGTTTGCTTTTTTTTTTGTTTGTTTGTTTGTGTTTGAGACAAGATCTCACTCTGTTGCTCAGGCTGGCGTCCAGTGATACAATCACAGCTCCCTGCAACCTCTGCCTCCTGGGCTCAAGTGATCCTCCCACCTCAGACTACCAAGCAGTTCTGACTACAAGCACAGACCACCTCACATGGCTAATTTATAAATATTTTGTAGAGATAGGGTTTTATCATGTTGCCCAGGCTGGTAATCTTTGTTTTTTTAGTTGAAGATATTAATCCATTTATATTTAAGTTTTAATTTTAATTAATTTATTTTCAGTCCTAAAATTTCCATTTAGTTATTTAGTTATTTTATACATCTTCTATTTCTCTGCTGAGGCTTTAAAAAAATGTGCTTTAAGTGTGTTTGTTACCAGGTGTGGTAGCTCATGCCTGTAATCCCAGCACTTTTGGAGGCTGAGGCGAGCAAATCACGAGGTCAGGAGATCGAGACCATCCTGGCTAACACGGTGAAACCCTGTCTCTACTAAAAATACAAAAAAAATTAGCTGGGTGTGGTGGTGCGTGCCTGTAGTCCCAGCTACTCAGGAGGCTGAGACAGGAAAATTGCTTGAACACAGAAGGCGGAGGTTGCAGTGAGCCAAGGTTGCACCACTGCACTCCAGCCTGGGAGACAGAGTGACATTCCATCTCAAAAAAAAAAAAAAAAGGTGTGTTTGTTATTGTTTTTTGAAGCATTTTTCTCATTTCTTTTTAAAAACCTTTGTCATATAATTCTAAGTCTAGGCTTCCCATTGGCCTTTGCTGGCATGAGTGGGATGGGGTCACAGTAGGTTCTGTGCCTTTTGGTGGGAGTAGAGTGGTTATTATCTAAAAAAGCTTTCTATCTTCCTAGGCCACTCCTTTCTTGGTCCTTTGGATAGGGAGGCTATTTTTAATCTGTGCCCATTGGTATTTCTGGTTGCTGGCTGCTTCAGCTCTACATATGGGATATATGAAGAAAAAGAGAATGCAAGAAACTTGACATTGTGCTGTTTTGGGGAGCCCTGAGGTCCCCAGGTGGTCTACCATTTTCTCTCCATCTGTGTTTGTTTTACATATATTCTGTCCAGTGCTTTTAGTTATACTTAGCAGGAAGAATATGGAAAGTTATGCCCTCTTCATCTTCCTGGAAGCAGAATTATATCCATATATTACATTTATAATAAGAAAAACATACATATTTTAAGGAAACAAAACAAAATGACTTAAATTACAGCTAGAGTCATTTGAGTAAATCAAGACGTGCTTGTCTGATTCAATACAGAGATAATAAAATTGGTGGCCATGGTAGTGAGTAATGATTAAAAATAATAGCCACTTGTTATTGAGCACATGCTATGTGGTTTTTACATATTCTCCATTTGTATTATTCCTTACAGAAAACCTGGGAGGCCAGCATTGTTCACATTTAACAGTGAAGTAAACTGAGAAACAAACAGAAAATTTCCCAATATTATACTACTAATGAGTGAAACAGCAGGGGCTCAAATCCTAGCCTGTCTTAAACCAAAACCCATGCTATTAATCCCTGTGTTTCACTGCCTCTGTAGACTGTCTTTTAGAAGATGGAAGACTGGAGGTACTTAGGTGACATCCTGTGGAGAACAGGAAATGTTTGATGTGACAGCAGTCTCCATTATCTCTGGTTTTGTAGAAAGCACTTAGGGCCTCCTTGAAGGGAACTATTTTTTGCCTACATTACCAAAGGCATTTCTACGGAACTTTTCATTTTATATGATTCCTTAAAACAACCTTGAGATGTAGGTGGAAGCCAGACTCACTGTGAAACAGATGGGGAATCTGTAGCCCAGCAAGGTCAAGTGACTTGTCTAAGACCATATGGCATTTAGTGCTGGAAGGAGACCTGGAAAGCAGGAGCTGGTACGCTTTCCACCAGCTCCCAGGGCTGCGTTCAGCTTGGGCTGTGTACCGTCACTTGGTTCTTACCAAGCAGAGTTCTTTCTAGTTTAGACAGGGCCTGCTGCAGTTAAATCAGGGCCTCTCCTCCAGCAGCCTCCTGGCTTGCACCAATTTGCAGACTGTATCTGATGGAAACCTTATGTGGAACAAAAAAACAAACCTGAAAAGCCAGGCCCATCTCAGTATCTCCATCCGCTGGATAAACATCTCCAAGACAGACGCACAGAGAGGTCAGACTCCCTTTGCCAAGTTTTTAACCTAAAGTTTGGAAGCAGCTTGCATTTTCCATAGAGCAGTAAACTATTTTCATTCCTTTTACAATGAATGACTCCTTATGGGGTGATAATTTACTTTTAACCTCTTTCAGGACCTGATGATTTTGCCTTCTTGCCTGAAAAGAGTTGTGGGTTAAAAGAAAAGTCCCATTTCTTGAAGTTTTCTTCTTTCCTATCTTTCCTTTTCCCCCTTTTGAAAGCCTGCTATGTTTGTTTCAGAGCTTTGGGAGTCTTTGGAGCCTTGCCTCTTTATTTGGAGAGAACTTGGCTCCTTCGTGTTGCCCCCATTCCTCTGCTGAATCTAATCTGACTGTTCTATTTATAATTCTTGAACAAGATGAATCTAGTCTTTGTGTTTCTTTCTGAGCAACAGCGTCCCCTCCCTAGGACTTGAGCCAGTTAACCTCTGTAAGAATCTCTTTAATTTCTCTGCAAATTGCCAGAAAGCCGGCAGCTGAAACCCTATCAGGTCCTGGATCATATCAGACCTGCTTTAAACTGGCACCCTCCTCCATCCTCCAATCTCCTGGGAGCTGATTTAGGAACAGGGCCGTGCAGAGAAATTCCCAGCAGCACTTTGGTGACGCCAGCGCAGTCTGGGAAGTCTGACAGGGAGGGGCCCACTTTCTGGAGGACGGGGAGGCTCTGAGATAGAAACCGTGCCCACTTCGAAGCATGTGTTGGTTCCTCCCAGATCCCTCAAGGTTTATGTATACATTATGTGCTATTTATCCTTAAACCTAGACTCATCATATTATTTTTCCTGGAGACCATCTAGCCGAAACCTCCTGTTTTATAGAGAAAAAATATGGAAACTAAAAGAGTCATACAGCTAGTTTGTCTAAGAGTTAATACTGTAATATAGGTTTCCTACCTTATCCATACCTTCATGAGCTTGTGAAGGCATTATTTTGATTCCGTGGACATGAAACCACTCCAATTAAGTGCATTCTTTTTATATGTTCCCTTTCTTCTACTTCCTTTCTTTATTCCCTGTCTCCCATTCTCCATTGTTACCGAGTTCTCTCTCCTACACCCAGTACAGCTCTCTCTTTTTTGAGGGGTCTCACCAGCCTCACTGGGATGTTAACAACTAAGGTTTGAGAAAGAGATGAGTCTCAGCAGCCCAGGTCTAGAGTGGACAGATCAGTGAGTCCATGGAAACATCTAGAGCTATGAAGGAACTTTCTGAGGTCACACCGCAAGTTAGTGACCAGACCAGGATTAGAGCATGAGATTCTCTTTTTTTCTGTCTGCTGAGTTCTACTCTACTCAAAAGTTCTGCTGCCTCTGTGTGGTTCCCAATTCTGATCTGGGTCTGGCATGTCCATTTAGACAATCTTTTTTTGGTCAGGGTTCTCTCTGACCAACCTGACTTTTAACCTCACATTCATTTGTAATAGAAGAAAGTTAAATCATACCCTTAAATTCAACCACGTTTTAACCTCATTTGCCATGAGTGTCCCGTTAAGACTAAATAACAAAGGGCCAAAATATTTACTTTGAGCTCCATAACATAATTGGTCTTCTTTCCTGTCATGATAAGCTAAGGTGGCCTTACAAGTTTTCAAGGATCAGGAATCAGTGTGCCCCACTGAACACATATAAAAGTATATTTACCCTTTAATTTAAAGCTATTGAGACCCATTTGAATATAACACAAATGCTACTTTAAACCAAGCCCCAGCCAGCCACTAATCTGCTTTGGGTCTGTGGTTTTGCCTTTTCTAAAAGTGTCATATAAATGGTGGGATACAGTATGTTGTCTCTTGCGTCTGGTTTCTTTCATTTAGAATAGTGTTTTAGAGGCTCATCCAGGATATTAAATAAAACATTAGTTTCTTTTTATTGCTGAATGCTATTTCATTTTATGGCTGTACCATTATTTGTTTATCCACTCACCAGTTGACCATTTGGATTGTTTCCAGCTTTAAATTATTACAAATACTGTTGTTATGAACACTTGTGTACACATTTTTGGTTTGATATATATTTTGATGTTCCTTGGGTGGATATATAGAGTGAAATTGCTGAGTTGTATGTTAATTCCATGGTTAACTTTTTAAGAAACTGCCAAACATTTTTCAAAATGGTTGTACCATTTTTATCTCTACCAGGAGTGTATGTATTTTTAAAAGAATGACCACATAATTTGAATAGGCAATTCACTGAAATGGATACGAGTGGCTAATAAAAACATGAAAAGATGCCCAACATCATTAGTAGTCAATAAGAAAATGCAAATAAAATCCACAATGTGATAGCACAAAATACTCAGTAAAATTGCTATAATAAAAAAGATGAACAATACTAAGTGTTGGTGAGGATGAGAAATAACTGTTTCCCTAAGATATTTAGTCACTGATGTGTCTACTCAAGTCTTTAAGTTTTATCCTAGATTCCTGTGTCTACATAGCTTAATGGTCAGTCAATGGTTTGGGTAGAGACTGTGCTTGATTTGGGAAGGCTTTATTCTGTGATGATTGATCTGTGTGTGAGTTGGGAAACCATTTAGGCTTGCAAACAGTTCTGAAGTCTCCCTTGGCTTTTATCTCCAGACTGTCTTGGGTGTCCCTGGCACAAGTCTGTTTCCCAGTCTCAAAAGTATGTGTAAATAGAGTTTATTTTGGCCTTTCTATGGCTTTCTTGTTTCCAAGATCTCCCAATTAAATTTATGGCTGATCAACTATTGCAAATGAAGTTGCAATTTTAAATTAGCAAGCTACTGTGGGTTTTTTCTCCCCATTTATTGCTTATATAATTAACTATTTTTATCTGGAAAAGCCCTGGATTTTTGTTCCTCAAAACACCCCTCCAACCACTATGGTGGCTTGAGCTGGCTTCCTCTGGCAGCAAGACTTCTGGATTTTCAGCTTAGCCTAGCACCGGCAAAACCACAGTTCTCACCAACCAAACTGGGGCAAGGGATGAGGGCAGCTTCAAGCAAGAAGAGTAGAGACTCCTGCTGTTCTTATCCGAAGCTCTAGTCACGTCACAGGAATAAATGCTTCTCAACTAGTTGTCAATCTTTGATTGATTTCCAGAACCTTCACATGGTTGATTTTAACAATTTTGTCCAGTGTTATATTTATTTTTAATAAATAACTGACCCCCCCCCCCACATTTTTTTACAACCAAAAGTCCCTCCAGTTTTGTATTTTGGCATACAGAATACTTTAATTTTAATATAGGTAAATTAATTAATCTTTTCTTTTATGGTGCTATGGTTTGAATGTTTCTGTTCCCTCCAAAATTCATGTTAAAACTTAATCCCCAATGTAACATTATTGTGAGGTGTGGCCTTTGTGAGGAGACTGAGTCATGTGGGCTCCATCTTCATGAATAGGATTAGGTGCTTTTATAACAGGCCTTGACAAAGGAGTTTGCCCCTTTTGCCCTTCCGCTTTCTGCCACATGAGGACACAGTGTTCCTCCCTTTCAGAGGACACAGCATTCATGGTACCCTCTTGGAAGCAGAGAGCAGCCCTCAGCAGACAACTGAACCTGCCAGCACCTTGATCTTGGACTTTCCAGCCTGCAGTACTGTAAGAAATAAATTTGTGTGTTTTACAAACTCCCCAGTTTGTGATATTTTGTTATAGCAGCACAAAAGGATGAAGACAGAAATTGGTACCAGAGAAGTAGGATGTTACTATTACAAATACCTAAAACTGTGGAAACAGCTTTATAACTGGGTAATGGGTAGAGGCTGGAAGAGTCTTGAAGTAAACATGGAGTATTGCCATGAACAGAACATTAGGATGATTCTGGTGAAGGCTCAGAAGAGGAGGGTAGCTGTAAGGTAAGCCTCATTCTTCTCAGAGGTTACTCAAGTGGTCATGATCAGAATGCTGGTAGAACTATGCGCAGTAAAGCCCATTCTAATAAGGTCTTAAAAATGAAGAAAAGGCATTGGAAACTGGAAGAAAGGTCATCTTTGCTACAAAGCGGCAAAGAACTTGGCTGAATTACGTCCATGTTCTGGGACTTTGCAGAAAGCAGAACTGAAGAGTGATTAACCAGGATATTTGTGGAAGAAATCTCCAAGTGGCAAAGTGTTCAGAAAGCCACATGGTCTCTCTTAACTGCTTATAGTAAAATGCAAAAAGAGAGAAATGGTTTAAAGATGAGATTTATAATCAAAAGGGAAGCAGAATTGAAAGATTCAGAGAATTCATAACCTGTTCGTGTAAAGAATAAAAAGCATGTTTAGGAGAGAAAACCAAGGTTGTGACCAAATGACCTTTTGATAAGGAGATGAGTATGAATAGAAGGAAGCCAGGTGCTATTCATCCAGACAATAAGAGAATGACCTTAAAGGCATTTCAGAGATCTTTGAGGATGCCACATCTATCACATGCTCTGAGTGCCAGGGCTTTGAGGGCAAAGTGGTTTTCAGGGAGGGGCTCAGGGTGCTCAAAACCCACTGCCCAGGGTCACTCTAAGTCTCTACTCCTCGTATTCTAGCACCATGCACTCCTCAGTCACTCCAAATATGGCTTAGGTGGGCACAAATGCAGCTGGGATCATCGCTCTAGAAGGCGCTATAAACCTTGGTGGTGTCCATATGATACAAACTCTGCAAGCTCACCAAGTGCAAGAACTGTGGAGACATGACAACCTACAGCTAGACTTTTAAAGGATGTTTCAGACAGCCTTAGAGCCCAGGTTTTCTACAGGGACAGGCCCACCACTGATAGCCACCAACTTGAGCAATGCCTAATGGAGTTGTGGGAGCAGGACCACTCTGAGACCTCAATCTTGTAGAGCCACCAGCATGCAGTGCCAGCCTGGGAGAGCCACAAGCCCCTGACTCCAACCCCTGAGAGCTTCTGTGTGAGCTGCCTCCTGCAAAGCTGTGGGGGTAGGGCTGCCTGGGCCTTGGGGGCTCACCCCCTACCCCAGTATGTCTTGAAGGCGGGACATGGAGTTAAAGGAGATTATACTCAAGCCTTAAGATTTAATGTTGTTCACCTTGTTGGGTTTTGGAATTACTTGGGAACTGTTACTCCTTTCTTTTTTCCTATTTCTTCCTTTTGGAATGGGGACATATATCGTATACCTGTCTCACCATTGTATTTTGAAAGAATGTAACTTGTTTGATTTCACAGGCTCACAGTTAGAGGGAAATTTGCCTGAAGATAAATTGTATCTTGACTGTGACCCGTATGATGTTTAGAAGAGATTTTGAACTTAGGCTTTAGTGCTGATGTGGAATGAGTTAAGACTTTTTGCAGCTATTGGGATGAAATGAATGTATTTTCTGTGTGAGTAGAACATGAATTTTGGGGGGCTAGGGGTGGAATGCTATGGTTTGAATGCTTTCTTCCCCTCCAAAATGCATGTTAAAACTTAATTTCCACTGGACACAGTGGTATGTGCCTATAATCCCAACTACTCAGGAGGCTGAGGTGGGAGGATCACTTGAGGCCAGTAATTTGAGACCCACCTGGGCAATATGGTGAGACCCTGATATGGTTTGGCTGTGTCCCCACCCAAATCTCATCTTGTATTTTAGCTCCCACAATTCCTATGTGTTGTTGGAGGGACCTAGTGGGAGGTAATTGAATCATGGCGGTCGGTCTTTCCCATGCTGTTCTCATGATAGTAAATAAGTGTCATGAGATCTGATGGTTTTATAAAGAGGAGTTTTCCCGCACAAGCTCTCTCTTGCCTGCCACGATGTAAGACATGCCTTTTGCCTTCTGCCTGATTGTAGGCCTCCCCAGCCACGTGAAACTGTGAGTCCACTTAACCTCTTTTCTTTATAAATTACCCAGTCTCAGGTATGTCTTTATCAGCAGCGTAAAAATGCACTAATACAGATCCCATCTTAAAAAATAAAGAAACAACCAACACTTAATTCCCAGTGCAATAGTATTGGGAGATGTGGCCTTTGGGAGACTTGACTGAGGCATGAGAGCTGCACCCTCATGAATGGGATTCGGTGCCCCTATCAATGGGCTTGACATAGGGAGTTTGCCCCTTTTGGCCTCCCCCCTTCTGTTGTATGAGGACACAGTATTTCTTATATTCATGTGTACATGAATTCATGTACACAGCATTCACTTGTACTCAAGAGGACACAGTATTCAAGTTGCCATCTTGAAAGCAGAGACTGGGCTCTCAGATGCTGCCTTGATCTTGGACCTCTCAGCCTCCAGCACTGTGAGAATAAATGTATGTTCTTTACAAACAAACTAAGACAAAGATTTTATGCCTGGAGTCTTTTAGAAATTCTTCCCCATCTCAGAGTCATAAGTATATTCTTCTATAAGTACTTCCAAAAAGTTTGTTTATACTCATACCTCTTTGCAAATGGGTTTTAATGGATGTGAAATTAGGTAGAAATCCTTTTTTAAAAATTCTCATATGTATAAAAGTTATCCTAGCATCACTTATTGAATAGCCCATCCTTTCTCTACTTATTGGCAATGTTTCCTGTATTATATATGAAGGTTCTTCATATACACAGATCTGTTTTTCAGCTCTACAGCTTGTTGTTTTTTTGATTTGTCCATCCCTTTTGCAATCCCACAGTGTTGTCAGTCCTGAAGTCTTTTAAAGCAAGTCTTTTCCAAGACATTTTTTTTAGTTTTCCTTGGCTGTTCGCTCCTTTATACAATTGTAGAAACTGGCTTCTCAAGTTCCATGAAAAATTCAGTTAAAGTTTTGATTGAAATTTCTTTGATTTATTTAGATTAATTTGGGGAGAATGTACATATTTAAGATATTGAGTGTTCTTATCCATAAACTTGATACCTCTTTCCATTTGTTTAGATCTGTTTAATAATTTCAATTATATTTTATTATTTTCTCCTTAAAGATTTTGTACATTTTCTATGAGATTATTTGGTACTTTATATTGGGTATTGTAAGTACTATTTTTCAAATTACATCTTAACATTTTTGTTTAAATTATAAGGGAATGCAGTTCATTTTTGTGTATTTGTTCTACATCCAACAATCTTATTGAATGCTCTTATTAATTCTATTTTTCTGTAGATTATTTTATTTTATTGTTCACATAGAAAATCATATTCACTGCAAGCACTAACAGTTTTGTTTTTCTTTTCAACCTTCACACCTGCTATTTCTTTGACTTGTTCTAACTGTCATGCATAGGACCTCTATTGGTCTATATGGTCAGAAGTGTCAGTAGCAGAAATTTCTTTATCTTTTTTATAAGGCTTTTAACATTTGATCATTAAAAATTATGTCTGAGGGAAGTTTTTGGTAGAAGTACAAAGTTTCCTTCCATTTTTAGGCTGCTAAGTTTTTTCTTTTTAAATCACAAATGGGTGTTGAATTTTATCAATTTTCAATTTTTTTCCTGTGTTCATGAATCTATGGGTATTATCATATAGCTTTTTTCTTTAATCTGTTAATGTAATGAATTATATTAATCAAATTTCTAATGTTAAGCAATATATGAATTCCTAGTATAAACCCAACGTGATCATAATGTCTTTTTTTCTCATTGCTTGACTTGATTTTCTATTAATAATATTTTATTTAGCACGGCTTTATCTATGCTTAACAGCGAGTTTGGACTATAATTTTTTCCATACTATTGCCTGTTTCAACTTTCTCTCTTTCATTAAACAAACAAACAAAAAAAAACAACAACAAAAAGAGGGAAGAGAGAGAGAGACAGTCTCTCTATGTTGCCTAGGCTGGTCTCAAACTTCTGGGCTCAAATGATCCTTCTGCCTCAGCCTCTCAAGTAGCTAAGACTACAGGTATGAGCCATCATGCCAGACTCAACTTTCAATATAGTGATGTAAGTTTTGTTGGTTATTGAATGTGTTATCCTCTTCAAGATCTCTATTAGGATGCAATTGGTGAAAATGAGGCATAGGCAGAAGACAGTAAAAAGGAAAAGTGGAAGGAACTGAGTGAATATTCAGATTTAGGAAGCAAAAACTTGAAGATGAGTGCTATCACAAACTAAGTGGGGAAAGTGAGGATCAAGAGCTGTTTAAGTAAATATGGCTGGTAAAGAAAAAGTTAAGTTCTATTTAGATATGTGTTTGAGTTGCTGAGATAGCTAGTGGAAGTGTCCAGTAGACAGTTAGGATTTTGATTTAGAAATTAAGTAGTTGTGGCCAGAAATACTTCCACGGGAACCATCTGCTCACAATCAAAACTGTGTAGGTAGATGAGGTAATCATTGGAGATTAGTACATAGGAAAGAGAGTAGAGAATGAAGCCTTGGAAGGTGACCAGAATGAGAGAATGAAGGAGGATGGGAAAGCGAAGTTGTAAAGGAAAAGAGAGACAAAAACAAAGGTTACATTTTTCTGAGCTGGGACTCGAAATAAAAAGTGATAGCAGACAGGGTGTGGTACCACCTCATTTGGTTCACACATGGGAGAAAAGGAGAGCATTGCATTTCTCAAGAGATTTTAGGAGGAAACACTCTGAAAAACACTGCCCTTCAAGGCCCAGAAATATACATCCTATCCCCGGATCATAAACTGTCATATAGATCTATTGTCCATTGGCTTCAAGTTTATTTGCCTTTCTAGTTATTAATCCAATCTCATTAAAAATCAGTTTAAGTGTGACCCTTGAATTTAGACCAAATAAGTAATCAAACATAGGCTGTCTAATTTTCACCCCAAGTATCTATAGGTTAAGACATTTTAACCTTATCCTTTATACAATGGGTAGTATAGTCTATGTTGTATGTTGTCTCTTTTAAAAAAAAATTTTATGAGATGGGGACTCACTATGTTTTTCAGGCTAGTCTTGAACTCCTTGGCTCAAGGGATACTCCTGCCTCAGCCTCCCGAGTTGCTGGGATTATAGGCGTCCATGACACTCAGCTTATATCGTCTTCTTTGACGTCAGTGTATCATTGATGTACATCAATCAGCTAATATAGGCACATAAAATTCCAGAGTTAAGAGAGATAATAAAAAGCGTCTTTTTCATTTCACAGATGATAACACTCAGGACCAGAGGTGCAATGACTAGAGCTCAGATCTCTGGACTTGAAACCTTCATGACCCAGTAGAGTCTTACAAGAATCAACACATGAATTGCACTTGCTTATGACAATACTGTTCCATTATTTAACTAATAATTTGTTCATTTTATTGATAGATGTTTCCTTATTTATGAGCTCTTCATTTATCCATATGGTACTTGCTGTTGCACATATAAAAACACTCTGGTGTTCAATTTTTTCAAGTTGTTATTTTCATGTTTAAAAACACTCTTTGGATAAATTAAGGGCTCAAAATAAGGACAATTTAAATAAACATGCCATTAGTTTGACAACAGAAATGCCAACTGAGGCAGGACCCATTAATTTGTTGATAAGTGATTCACTGGATGTGTCCTACAACAT
This sequence comes from Homo sapiens, assembly GCF_000001405.40. Taxonomy (NCBI): domain Eukaryota; kingdom Metazoa; phylum Chordata; class Mammalia; order Primates; family Hominidae; genus Homo; species Homo sapiens. The sequence continues at coordinate 121,751,059 of NC_000011.10, forward strand.
ACTCATCAACTATCTTTAACACATCATTTCTGAAGCACAAATCAAATTCTCAGAAAATATATAAACGAACATTTGTACAGCTGATTGTTTTTAGCAAACTGGAATCTCTTGACATTTGTCAATCTTCTATTCAACAAGTATTTAGTGAGTGCCTACTGTGTGCTAGGCCCCAGTGCCTACAGCAGCGGATAAAACACAAAGTTCCTGCCCTCATGGACTATCTATTATAATGGTGGCAAGGCAGACAATAAACATGCAAATCAATAAATGATATGTTTTTCAGATAGTGACAAAAAGCAATGGGATAGAAAGTGACCAGAGGAGAGATCGTTCTATCTTATCCAGTGTGGCCAGTAAGGAGCCCTGTTGCAGGTCAGGTTCTGTGGGAAGTGAATCTGAGATGGAGATTAGCACACAGAAAGTTCATTGTGGAGCTTTTTCAGAATCAACATTCTTGGGGAAGTACAGACAGTTGCCACCTTAAGATGGTTAAACTTTGGTTACTGTAGCCTTGTAGTATAGTTTGAAGTCAGGTAGTGTGATGCCTCCAGCTTTGTTCTTTTGGCTTAGGACTGACTTGGCGATGCGGGCTCTTTTTTGGTTCCATATGAACTTTAAAGTAGTTTTTTCCAATTCTGTGAAGAAAGTCATTGGTAGCTTGATGGGGATGGCATTGAATCTATAAATTACCTTGGGCAGTATGGCCATTTTCATGATATTGATTATTCCTACCCATGAGCATGGAACGTTCTTCCATTTGTTTGTATCCTCTTTTATTTCATTGAGCAGTGGTTTGTAGTTCTCCTTGAAGAGGTCCTTCACGTCCCTTGTAAGTTTGATTCTTAGGTATTTTATTCTGTTTGAAGCAATTGTGAATGGGAGTTCACTCATGATTTGGCTCTCTGTTTGTCTGTTATTGGTGTATAAGAATGCTTGTGATTTTTGGACATTGATTTTGTATCCTGAGACTTTGCTGAAGTTGCTTATCAGCTTAAGGAGATTTTGGGCTGAGACAAGTACAGCATGGTACTGGTACCAAAACAGAGATATAGATCAATGGAACAGAACAGAGCCCTCAGAAATAATGCCGCATATCTACAACTATCTGATCTTTGACAAACCTGAGAAAAACAAGCAATGGGGAAAGGATTCCCTATTTAATAAATGGTGCTGGGAAAACTGGCTAGCCATATGTAGAAAGCTGAAACTGGATCCCTTCCTTACACCTTATACAAAAATTAATTCAAGATGGATTAAAGACTTAAACATTAGACCTAAAACCATAAAAACCCTAGAAGAAAACCTAGGCATTACCATTCAGGACATAGGCATGGGCAAGGACTTCATGTCTAAAACACCAAAAGCAATGGCAACAAAAGCCAAAATTGACAAATGGGATCTAATTAAACTAAAGAGCTTCTGCACAGCAAAAGAAACTACCATCAGAGTGAACAGGCAACCTACAAAATGGGAGAAAATTTTCGCAACCTACTCATGTGACAAAGGGCTAATATCCAGAATCTACAATGAACTCAAACAAATTTACAAGAAAAAAACAAACAACCCCATCAAAAAGTGGGCGAAGGACATGAACAGACACTTCTCAAAAGAAGACATTTATGCAGTCAAAAAACACATGAAAAAATGCTCACCATCACTGGCCATCAGAGAAATGCAAATCAAAACCACAATGAGATACCATCTCACGCCAGTTAGAATGGCAATCATTAAAAAGTCAGGAAACAACAGGTGCTGGAGAGGATGTGGAGAAATAGGAACACTTTTACACTGTTGGTGGGACTGTAAACTAGTTTAACCCTTGTGGAAGTCAGTGTGGCGATTCCTCAGGGATCTAGAACTAGAAATACCATTTGACCCAGCCATCCCATTACTGGGTATATACCCAAAGGACTATAAATCATGCTGCTATAAAGACACATGCACACGTATGTTTATTGTGGCACTATTCACAACAGCAAAGACTTGGAACCAACCCAAATGTCCAACAAAGATAGACTGGATTAAGAAAATGTGGCACATATACACCATGGAATACTATGTAGCCATAAAAAATGATGAGTTCATGTCCTTTGTAGGGACATGGATGAAATTGGAAATCATCATTCTCAGTAAACTATCACAAGAACAAAAAACCAAACACCGCATATTCTCACTCATAGGTGGGAATCGAACAATGAGAACACATGGACACAGGAAGGGGAACATCACACTCTGGGGACTGTTGTGGCGTGGGGGGAGGGGGGAGGGATAGCTTTAGGAGATATACCTAATGCTAAATGATGAGTTAATGGGTGCAGCACACCAGCATGGCACATGTATACATATGTAACTAACCTGCACATTGTGCACATGTACCCTAAAACTTAAAGTATAATAATAATAAAAAAAAGAAAATTACCCATTAAAAAAAAAAGATGGCTAAACTTAACAATTTTTTGACTTTAAGATGGTGTGAAAGTGATATATATTCAGTAGAAACTGCACTACGAGTGCACATGCAACCATTCTGTTTCTCACTTTCAGTGTAGTATTCAATAAATTACATGAGATATTCAACACCTTGTTATAAAATAGGCTTTGTGTTACATGTTTTTGCCCGACCATAGGCTAATGTAAGCGTTCTGAGCATGTTTAAGGTAGGCTGGGCTAAGCTATGATGTTTGGTAGGTTAGGAGTATTAAATGCATTTTTAACTTGATATTTTCAACTTGTGATGAGTTTATCAGGATGTAACCCTGTTATAAGTCTAGGAGCATATGTACAGGAAATAGGATTGGGCAGAAACAGAAGTTGGGCTATTACATAGTCACAGCAAAACCTCAGCCTCCAACACCACAGAAAGCCTTGAAGCTGGGGTAGTCCTACAGTGTATCTTGAGTTGGGGCTGGGGAGTTGGCCTTTAGACCCTCTTATTTGCCACTATTGTATGTGTGCTGCCTTTGGTGGGAAGATTTTGGGCGAGATGGGCAGCTTAGGGCAATCTATGAAGGGGATCCAGCTTCCAACACTCACAGCAGCTAGGCAAATGATGCTTCAGTCCTCATAGGGGGGATCTGTGTGACCCACCACAGCATGCACTATAGCCTCTCTGAACAGGCGGTATTTGAGCTGAGACCTGGATGATGTCATCTCGCTTAATCCTGGGGTTGATATTGTCATATCCCCATTTTGTACCCCTGTTCATCTCTCAGAAGCTCAGAGAGGTGAAGTGACTTGCCCTAGGTCACACAGCTACCAGGAAGCAACACTTTGTGTCTCCTAGCCCAGAGCTTCATCTATGATGATCTGCCTATATCTTGTTTCATTTATGCTTGTACTTGTGAAAACACCAAGGGCACATATTTCTATAAACACTTTTATAAAACACTTGGGTATATTACCAGTAGAATATAGGATAAGCCTCTCTGATTTTTCTGATTTCACTGATTTCTCTGACAGGGCAAAGGCCATATGGCCATGTTTGCATCTTTGTTCAGATAAGTGATTAGATATCTCTGTACAAAATAGAGCTTTAGAATGGAAAAAGTTTTCAAATAATAGGCTGACAACTTAGTTAAAAGAAAAACAAGTGAAACAAATATCACTAGATGTTATTTGTTCCAAAAGTCAAAAGGCTAACCACAGCCATGCCAAACATCTGCAAATATTTTCAGCTTTTTAATCCCTAATCTTTCTCTGATTTGAGGTATGAGTGGAGAGTACTACTGGTACTCTCGTGATTCTTACAGTCACTTGATCAAAGCTTGTTTCTTGCCTGGCTTCCAACCTTTGACCCATTTGGCCTGTCTCCTGTCTAGGAGGGGCTTTGGGCTTTGGTAGGATAATGTTTTACATCTCATGATCCTGTGTAATTTGTAAACTGCTTTTACATAAGTTATTTCATTCGATTGTTGCAAAAACACTGGGAAGCATGGATCTGTATTTCCTTTTCATTGATAAGGGAACCAAAGCCCTGAGAAGTCACATGACTCAGGTACATCCCTTGAACTCAAGACTTTCAGTTATAAGACCATATATTCTTTCCATTACCTCTCCACTGATAGAGCTCTGAGCTAGAATTCTTGGAAGTGAGAGCAAGGAATGCATGAGAATAAAAAAGACATAGGAGTGAGAAAGAGTGGGCAGATTATTATTGAGGCAGGTCACAAAACTTCGTTAGGCCTGGGTTTCCTCATTGAAGTGACAACTGGACAAGGTAGCTGTCTAGGACTCTCCTTAGCTTTAAGCTTCTCTAGTCTTAAGGAAACAGCAAAGAAAAAAAAAAGAAAAAGACAAATCAAAACAATGAGACAGCTGCAACAACAACAAAGAACAGCTATGCTATCCCAGGTCTCTAGCCATCACAACTATAGCATGACTCTTTCCTTTGAATTTTCACTAGCAGCTGGAATGCCTCCATTTTGAACACTCCACTGCTCAGGTAGCTGCTGATTTCCTGGCTACTAATACCACTGTTTCACACATAATGGCGAACAGACTGAAGAGATCAAATTAAATCCATTTCCACTTTAGGATGGGAAATCTGTTTGGAACAATCAAGCAGGTTTGGGGCAGCAAGCATGGGTTTTCAATTGCCATCAAATGGGAAATTGCTTCATGTCAATTGGCATTAAGTGGACCGATTTGTGCCCAATTAATATACCGTGGTTGGAAAGAAAGAAAACAATTTCATTTAGCTAGATTGCTCTTCTCTGGGTTCTTCCTGCGTGGATCTCCAAGCAGTCTGCAGACATTCCCTCTTATTCAACCAATCCCCTCCCCCATTGTGAGCCACATCCTCCCTTGTTGAGAATGACAAGTTGGGAGCAGCTCACTTTAGCTTTTTTCATGCCTCAGAATCCCATTTAGTGAATGGCTACTGCAGGGTCCCAAATGAAACACATTAGTGGCGTACAAGAGTTAATACAGCTTTCAGTAGCATTTTATCCCCAACTAGAGCTCAGCTCTGGCCTTGGATAAAGCTAGCTTACTCCTAGCCATTAGACTGAAATATTGGGCCAAGACACTCCCAGAATTTTCCTGGAAGATGCCTGCTGGAGAATCCAAGGGATCAAAATAGTGCTGGGATGACAAGTCAGATGTGTGAAGACCTCAGTGACTCTGTAAAATCTGGAAGCCCCCCTGACAATGACAAACAACCACCGAGGAAACACAGGTCACCCAATCACTGCCAGCTGAAGCGCTGGCACAGAAACCCAGCTAAATCCATGCTCCAGAGACTCCCCAAATGAAAGAACACTGTGTGAGCCCATGCTGGCCAATGGGAGCTGGATGAGGAAAGATAGTAGCCTCGTTTTCACATCCATAGATTTTATGCTCCCTTTGGTTGGTAATTTACATTTATATAGACTCTTTCAAACTCTGGGTTCTAAAATGGCTTTGCTGGTTTATATGTATAGGGCACTGCTTTGTATAAGCAGTTGGCTCTGTATACATAAACAAAACCTGACCATCTGTATTTAAATGAAAGCATGTGGTTCAGATTTTACTTGGTCATTTTAAGCCATACCATACTTGAATGAATCTCCCTAAGTTTTTTAAGGGCACATAAATGAGGTATATAGTGCTACCTGGTGAACCCTTTAATCTGACTCCATTTTGATGCAAGGTGGCTCTGGAGCTGCGTATCCTCCATGATTTATGTATGAACGTGGATAGATGGAATGTGAGTGATAGGAATATAGGCGATGACTCTTTCTCTCCTTCAATCTAAATCTAAAATGTATCTTCCACATCTTTCCATGCACGTGTCCCAGTAAATACCTGAGGAGAAAAAGAATGAACATGAAGATCATTTTGTAAATTGTCAAGCTCCATAAACATGCTAATGTCTATTGTTATTACTGTAAAGAGAGGCAGCTTCTCGTCGTAGAAAGAATTCTGCATCTAGAGTCCAAAGGCCTGGGTTTGAGCCAAGACACTGCAAGTTAGGAGCAGTGAGGTCCTAGTCATGTCGCTAAACTGCAGTTTCCCAATCTAAAATGGAGCTATACCAATTCTGTTTGCTTCAGGCAGCCACTAAAGAGGGATGGGGCATCTGTCTGGGGCATCTGTCATTGGTGACTGCCAGGGTCAATTTGGCTGCTCTGGTTGGCTAAGCTGAGGTGCCTGTCTCTCTCTCAGTTGGAGAGAATGGCCTTTCCAAATAGAGAAGGACTATTTATGAGAATAGGTGGAGGACCTTTGAATAGGATCATTGTGAAGATAGAACATGACAGAATGTACAAAAGAGCCTTGTACCTCAAGAAGGATGTATACAGGTATACAGGGACCCACGAAGGAACTTGCTAGGCTTTGTTCTGTAGAGTACAGTTCTCAGGACTGCCTGGAATTGCTGCTGGTTGGGTCTAGCTGCTGAACCTAAGATGTTGTCTTTCTACAACTTGGAGGATTCCTGGAAATGTGGACTGCTGCTTATCACAGCCTACTTTCTGTCTTTGTGTTACTTATTTGTACCTGTGCTGTGCTATGCCTTAGACCAGACTTTCTCAATCTTGGCACTACTGCCATTTTAGATGGGATAACTGTTTGTGGTTGGAGGCAGTCTTGTGCACTGTAAGATGTTTATCAGCAGCCCTGGCCTCTACCCACTAGATAGCAGTAGCACTCTCCCTTAGCAGTCACAATTAAAAATGTCCACAGACATTGCTAAATGTCCCCCAGGGGGGTAAAATCACCCCCTTACCCTTGGTTGAGAACGGACTAACTTAGACTATGAGCTCCATGGAAACAAGTCATATTTTCTTTTAAGTTGTATCCTTGCACCAACTTAGCAGAGTATGCAGCGCTAGTAGGCGCTCGATAACAAGTGGCTGGAGGAAATTGAACTAAAAAGCCAAGTTTCACTTTGGTATGAGTCACCCCCTGCCAGCTTTTGAGCTTAAGTTAAAGAGGCCAAATTGAAAAGCCAACGAAGCAGGTTGTACCTGTTAAGTAGGCCCCAGGCTCAAAGGGGAAACATTTATCAGCAAAGAATATATGTTCTCAGCATCACTTGACGCAGATTTAAAAGAGGCAATCAAAGAGCTCCTAGATTGCTGCAGGATGCCCAAGCACTCTGGAATTGAGGGAGCTGGGGGTGCCTTTGCTCCTGTCTGTCCCTGGTCACGGCCCTCCCTTTTTCTCCCTTCTCCTTAGACAGAAGTTTGCTCACAATATGGTTTTTCAATTGGTTTTCAGTTCTTGACCTTTTCCCATCTCAGGTTTCTTGCAGGTTTCCCGACAGACCTACAAGGGTTGTCATTCTGCTGGTGGCAAGAGACTCCAAATGTGTCTTCAGACTCAAGCAGGAGAGAAGGAAAGTGTCAGATGGTATTTAGTCATTTTGGTGGATAAGGGACGATTGACTTGAGGCCTTAGAGGGCAGCTGGATCTTCCATGCTTCTAGTATGTGAAAGGAGTAGTTTTCAAAGTTTCCAGAACATAGGCACATCCTCTGAATGTGTCTGGCCAGCCTTGATTCATCCTCTCACCCTGTAAGTAAAAATGATGCTCTCAGAAGGCAGTGAGTTTCCTCCAGGTGGTTCTTTAGCTAGAGCAGAGAAGTGTTTGCTTTTTCAAACGATCATGGCTTTCTCAGCTCTCCTTCACAGCAAAATGCCTTGAAAGAGTGATTGATATTAGTTGCTCCAATTCCTTCTGTCTCACTTTCTCTTGAACCCATCATAGTCAGAATTTCACCCCCCTTACTTGACAGAAAATTGCTCTTGTCAAGGTGACCATGACCTGCCAGCTGCTAAATGCATGGTCAATTTGCATTCCCCTCTCATCTGATCTATCAGCAGCATTTAACCCAAGTGATCATCTGTCTTCTTTGAAACACTTTCTGTACTTGGCTCTTAGGATACTGTACCCCCTGGTTCTCCCTCTCCCTCCCAAGACCATTCCTTTTCTGTGATCTTTGCTGGTCCTACCTTATTTCCTCCCATTACTCCAGGGCTCCATTCTCTAAGTCTCTCCTCATCTTTCCTCTTTTCTATGCATTTGTCTCATGGCTTTAAATATTTACTATTTGTTGGCAACTCATATATTTATTTACCCCGCCTGAACGTCTTTCCTGAACTCCAATATCCTATGTCTAATTGCCTTCTTAACATCGCTACTTGGGTGATGAATAGGATCCCAAACTTGACATAGCCAAAACTGAACTCCTGAGCTCCTTCATCCCAAACCTACTTCCACCTTCTACTCAATCTCAGTAAACGGTGACTCTTTTCTTCCAGGTGCCCAGGCTAAGAACCTTAGAGATCTTTCTCTCACAATCCATATCTAATAATTCAGCAAAGCTGGTAGCTCTACCTTCAAATTTATACCCAGGGCCCAATCACTTCTTACCACCCTCACCACTCACCACCTTAGTTCATGTCACCGGCATCCTGGATTATTGTGGTAGTTTCCCAGTTGGCTTCAGTGCCTCTATCTTCGTCCATTGCTCTGGCTGTCTCCTCATCTGTTTTCAATATAGCAGCTAGAGTGATACTTTTAAAACATAGGCCAGATCTTGTCACACTTCAAGTGTGATACTTTATGCTCCAAAGATACCCATCCCACTCAGAGTAAAATCCTAAGGTCTTCACATATTCGACAGTTCCTAAATCTGGGCCACTGCGATTGCTCTGACCTTATCTCCTGCCACCCATCCCAACCCCCATCCCTGATCATTCCCCTCTTGCTACATTGTTGTCCTTTCTTCAGACACACCAAGCATTCTCCTATCACAGAGCCTTTGCATATGCTTTTCCTTTTGCCTGGAAAGCTTTTTCCTCATATATATTTTCATGGGTCACTTACCTTTTTTCAAGTCAAGTAGTTATTTGCAAGCAAAAGCATTCCCTGACCATCCTATCTAAAATGCTTATGTAACCATCACTACCCTGATCTCTTTATATCGCTTGACAATATAATCTCCATGAGTTTAAGAATCTTGTCCTTTTCCACTGGGGTACCCCTAAAACTTTAACAGACCCTCAGCCCATAGTTGGTGCTCAATAATATTTGTTGAATAAATGGATGAATCTATTCCTCCAGATGCAAAGATTCAACATGACAAAGCAGCTACTGTCAACAAACTCCTTAAAGATTACAGGATAGTGATACTTCTTTATTAAAGTAAACCATCCAAGCTTCAAAATGAGATTGCACATGCTGTTATTTCTGTTTCCGATGTAAAATATGATTTTTTTTTTTCTGTTGAAGATGAGGGATTTAAGTTTGGTGAACATTTCCAACCTAGGATTCTGCTAACGTGCTAATGTGCCAAGATGTCTTTTTATTATGATCAGCTAGATTCGACAAATATCGATGACTTCCCACTATATGCTGGGCTCTGCTTAGAAACGGAAATGCAGATTGCTTAGATCTGATTCTGCCCTCAGGATGCTTGAAGGCATTTAGGGATAAGAAATACAGACCTGATCTATGCTTTCAAAATTTAAAAATGTTGATAAATGGAAAAATGTGTCTATTCCTATCAAGAGAGTTTAGCCCAATGAGAACATTAATATCCTCAGGCAGATTATGTGTCAAACGTCCTCTAAAGGAAAGTGCCAGGGCAAGATAGGTTCATGTGTTTCCAAAGAGTGCAACATTAATAAACACCCTAAGAGAGGTGAAAACAAAGTGCTGTGTAAGCTCTGAAATGGGAAAAATCATGTCTTGGGGTGGGAGGTATGATGGATGGCTTTGTGAAAGAGACTATAGCTGACCTTGGCAGGTAGAGAAATAGGCAGTGACAGCAAGGAGGGCTTTCACGCAGAGAGAAGACCCTCATGAGCACAGGTGCATATGGGGAGACTCCAAGTCTTTTTTTTTTTTTTTTTTTTTTTTTTAGAAATGGTTGCAGCCAAGAGTGGGCAGAGCATGGGGCAGGAACAAGGCAGATGCTGGAAATAGGAATCGGGGGTAAAGCCAGCTTGTGTTTGGTAGTATTATTTGTTTTTTACTGTGGTTGTTTTCCAAAAATAACAGGATTGATAAACAGGGGCCCTGTTGTTTTGCAACACGTACCAAAAATGATATTGCCAATCTCATAATTCTTACTTGCTATGCAATGCCCATACAAAGGATTTTGGAATCCTCAAAGAGGATTAATTTATTTATAGCAACTTTTTGGTGTATTTCCATGTTTCTTTCAATCTTTGAAAATTGGTCATCCATGCAGCATCTACAAAGACTGTTTAGTAGCCACCTACCAGAACAAACTATAGTGCTCCTCTGATGGATAACAGAGTTTACTGTAAGTGCCTTTTCCTGATCATGATGGAATTTCCCCCGTTCTTTGCCTTTTCCCATAAAGCCCACATCTGCTGACCTCCAGGGTTTGATAAGCTCTCTGTCTCTCTCATTAGCTCAAGCAGCTCAAGCTCTGTCTGAACAGGATTCCAGTAAAAATGGTTACAGACTGAATAACGGTCTGTCTTTCCAACTAGCATGGGACTCAAATACTTAAAGGAACACAGCATTTTGGTAGTCAGACACAGTACATATACAGAGAACTATCATAAAACACTATAGCTCCAAACACAGACCATTATGACAAAATCAGGGACCTGCTCTCCTGAAAAAAAGATAACAGCTAACGTTTACCTGTATCTACAGTCCATTTTAATGTAATTTTATTATGACATGGATCACAAAACAAAAGTCGTTGAAGTCACAGACTCAAAGCATTTCAGAGCTGGGAGGCATTAGGGGTTATTTGTTTCAATTGTCCTGGTTTATAAATGAGGAAACTGAGGTCAGAAGAGATTACAGCTCAACAAAGGTCAGTTAAAGGCAGAACTTGAACACACCTGGGACTGCAATTCTTTCCACATGGGAAGGTAATCATCTTTCAGTGGCCTGCTGTGGGAAAATTTCTTTATTGGCTAGGCTTTGGCTCTCATGTTCTTTAAAGCTCTCTGGACCTCTCGTCCTTACTTTTGTAATACATCTTCACTGTCTTAGGAGGCCTGCGCATGAGATAGATGCTTTAACACCAGCTCAGGCTCCCAGGCTGCAGGGGAGCTCTGTGGGTGCAGGGAGGTTTTCTGTCTGTATTTTGGACTTTTGCATCATGCCTAGTGCCTTGTGGGAGCTCAACAACTCTTAGTTCTGTTCCTTTCTATTGCAGAATGTACTTGTTCAGTTGAATTGTGGTTGAGATAGAGGGTGGATATTTGATGGAGGGAGGTTGCAAGTGATCATGTCATCTACCAAGTATGAGAGAGTTGGAGAAAAAAGAAAAATCAGGAGGGGATGGGAGGCTAAAATGAAAAGACAAAGGGTGGGGGAAAAGTCGGAAAAAGACGACAATTGAAAGCACAAATCTAATTCCTGTTCAAATGCAAACAGGAGTCCAGAATGTGTCACATGTGTTCAGCCTGTGCAAGTGATTATGTAAATTAATTAAAAAGAAGGAGGGGAGGGGAACAGGGGTCCAAAAGGAAGTGCTCCCAAAGATTCCTGAGAATCCCATCCTTCCCCATCAGTGTTTGGAGAAGGATATGGATTCCATTTGTGCTGGCACTGTAAAAAAGAGGACGCCTTAGCCCTTAGTAGTCACAGGGAGGCAGCTCTCGCTGCAAAACCAGATGGGGTCTCATCACCCACACTATGCAGGTGGGGTCAACTTCCATGATATTAGCCCAGCAAACATCCAGGGGACTCAGCTCACTGCTGTTCTTTCATTTTCCTGTGGAAACCTTTCAAAAGTACTAATTCCGTGGTCAACCAAGCCAGAGCCTCAGGGAAGCCCAGATGCCCCACCTGCCTCTTGAGGGGCCCAGGCTGCTCGAACAGGCAGCAGTACCACTTCCCTTCCTCAGCTGCTGCACTGGAGGGAGTCGGAGAGCAGATCATCTTGGATACAAGCTGGTGGGGCTGCGGTGGCAGTCTCTGTTCAGGCTTTGTCGCTGCTTCCCAAGCAAGCCCCGTGGAACCTGGACAAGTTGGGGCTGGGGCCCAGACTCCAGGGATGCTTGAGGGTTGCACCCGTCAGAATCCCTGGCGCCAGGCCAGGCCAGGGCGGCCTGCTCCGTGAAGGAAATATTGAACATTCTGAGTCTTAAAGAGCAAACCTGGAACGGTTCCAAGATTACACTTAATACATCTGCTGGGAGCCACAGAGAAGGGAGACCGGGGGAATCTGCAAAAATAACACTTGCAGGGCCAGGAGAGCACACAGCATCAGCATGGCACAGGTTGTAAAAGTAACATCGTCCCTTACCTCTGGTAGCACTTATAGTTTCTGAAGCTCATTCATACACATGATCTTTTTGTTATTCTTTATGATTCTGAGAGGTAGGCAGGGAATATTGTTTTACGTAAGTTGCAGATTATGCATCTCTGTGCCTCATACAACACTTAACCTTGCAGGCTGTACAGTGAATAGTGAGTAAGTATGTGAGTGGATAAATGGACAAACTTCCACTTTACAGGGGAAGAAACTGACACAGAATTGTTGAATTCATTGAAAAGCACTCAACACCCTTGTGGGCACTCATGACATGCTAGGCACCATGCTAGGAAGACATGGTCCCCTCACTTTAGGTACTCATAGTCTAGGGAGTGAGAGGGTCAGAAACAAGTAACTAATAAGTAATTATGCAACTGGACACATGATCCATTTGAGGTGATTACGAGGGCTGTAGAAGACAGAAAGAGACAGACCGACTGCGGCAAGAGGATGTGAAAGTGACTTGTTCAATGGACTACAAAGTAGCATGAAAACTACTCTCCAGGTGTTCAGGCTCATGCTTTCTTTGTTTTACCTTTAGCTTGGCCAGGACAAGTCTCCTGTTTCTCTAGCCCCCACCCTCAGACTACCCTTGAATTGTTGCTATTTCATTCCTGAAGTTCTCCCTTTATCAGGAATTTATCTTTCAGCTTAGGGCTATATTAGCTTGTCTAAATTAAAATGTTCCATAGGAAGGATATTTATGTGAATCAGGGATAAGGAGATAAGCTTTCCTGGGGGTGGAGAGGGAATACACAAATGAGAGGCTTGAAGACTCTGGGCTCCCTAGGGGTTGGTGTGGGTGACTAGAGAGAGAGGAAATAAGAAGAAATAGAACAGGTGACTGGGGACTGTTAAAGGAAGCATCACCTTCACAATTTTGCTTTTTTTCCTCTAGAACATCCCTACATCAAATAAATATACCATGCATATGTACATACATACATGTGTGTACATATATACATGTATGTACATATATACATATGTATACATATAAACATACATACATGCATGCACTCTCATACACACACACACACACACACCAACATAGTCTTTAAACCTGTCACAAAAATGGGATATAAAGTTTTTACCAGCGCTTCTTACATGGAATAATTCTGTAGTGATATTTGCCTGATATTTGTGAGCATGAGGTTTCATATAGCTTAATAGCTGTAAGTTTCAAATTTTATTAAACTTCTGCCTTGTTCACAGTCTGATTTCTTTAAGGCCTTATCTAGTTGCCTTGAGCCGCAGGGGTTATTACCTTGGACATGTGCAAAGATATAAATTTCACCACATTAATTGAGGAGAAGTAATAAACTAATGTATAAAAATAGCAAAGAATTTTGATAATTTGTGTTCTCATGGAAGAAGAATAGCTCATAAAAATAATTATTACATGGTACATGTTTGCATTATTTACAAGGCACATGCATGCACTCCTATATACAAATGCTGTTGGGCATTTGGCTATAATCACCAGAAAGCTGGGTATTTCCAAATATCTACATGTGTGCTGACATCTAGTCCAAACTTCTGGGTTTTTGATTGACAAATGTGACTTTCAGCAGACCACTGAGGTTCAGGAGCCCACAATCTAGGTGTGACAGTCACCTCTTCTGGGAAGATTTCTGTGATTCTTCTGTCTGATTCATGGGCCCCTCTTTCAGGTCTCCTGAGTGCCGTACATGGGAATTGACTTGTCCGTCTCCTCCCCTGGGATGGGAGCATCTTCAGGGAAGTCATGGGCTCTTTTTTTTGCCTCTAGATATTTCCTGAATGAATGAATGAATGAATGAAGTGCCTAACATGCCTTCCTACACCCATGACCCTAGTGTGGTGCCTTGCACAGAGGAAAAAACACAATAAATATTGAATGAACATCTATGTTTGTGAGTAAAGAGATTCAGATCAGCTGTGTCACATTACATAGTCATTTTATTCAAATGTCTCAAAGCCTAAAATGTCATTTTTAAACTGCTTCTTCCAGCCCTAGGGAGAAAGTAGATACAAATCATGAAGACCGCTTGAGGCACCCAGAGAAGGGATATGCATTCCCCGGGTTCACTTGAGGAGTGAGGCGTTTGGACATCCCTCCCACCCCCACTTCTGTCCCCTCCTGCAAGTGTGTCCCCCTCTGCCTTTCTCTTCACATTATAAGTCGCCTGAGTATTTATATATTCTGGGGTCTCTCTATGTAAATCCACATTCCATAGATCCCAAAGCTTTTCTTCTGTTTCAGATCAAGAGGCTGAACAAGATATATGTTTTCTTTTCCTTTTGTAACCAGCAAATGGCTTTTTTATCGATCTACCCCTTCTAACATAAGGTTTGTCTTCATGTAGAGTTCGGAAGCCTGTTCTCTCTCTCTCTCTCTCTCTCTCTCTCTCTCTCTCTCTCTCTCTCTCCCTCTCTCTCTCTCCCTCTCTCCCCCTCTCTCTCTCTCTCTCTCTCTCTCTCTCTCTCTCTCTCTCTCGTAACCCCTTCCTTAAGTTCAGAGAGACTGTTTACTCGCCTCCACCTCTCTCTTCCCACAGTTTTATCTCATCTTAGCTCTGTTCATAAACCATCAGTTTCTCCAGTGTCTTGTGTTTCCTGCCTGCTGTGGCTGGAATTTTATGGGACTAATCAGGTTTTGCTTTCTTCACACCCCGTCTCTTCACCATCCATGCGGCCCTCTTGACTCTTATCCCCCTACCCTCACCTTCATGGTGCGTGGGCCTATTAAATGGTGTCCAGTCCAATTTCTGGCACCCAATAAATCTAAATTTTCAAGCTTGGGAAGCCGGGCTCACCCACTGGCACCCAGATAAATGAGTCCTCCGTGAGAAACCCACACTGGTCATTACTCAAGACTCTCCTAAAACCTCGACACAGGCTTCCTGCCTGAGAGACTCAAAGTGCCCCTTGACTCCCTTACCTTCTGGAAAAGAAAATGTTCCCCCACCCCATCACAGGGACTGAAGTCATCTCCAGCTCTCCCCGCTCCAGACCGATGCTCAAAGCGGCTGGAGCCCCCGACTCTTGGCCCCCAGCCGGCCCCCACGTCATTGCCCACTGCAACGTCTTTGAAAT
This sequence comes from Homo sapiens, assembly GCF_000001405.40. Taxonomy (NCBI): domain Eukaryota; kingdom Metazoa; phylum Chordata; class Mammalia; order Primates; family Hominidae; genus Homo; species Homo sapiens. The sequence goes on from NC_000011.10 coordinate 121,766,369, forward strand.
GAGACTTAATATCCAGCACACGCGCGTGCACTGTTCAGCTCGCAGGGGCTCCGAGCATGGAGCTGAACAAAGAACCTCCGTGCAGAGGTTTCATTGTTCGCAAAAAGCACTACCAATGAGGGCTTTTCTCCCAGTGGTGAATCTCTCGCCCTTTTGGCGGAGGGTACTGTTTCAACACCCTAAATCTAGCTCTTCCATCTGATTGACAGCAGCCCTAAAATTGTCCAGGTGTGAGGAAGAGGATTGTCGGGGTTGAGGGCCTTTGAGATCAGGTTAGCTTTCTAGAAAACTGGTGGGTAGGAGGGTCCAAGAGCCAGGACTCCTGGGAGGAAACCGGGGTCAGGGTCTGTGTTTCATTCAGAGAGGGGAGACCTGGAGAGCATGATATGCTCTTGGGAAGTTGGAGACTATTTGTATTTACTTATTTGTTATTTTGACTTGTGAAATTATCCCCTTTCACTCTGTCAGGCTTCTGAGTCTGCACAATAAAAATTAATTACAATGAATTAGAACCTTTATAAACCACCCTTAATAGAACAGCGGCTCAGAGACAGCCCCTCCTCTGGCTTCTCGGCGGTCTACAGTTTAAAATTCGATCAGGAAATAATACTTCAAGAAGACAAATGTCTCTAAAATAAAGTATCTGTTTTTGGCTTTTATGGAATAAATCCTGGAAGTAATAGGATGCTGTGATGGTTAGCTTTCTGTGTCGATTTAGCTAGGCTATAGTATCCCATCATTTAATCAAGCACTAATCCACATGTAGCTTCGATGGTATTTTGTAAACGTGGTTAACAGCTACAGCTGGTTGATTTTAAGTAGATTACGTTGGATAGTGCAAATGGGTCTTATCCAATCAGTTAAAGGTCTTAAGAGCAAAAACTGAGGTTTCCTAGAGAAGAAAAGATTCTGCCTCAAAACTGCAGCATCAATGCCTGCCTGAGTTTCCTGAACTGGCTGGCCTGTGCTACACATTTCAGACTTGTGTCTGGCCCCTGCAATCCTATGAGGCAATTTCTTGAAATAAATCTCTTTAAATAAATAAATGAAAGTTTCTATCTCTATTCTACATTTCTATATCTATGTATTATTGATTCTGTTTCTCTGGAGAAGACTGAATAATGAAGGTATTTCAAAATCTTATGCTGAATTGAAATTGTTCATTGTGTAAGTACCTTCAGGGCAGGATGACAGTTCCTCTTTCTTTTCTGAGCATGAGGCATTATGCTGCACACAGGGTAGGAATTTATGAAGCGCTTACTGAAGTCACCGGAAACCCCAAGAAGCCCCATCATGCTTTTTTCAGCTTCTGCTCCTGCACTTTCAGTTCAAGTGGAAACATTTGCTCCTTCTCATTCACACAAGACTAATCAGCCTGACTTGGGAGTCCAGCTCTTCTCATGACCTTCCCATAACCTTGTGAAGTACTGATGCTCCCATCCGTCTCTACCTTTAAAAGCTGTGAGCCGAACCACACCTTCCCCAAAGGCCTCACTGCAGAGAGCCCAGGCGCATCACTTGGTCTTGCCTCCTAGCACTTGTACCTGAGAGCCTTTAGGTTTACCTCCGTTGTTCTGTTCTGGCCTGGCATTGTGAGATGATGTCCTCCCTTTCTCATTAGCGGGTGGTCCCTCTGGGGGAATTCCAGGCTCTGATGTTGTGGAACATGTATGGCCTTTGGAATTAGCCAGACCCAGTTTGAGCCCCAGTTTTCATACAAACATTGAGAACCTGATGAAGTCATGTACATTTTCTGAGGCTCAGTTTTCTTATTAGTAAAATGGCAGTAAAGTGACTCATAAGGACATGTGAGGAATAAATAAAGCAAATAGAGAGTTATCATTTATTATTTTAAAATTAGCAACAAAACATATATTTCTCTGTGTTAGTCCGGGTTCTCTAGAGGAACCGAACCAATAGGATAGATGTATATTTGAAGGGGAGTTTATTAAGCAGTACTGACGCACACAATCACAAGGCGAAGTCCCATAATAGGCAGTCTGCAAGCTGAGGAGCAAAGAAGCCAGTCCGAGTCCCAAAATCTCAAAAGTAGGGAAGCCAACAGTGCAGCCTTCAGTCTGTGGCGGAAGGTCCGAGAGCCCCTGGCAAATCACTGGTGTAAGTCCAAGAGTGCAAAAGCTGAAGAACTTGGAGTCTGATGTTCGAGGGCAAGAAGCAACCAGCACAGGAGAAAGATGGAAGGCAGAAGACTCAGCAAGTCTAGTCCTGCTTTATCCTAGCCACACTGGCAGCTGATTAGATGATGTCCACCCAGATTGAAGGTGGGTCTGCTTCTCTCAGCCCACTGACTCAAATGTTAATCTCCTTTGGCAACCCCCTCACAGACACACCTAGGAACAATCCTTTGCATCCTTCAATCCAATCAAGTTGACACTCAATATTTACCATCACATTCCCCTAATGAAGTTTTCTGTGGAATGTGAAATATAAAGCAGGTAAGATAAGCGCTACTCTGGTTGGTTCTAAGGAAAGCTTCTTACTTGTGCACTGGGACTCCCATTCTCTGTCCTTTTCAAGGGCATGCCTTCAGCAATGCTGTCTCTGTCTATTATATTACATGTAACACTGCTCTACTGGATCATCCCTGCCAGCCTGAGAACATGATGGCATAGCCTCCATCTTTCAACCAACCAACCAACAAACCAACCAAGCCATCATCAACCAAGCAAAAAAAATTCATCTTCCCTTACCCTACATGCCTCTGAAGTTACTACCCCACTTCTGCCCTCTTCTTTCCAGCAAAGTTCACTGACAGAGTTGTCTATGTGTTGTTTGTTTTCTCTCTTCTTGTTCTTTCTTGAATCCACTCAGTCTTTGTTCTCACTATTCCACTAGTCCGCAGCCCCAGTGGAGGTTGAAAAAGACCTTCACATTGCCAGAAGGTCTTTTATGATTGATTTTTAGCCACAGTGGATCACATCTTCACCTTGAGGTAGTTTCTTCACTAGTCCTTGGGGAACCACTCACTCTTGGTTCTCCTACCTCACTGACAGTTCCTCCTCAGTCTTTTCTACGTTGTTCTTCCCCATCCCCTAACCTTTACATTTTGGAATGTCCCAGGGCTCAGTTCTCATTTACAAACAGTGAGCAGGGTAGGGCTAACTTAATCTCATGGTTTTATCATCTACACATTGATAACCCTCCAATTTACATATCCATCTAGACCCTGTGTCCTGAAAGCCAGACTCATACAGCCAACTGCTTGCATGTCTAAGAGACGTCTAAAATTCACCACGTCCGAAAATGAACTCCTGATATCTCCCTGAAACTCGTTATTCTGAAATTGTCCTAATTTCATGAGTGACCCTTCCAGTCTAGAGTTTACTGATCTATAAAGCCTTAGGACCATCTTTGACATTTCATTTGTTATCTCACCCTGCATCTATTCCAAGGGCAACTGCTATAGCCTCTACTTTCAACATATATCCAGAATCTGACCCCTTCTCACCACATCTACTTCCACACTGAGTCTAGTCTCATGCCCCATCCTCTCATGTAGATTATCTTAACAGCCTCTTGTCTCCTTGCTTCAACTTTCATTCAACTATACTTTATTCTCCATACAATATCCCTTGAAAACATTCGTCATAATTAGTCTCTCCTCAGCTCAAACCCTTCCAGTAGTATCCCATTTCACCCAGAGTAAAAGGTAACGTACTTTCCACAGCCCAAGACCCCATACAATCCCCTACAAACTTTCTGGGCTTAACTTCTGCCACTTTCTTTATCCACCCTTGGGTAGGATCACTCAGTGTCAGTCACAGTCTCCTTCTTGCCAATCTTCAAACACAGTGAAATATGCGCCTACCTCAGGGCCTTTGTAGGGGCTGTTCCCTCAACCTGGAAAATTTTCCTCCTGGATATTCACATGAATCCTCTGAGATACCCACAGGGCTCATTTCCTCTCTTCAGAGAAGAGACCTTCTCAGAGAGCTGAACCTGACCACCCTGGATAAAAGCAAGTAATGCCCCCAGCTCTTTACAGCCTCCTTACTCTGCTTTGTTTTTTTAAAGGACTTGTCGGTAACTGACATATATTCTTCTCTTCTTTTACTTATTGTCTATTCCCACAAAATGTAATCTTCCCAGCAGCAGGCACTTTGTCTCTTTTGTTCATTGTTATATTTACTAGCACTGAGTACAGTGCCTGGCACCCGATAGATTATCAATAATTATTTGTTGAACAAGTGAATGAATGAACAAACCCCATTCACTGTAAGCTCCATCCCCTGGCTCAGCATCCATCTTCTGGAGCTCCAGAGATGGTTTTCTCCCTAGAGTTCTCGCCTGTCTCTTCCTCTCAGGCCTTTGCCTCTTGGCGGTAAACATCTCTGGTTCTTTCTACAGTTCTTTAAATAAAATGGTGGCTCTGGCAACACATCTGAGTTTCTTCACACTCCACCATGTGGTTTGTCTGGATTTAGGGATTTGAACACTTAAAATAGTTGTTTGCTGCCTATTTTCTTGTCTTCTTTGGGCTTCAGCTTCACCATAGCCATGTTGATTCTACCCACTCATGTCTGAAGACCAGACTTCTAGACTGAGAGCTGGGTTTTGGGATTTGGAACTCAAAGAGATAGTGGATTTAAATCTCAGACCTGTCAGTTTCCTCATCTGCGAATTATGCCAAGCACATAACTTCATGTGGCTAATGTGAGAATTAATGTCGGTTAAGTGTTTAACACAATGCCTGGCACATAGCAGACTCTTATAAATGTCAAAGTCCCCTTGACCTTCTCTGTCTTATGTCAACTTTATACCTTTGTCTTCAAGCAGTGGATCCACTTTTTCCAGCTTGTTTTTTCTCCACGTGGAGCTTTAGCAAAGCTCTTCTTGTCTATACCCTGCATATGCTAGGCTTACTGGGAAAGATAAATGACTTTTCTAAAGCTCTTGTATATACAAGGTCTAAAATTGCAACAGGAGATTTGTTGGTAGACCTAAAGTAAATTCAAATGGTAAAAATAACTTAAAAGCTTCAAGATAGTAGATTACGTACTTTGGATCACTTGTCATTGTGCTTAAAGATCAGAATGAATTAGGTGTGTGGATGACTTAAGTTTACTTTGATTAGAAAGAGGTGGCTAATAAAGAAACCCTCTGGAAATGGTTTATCACCCATAGAGCAGTTTAGAGCCTATGTACACAATGGATGCCAATATGTTTTCTATAAAGTCTATTTAAAATTTAACATGAGTGGTAGTCAAGAGCAGAAGGCAGAACATTCAGATGGGGCAAGTGAGGAGAGTTTAATGAAGGGGCTATTCACAAATGTGTTGGAAGGATTAAGGAAAACCAAACAGAAGTGCTGAAGCAAGCAGGGGCAAGCCAAAGCTGGGAACTGTGAACATCTAGGCCTGAAGTAGCAAGGGAAAGGAGCAGTTCCTGCTCTTGGGAAGGGTAGCTAGCTCTAGGAGAAGGCTGCCTCAGATCCAGCTATCTCAGACAATGTAACGGAGAGAGTGAGCCAGGGGAGTAGATACCCCTACCCAACCCACCACTTGCCTTCCCTTCTGCTGGTAGCACCTCCCTTTGGCAGAACACAGTGGGCACTAGACAGCAAGGGAGCCATTGATGTTGCCCATGGAGTTCAGCCTCCAGGGACTCAGGGTAGGATGGCAAAGTGGAGGGAAGATCTGAAGGAGCCAATGGGGAATACCCAGCAGGGTTTACTTAGTAATGAACAACTTTTGATGAAGGGTGGAGATCAGAGCTTTTCCAAATGCTTTTCTATAATGTTTGAAATACCTCATGCTATTCTTGCATTACTTTTATTAATTGTTTTAATCTTGAGGGCTTTTTTTTGTTGGTGGTGCTGGAATTATGGGCTGTTTATTTTTTCGGTATTAAAAGACTATACTGTTATTTAAAACTAATATGGGACTGTATGATACCATTATATGAGGTTAGGAACAGGCTACGGCGTTGAATGGTGATAGAAGTCAGAACAGTGGTAACTTCCAGGGAAACTTTCTAGGAAATATTCTGTGTCTTGAACTGTGTGGTGATTACACGGGCACATATATAGGTCAAAATTCATTGAGCTTGCACTTAAGATCCACGTTTTTGTTTTTATTGAGATGGGGTTTCACTCTGTCGCCCAGGTTGGAGGGCAATGGCTTGATCATGGCTTACCACAGCTTCAACCTCCTGGGCTCAAGTAATCCTCCTGCCTCAGCCTCTTGAGTAGCTGGGACAACAGGCATGCACCACCACACCTGGCTAATTTTTTTTTTGTTTTGTAGAGATGGAGTTTCACCATGCTGCACAGGCTGGTCTCAAACTCCTGGGCTCAAGTGCTAGGATTACAGGCATGAGCCACTGCGCCCAGACTGATTTATGTATTTTATTATATGTAAATTATACCTCAATTAAAAAGAATAAAAAATAGTGTGGTTATGCCCTTGGAAGTGCAATGTTTGTGTGCGATATTTTGAATGTTTATACAATGTCCAGGAGCATTTGTGTACCAGATCTTCATTGTCTTATCTGCTCTCTCTACACGTGTAACCAACATTCAGTTTTTCAAGGGGCAAAGACAGGGGAGGTGCATAGACTAGTCGCAGAGAAAGCTACAGACAATTACCCTCAGTTGAAAATAAACATAATAAAACTACGGAAGTCTAATTTTTGCAACTTGAGAGGGTTTTTCTGCAGCTATTCACTTCTAATCACTCTCACCTAATAAATGAATAGAATAGCTAATGTGATTAGACTAATTCACTATTCATCAAGAATATTAAATGAATAGAATATTTTGCATTTCACCAGTCACACATCTTGAGTATTTACCTGATATTACAATCAGACATGTGTTAGATTTTCTCTCTGCTTCTGGGCCATAGCTCATGGATAATTATAGTGTTTAATTAGCTCCGCACAGCACTTGGCTCTCCGGTGTGGATGGAAATTACAGGATGCAGAAAGAACAAATCAAAGGCTGTAAAGGAAAGTAGCCCTTTGCTGTATTCCCTTGGAAGCATTAGCAGGGGCCATGGGTAGCACAGGGTGAATTGTTATTCCACTTGAATAGAAAAGAAGTTGCTTTTCATAGAGATTTTTAAAGTACAATTTTCTTGGAAAACACAGATAGTGAGCATGAAATAGAAAATAGGCAGAGAGTTTAATTTACTTACAAAGAGGATATTTTTCCCCTGATCATTTTTGACAGCTCTTTATACTTGACAAAATCATAGCTCTTTGGTTGGGAGTGTCCCCTAAGGAAGCTGGACAGGTGACTATAGTCTGAGGCCATTGAGCCGACTTTCAAAAGGTCAGGCAACTGCTCTGAGTCTCTGTGTCCTGAAAGTGAAACAAAGCAGTCTGCAAGCTCAATGCCTAATTCCTGAATAAATGCAATAATTTGAATCAATCCAATCCTATACTACAGACAGATAATGACCATCTCCTCTGGGTAATACATGGTGCCAAGTGCTATGAAGATAAAAAGATAAGACAAAACCACTCCCACCACTCGAGATCAGACAGTGTGAAGGGAGAAAGAGTAAAAAGTGCACAGTGATCGCTATATAAGTAAGATAGGGGACCTGGGGAGGTCTAAGGCAGCAGGGGTCACACATGGCATAAGGGCATCTGGTGATGAGGATGGTGATCCAGAGGAATCTCAAAGGATCAATAGAACTGTGAGAAGCTGAGGTGACAGTAGGCCAGGAAGGGAGCCACTGGAACCAAGATGTGGAAGTGAGAATCTAGTTTGGTTTGTGGAAAAAATGGGTAGGGAGGAAAACATCCTTTGGTTTCCAACAAGTATACTTGATCCAAACTTACTCTGTAGACCTTCAGATGAAAGAAAATAGTTTATTTGAACACCTTTTTTCCATGAAGGCCTTCCTCTATTCTCACCTTGATGTTGTATGAACTGAATTTGCTCATGCTGAAAAGAGAATTACAATATATCCTATCTCAGCACTTTGGGAGGCCGAGGTGGGTGGATCAGAAGGTCAAGAGATCGAGACCATCGTGGCCAACATGGTGAAACCCCGTCTGTACTAAAAATACAAAAATTAGCTTGGCGTGGTGGCATGTACCTGTAGTACCTGCTACTAGGGAGGCTGAGGCAGGAGAATCACTTGAACCCTGGAGGCAGAGGTTGCAGAGAGCTGAGATCACGCCACTGCACTCTAGCCTGGCAACAGAGTGAGACTCCATCTAAAAAAAGAGAGAGAGAGAGAGAGAATTACAAGATATCCTAAAGGTCTTTTCACTATGACATTTTCTAATCAAAACTACCATATGAAGAAAGTCTGCGTTCTCTGATGAATAAGTGATTGGACATCTTTCACTCATTTGGCAACTACTCATCGAATGCTTATAATGTTCCTGACACTATGAATCAAGGCTCTGGGTCACAGCAGTGAACTGACCAAATCACCTCTGTCATGGAGCTTATATTTAAATCTGCTGATGAGAAATAAACACATATGATGAATTAGTTCATAGGTCAGGAGATAAGAGCACCATACTGAAAAGTAGAACAAGGTATGGAAGATAGAGAGTCCCGAGGATGGTGTTCTTGCATATAGGGTTGTCATGGAAATTCCCTCCGATAAAGCATGGCTTGAACAGAGACTGGAAAGGGTAAGGAAGTGAGCCTGGTGGATATCTGGAAGAAGGGCAGCAGGAAAGTAAGTGCAAAGGCCCTGTGGAAAGAACATGCTTGGTATGTCTGAGGGGAGTCATGGAGGGTGTTGTGGTGAAGCAGAGTAAGCAAAGCGGAGCTGGGGGTAGCAGCAGGACAAGAGGGGGAGAGAGAGAGAGCAGGAGGGCAGAGCATAAAGCAAGACTGCCATTTTCCCTGGGTGAGATGGGAAGCTGCTGAAGCATTTTCAACAGAAGAGTGGCATGATAATCAGTGGTCCCCCCTTATCTGCAGGGGAAAAGTTCCAAGACTCTCAGTGGATACCTGAAACTAAGGAGGGTACCAAACCCTGTGTATTTTTTCTGTCTGATAACTGAGATGGCTACTGAGTGCCTAATGAGTGGTGGTGTATACACCGTAGATGCACACTGGTTGAAGGGAGGATTCACGTCCAGGGCTGAATGGAGCGGTAGGGTGTGAGATTTCAACATGGAACAGCATGCCATTTAAAACTTACGAATTGTTTATTCCTGGAATTTTCCATTTAATATTTTTGGACTGTGGTTGACCTCACATAACCGAAGCTGTGGAAAGTACAACTGCAGAAGGAGGGATTACTGTATTTTTTGTTTTAAAAGGATCACTCTAGCTGCCTTGGGGAGAATAGATTGGAATCCAAGGAGGGAGGAGGACAACGGTGAAAATAAATAGGGTAGCTAGGTGTCTACTGCAAAAACCCAGGCATTGTACAACGGCATCTTGCGAGCAGTGAAGGTAGTAACTGTCAGATATTTTGAAGGTATAGCCAACAAACTTTGCTGATGGGTTAGGTCTCAGATATGTGAGAAAAATATGAGTTAAAGAAGACTTCAAGGCTTTGGGCCTGACAAATTGGGAGAATGGGAGAGTTACCACTTATTAAGATGGGGAGGAATTGGGAATGCAGCAGAACCAAGTTTCCCTTTAGAAATGTGAAGTTTGAGATTCGTATTGAAAAGCAAGTGGAGATATTGAAGAAGCAATTGGGTATGTGAGTTAGAAATTCAGGCAGAGGCCTGAGCTACAGAGATAAATTAGGGAGCCATCTGTGAGTAGGTGGTACTTCAACCCCAGGAGGGAGATGAGATTTCCAGGCATTTCTTTAGATAAAGAGAAGAGGTGAGTATCCTGAGGAACTTCAGCATTTAGAGGTTAGGGGATGGGAAGAAACCAACAGAGGAATGGTCAGAGTTCGAAGAGTCCCCAAAAAAGAGTGGCTTCTCGGAGGACACGTGAAGGGTATTTCAAGCAGGAGGACAGAGTCATCCCTTGGAAGAAAAAAGAACACTCTTTTGTTCATGTTAGGAGTTTGCTGTTGTTAAGTGTGATAGGCAGAATTCTAAGATGGTGCCCAAGATTCCCCATGCCCTTTATTATACATGCCCTGTGTAATCTCTGGCAATGTGAATATGATGGATGTTATTCCAGGGATTCGGTTGCATATTCTCTGGCACTGTGAATATGATGGATGTTATTCCAGGGATTCGGTTATGCTCTACGGCACAGTTGATTTTAAGATGGGAGATTATCCTGGTGGACCTGACTTAATCACATGAGCCCTTTAAAAGCAGCTGGATGTAGATGAGGGCGCCAGAGAGACAAACTCCAGCTGTCCAGAGGTAACACACATTTATGATGTGACCTGTCATTGGGGGGCACAGGGCAAGGAACTGTGAGTAGCCTCTGGGCATTAATACTAGTCCCTGGCCAACAACTAGCAGGAAACAGGCATCTTCATCCTACAGCCTTAAGGATGTGAATTCTGCCAACAACCAGTGAGCTTGGAAGAGGACCCAAACAGGAACTACAACCACAGCTGGCACCATGATTTCAGCCTGGTGAGACCCTGAGCAGAGAATCCAGCCATGCCATGCCCAGACTTCTGACCTACAGAAACTGTGACATAATAAATTTCTGTTGTTTTAAGATGGGATTTTGAGGTAATTTTTAATGCAGCAATAGAAAACTGACGTTCTGAGGAAGACTGAGGATTTAAAAGTCTATGAAAGAGAGAGAGAGTGAGAGTGAAACAGAGAAAAAGAGGGAGGCAGGAGATAAAAAAAGGGAAAGAAATTGGGAGGGAAGGAGAAAAAAGAGCAATGTCTAAGAAATGCACCTACATGGATATTTTCAGAGAACTATTAATCATAAAGTAAATAACTCTCCTTATTGCAGAAAAGGAATTTAAGATGGGAAACAGTGATTTATTGCTGAATCCTTCAGGGTTTCACAGTAAATGCTTGGCCAGACCGGAAAGCAGGCTGCTCTGGGAGGCTCATTTGGGGCCTTCTGCTTCCCTCTGTTCAGTGTAGGATCCAGGGCTTTCTCTTGATAGTCACTGGCCTGGGTTGGGTATCTGGAGGCACAATTTCCACGCTGGCTCTCATCATGAATTGCGCCCACAAATCCTTACCTTTCTTGATGTGGCCCTACTTGTGAGTTGTTATTAACTTGGAGATCTAGAAATTCGAGTCCAGAGAGGAAGGCCTGCAGTCCATGGCATGATCCTAGTTTTTCTGGGCCATGGAAAGCAAGCAGAGGAAGTCACATGGGCCCCAAACCCTGGACTCTAGTTTTGGTTGTACCATGTCTAGCTGTGTGACCATGAAACATTGTTGGTCTCAGAGTCTTAAGTCTCACCATCTGTAATTTTGGGAAAATACCTGACTTCTTCCTGACACAGAGGGTGGTGAAGATAACATGGGACATACGAAGTAATATGAAGTATTATTACCATTTCAGCTTTGGCCATGAGCTCAGTAGCATCTAGCTTATTTTGGCTCCAAAAGTTCTGCGTGAAAGTCTGTTAACATCCTGGCCACATAGGGCCCACACTTAAATATCACAATGTTAGGATGTTTATCTAAGTAATTGGAGACACAGTGAATTGGAGAATGAGATTGGTTGCCACTAGGTAATATTATAATAATATTCCATTGCAATGAATATTATTACAGTATTATGCTTCAATGCTATCTGAGAAGGGGTACTTTCTCAAACTAATTACCTAAAAAAAATCTGTATAAGTTAGTGAATGGCCTTCTTTTATAATGGAAGTATTTCATCATGAGCTATCTGCAGTAGACAGGGGAAATCTGAATTGAGCTGTTTGCACCTCTTTTGTCCTGCCACGAAGTAAACATTAGCCTTTAGGGTTCCTTTTTTCCCTCTTCCAATATCACAGTGGATGAAATAATATTTCACTTAACTTCCAAACCACTACCAAAATCAAGTGGTTAAGAGAAGGAAAGAAGAGGTGGAGGTAGAGTCACAGCGACTTCCACTTAGTAGGTGGAAAGCTCCACTTTAACCTTTGAATTCAGTAAGGAGAGAATGGATACACCTGGGCTTTCTCTCCGGCTCCTGCAGACAGAAAAAGTAGCAGCATATCATCCCAACCAAACCCCACAGCATGTGTGTGTACGTGTGAACACGCGTGCCTGTGCAGACACACACACACACACAAACACGAAGAAATAATAGAAAACAAAAAGTCAATCTCATAGCCTTTTTTCATAGAAGGATTATACTTCTGGAACACAGCACTGTTTCAATTGTTGATAAAATTATTTGACTTCTCGAGCACAGCAAGAGAAAAGGTAAGAAGGAATTTGATTTCTATGACTAAGTTTAGTAGTCAAGTTCATTCATTCAATAGATATGAATTGGGCACCTATGGCACTGGGAATGCACCAGGGTACAGTATAGAAAAAGTTCCTGTTCTCATGGCATATATGTTCTAGTGGAAGAGGCAGAATAAATGGATTAACATATATATATATATATATATGCAGTGGTAGTAAATGCTGTGAAAAATAGTGGCGCAGGGTAAAGATACAGAGATGGCAGCTGGAAAGGGTAGTTGCTACTTATATATGGTGACCAGTGAAGGTCACACTGATGATGAGAACCTCAAGCACAGAACTGAAGAAAGTATTGAGGAAGCAAGCTATGTAACAATTTGGGGGAAAAGCATTGCAGACAGGCAGAAGAGCAAATGCCAGTGCCCCAAGATAAAAGCACATTGGACTTTCATTTGCACATTTATTGATACATTTATACATTCTCTCCTTCCTTCATTCATGCAGCCTCTCATTCACAGAGATAACTAAAGAAGCAATTGGCTATGCGAGTTAGAAATTCACATAATTAATCTAATTACATGCATCTAGGGAACACTTTTTGTCAAATTTGTACCTCATTTTAGTTATGAATTGCATATTTGTTGATTATTTAATATACGTTAAGCATAAGAGGAAAATACATATGAGTCTGGCAAGATTCTTGTTTGTTTGTTTATTTATTTTTAAGACATAGTCTTGCTCTGTCACCCAAGCTGGAGTGCAATGGCATGATCTTGGCTTACTGCAACCTCCACTTCCCAGGTTCAAGAGATTCTCCAGCGTCAGCCTCCCGAGTAACTGGGATTACAGGTGCATGCCACCATGCCCAGCTAATTTTTTGTATTTTTAGTAGAGACGGGGTTTCAACATGTTGGCCAGGCTGGTCTTAAAACTCCCAACTTCAGGTGATCCTCCCTGACCTCCCGCCTCGACCTCCCAAAGTGCTTGGGATTATAGACGTGCACCTCCGTGCCCAGCCAAATTCTTATTTTTTTAAAAAGACAGACACATAAACAAATAAATGTAGTATTCCATGAGGCTTCATGGTATTGGGAAAATAGCATGGACTTTGAAAACAGATATTCTAGTCCAGCCGTTTGTAACATACCTACCCCTGAGCAAGCTACTTTCCTCTTTAAGCCATAGAGCATAGGGCAAGTGATATCTACTTTGTAGAATTCTTGTGAGGAATAAATAAGATAACATACAAACAGTACAGGTATATAGCAATAGTAAGTGGCACAGTTGGTGGCAGAGAGTAGGATATTCGGTAAATGCTTATTGAATGCGTGGAATCAATGAGTGCTCAGAACGGGAGTGATGAGAATCATTATCTGCCATAGGTAACTACATGGAAGTACAGAAAAGTTAAGTTATTTATTCTTGATTATTCAGCAGTGGTCAGAGGTCAGGTTTTCTATCTGGTCTATACAGGGTCTGGACTGTTTAAAAATTATTTAAAATCTTTCTGAATATGATCTATTTCAGGGGCCAGCCTATACTTGGAATCAAACAAGGCCTTTACTTGCATTACATTTACAATATGTTTAAGTAATTAGAAAATGGTAAACTCTTTATTCTTAATGGCAATGGAAATATAGTTCAATCTCACAGATGATACAGGAGAACATATGGTCCCTGAGTTTCAACTTCTGTTAAGTGGACTTAGTCAATTTTATTTTCTCTTCCTATCCTTGCTCACCTTCAGGCAGAGAAACTTAGTAGCTTTGAATTGTACCTGGCACATAGTAGATACTCAAATATTTGTTGAATGAAGAAATGAATGAATGATGAGTGAATTATTTTACTCATAACCACTCCCTAGAACCTTAATTTTTACTTTCATTAAGATCTCAACACCCTCAACCTTCTCATTTCCCCTTTTACTGCATCCACATCCCTGGCCAGATTTGCTACAAGATCACCTTCATCAATTCATCTCTTGATAAACTCCTTTGACCTGCTATGGTGTCCACCATAATTAAGTCAATCCTAATTCTGCTCCTCAGGGGCACAGCATCATTTCAGAAGGTCTCAGAACATTGATGACTTGGCCTGGACATCTGATTTCAGTGGCCCTTGCTGGTGACCCTGTTATGCATATTGTTCATTTTTCTTGCCATTGTTACTCCATAATTTTCTAAAGTTTTTCATGTTCTCCAAGCTATAGTCTTATTTTCTCCCAGATACTAGTATCAGTAAATTATCTCATTTACTGCTTCACTAGGATTCTGGAAGCCAGTGGTGTCCATCTCAGTACAAGTCAAATTAGATGCATCCCATGTGCCTTGCTAGCCTGCTTGCTTGCCTGCCTGCCTGCCTGCCTGCCTGCCTGCCTGCCTTCCTTCCTTCCTTCCTTCCTTCCTTCCTTCCTTCCTTCCTTCCTTCCTTCCTTCCTTCCTTCCTTCCCTCCTTCCCTCTCTCTCTGTCTTTCTTGAGACAGCATCTTGCTCTACTTTCCAGGCTGAAGTGCAGTGTCGTGATGACAGCTCACTGCAGCCTTGACCTCCCAAGCTCAAGTGATCCTCCCAACTCAGCCTGCCAAGTAGCTGGGACCACAGATGTGCACAACCATTCCAGGCTAATTTTTAAATTTCGTGTAAAGACAAGGTCTCCCTATGTTGCCCAGGCTGCTCTTCAACTCCTGGGCTCAAGTGATACTGCCTCTGCTTCCCAAAGCACTGAGATTACAGGTGGAATTACTGGGATGCCCAGCCTTACATGTGTTTTCTTTTTTTCTGCAGGGCTACATTATCTTTTTTCTTTCTTTCTTTTTTTTTTTTTTTATTATACTTAAGTTCTGGGATACATGTGTAGAACATGCAGGCTTGTTACATAGGTATACATGTGCCACGGTGGTTTGCTGCACCCATCAACCCGTCATCTACATTAGGTATTTCTCCTAATGTTATCCCTCCCCTTGTCCGCCACCATCTTACAAGCCCCAGTGTGTGATGTTCCCCTCCCTGCACCCATATGTTCTCATTGTTCAACTCCCACTTATGAGTGAGAACATGCAGTGTTTGGTTTTCTGTTCCTGTGTTAGTTTGCTGAGAGTGATGGTTTCCAGCTTCATCCATGTCCCTGCAAAGGACATGAACTCATCTTTTTTTATGGCTGCATAGTATTCCATGGTGTATATGTGCCACATTTTTTTTTTTATCCAGTCTATCATTGATGGGCATTTGGGTTGGTTCCAAGTCTTTGCTATTGTGAATAGTGCTGCAAGAAACATATGTGTGCATGTGTCTTTATTGTAGAATGACTTATAATTCTTTGGGTATATACCCAGTAATGGGATCGGTGGGTCAAATGGTATTTCTAGTTCTAGATCCTTGAGGAATCACCACATTATCTTCCACAATGGTTGAACTAATTTACACTCCCACCAACAGTGTAAAAGCATTTCTATTTCTCCACATCCTCTCCAGCATCTGTTGTTTCCTGACTTTTTAATGATCACCATTCTAACTGGCATTAGATGGTATCTCATTGCAGTTTTGATTTGCATTTCTCTAATGACCAGTGATGATGAGCTTTTTTTCATATGTTTGTTGGCCACAGAAATGTCTTCTTTTGAAAAGTGTCTGTTCACATACTTGGCCCACTTTTTGATGGGGTTATCTGTTTTTTTCTTGCAAATTTAAGTTCCTTTTAGATTCTGGATATTAGCCCTTTGTCAGGTGGATAGATTGGAAAAATTTTCTCCCATTCTGTAGGTTGCCTGTTCACTCTGATAATAGTTTCTTTTGCTGTGCAGAAGCTCTTTAGTTTAATTAGATGCCATTTATCCATTTTGGCTTTGTTGCAATTGCTTTCAGTGTTTTAGTCATGAAGTCTTTGACCATGCCTATGTCCTGAATGGTATTGCCTAGGTTTTTGTCTAGGGTTTTTATGGTTTTAGGTTTTATGTTTAAATCTTTATTTCATCTTGAGCTAATTTTTGTATAAGGTGTAAGGAAGGGGTTCAGTTTCAGTGTTCTGCATATGACTAGCTAGTTTTCCCAACACCATTTATTAAATAGGGAATCCTTTCCCCATTGCTTGTTTTTGTCAGGCTTGTCAAAGATCAGATGGTTGTGGATGTGTGGTGTTATTTCTGAGGCCACTGTTCTGTTCTGTTGGTCTATATATCTGTTTTGGTACCAGTACCATGCTGTTTGGTAACCGCAGCCTTGTAGTATAGTTTGAAGTCAGGTAGCATGATGCCTCCAGCTTTGTTCTTTTTGCTTAGGATGGTCTTGGCAATGCGGGCTCTTTTTTGGTTCCATATGAACTTTAAAGTAGCTTTTTCTAATTCTGTGAAGAAAGTCAATGGTAGCTTGATGGGGGTGGCATTGAATCTATAAATTACCTTGGGCAGTATGGCCATTTTCACGATATTGATTCTTCCTATCCATGAGCATGGAATGTTTTTCATTTCATTTGTTTGTGTCCTCTCTTATTTCCTTGAGCAGTGGTTTGTAGTTCTCCTTGAAGAGGTCCTTCACATTCCTTGTGAGGTGTATTCCTAGGTATTTTATTCTCTTCCTAGAAATTGTGAATGGGAGTTCACTCATTATTTGGCTCTCTATTTGTCTATTATTGGTTTATAGGAATGCTTGTGATTTTTGCGTATTGATTTTGTATCCTGAGACTTTGCTGAAGTTGCTTATCAGCTTTAGGAGTTTTTGGGCTGAGATGATGGGGTTTTCTAAATATACAATCATGTTGTCTGCAAGCAGAGATAATTTGACTTTTTCTCTTCCTATTTGAATACTCTTTATTTCTTTCTTTTGCCTGATTGCCCTGGCCAGAGCTTCCAATACTATGTTGAATAGGAGTGGTGAGAGAGGGCATCTTTGTCTTGTGCCAGTTTTCAAAGGGAATGCTTCCAGCTTTTCCCATTCAGTAGGTTGTTGGCTGTGGGTTTGTCATATATAGCCCTTATTATTTTGAGATACTTTCCATCAATATCTAGTTTATTGCGTGTTTTTAGCACAACAAGGTATTGACTTTTATCGAAGGCCTTTTCTGCATCTATTGAGATAATCATGTGATTTTTGTCATTGGTTCTGTTTATATGATGCATTACATTTATTGATTTGCGTATTTTGAACCAGCCTTGCATCCCAGGGATGAAGCTGACCTGATCGTGGTAGATAAGCTTTTTAACGTGCTGCTGGATTCGGTTTGCCAGTATTTTATGAAGGATTTTCCCATCAATGTTCATCAGGGATATTGGCCTGAAATTTTTTTGTTGTTGTGTCTCTGCCAGGTTTTGGTATCAGGATGATTCTGGCCTCACAAGAAGAGTTAAGGAGGAGTCTGTCTTTTTCTATTGCTTGGAATAGTTTTAGAAGGAATGGTACCAGCTCCTCTTTGTACCTCTGGTAGAATTTGGTTGTGAATCCATCTGGTCCTGGGCTTTTTCTGGTTGGTAGGCTATTAATTCCTGCCTCAATTTTAGAACTTGTTATTGATCTATTCAGGGATTCGACTTCTTCCTGGTTTAGTCTTGGTAGGGTATATGTGTCCAGGAATTTATCCATTTGTTCTAGATATTCTAGTTTATTTGCATAGAGGCGTTTACAGTATTCTCTGATGGTAGTTTGTATTTCTGTGGAATCAGCAGTGATATCCCCTTTATCATTTTTTATTATGTCTATTTGATTCTTCTCTCTTTTCTTCTTTATTAGTTTGGCTAGCAGTCTATCTATTTTGTTGATCTTTTCAAAAAACCAGCTCTTGGATTCACTGATTTTTTTTGAAGGGTTTTTCATGTCTCTATCTCCTTCATTCTGCTCTGATCTTAGTTATTTCTTGTCTTCTGCTAGCTTTTGAATTTGTTTGCTCTTGTTTCTCTAGTTCTTTTAGTTGTGATGTTAGAGTGTCAATTTTAGATGTTTTCTGCTTTCTCTTGTGGGCATTTAGTGCCATAAATTTCCCTCTAAACACTGCTTTACCTGTGTCCCAGAGATTCTGGTACATTGTGTCTTTGTTCTCATTGGTTTCAAAGAACTTATTTATTTCTGCCTTAATTTTCTTATTTACCCAGTAGTCATTCAGGAGCAGGTTGTTCAGTTTCCATGTAGTTGTGTAGTTTTGAGTGAGTTTCTTAATCCTGAGTTCTAATTTGATTGCCCTGTGGTCTGAGAGACTGTTTGTTATGATTTCCATCCTTTTGCGTTTGCTGAGGAGTGTTTTACTTCCAATTATGTGGTCAATTTTAGAAGAAGTATGATATGGTGCTGAGAAGAATGTATATTCCGTTGATTTGAGGTGGAGAGTTCTGTAGATGTCTATTAAGTCCTTTTGGCCGAGAGCTGAGTTCAAGTCCTGAATATCCTTGTTAATTTTCTGTCTCCTTGATCTGACTAATATTGACAGTGTGGTGTTAAAGTCTCCCACTATTATTGTGTGGGAGTCTAAGTCTCTTTGTATGTCTCTAAGAACTAGTCTCTTTGTATGTCTCTAAGAACTTACTTTATGAATCTGGGTGCTCCTGTATTGGGTGCATATATATTTAGGATAGTTAGCTCTTCTTGTTGCATTGATTCCTTTACTATTATGTAATGCCCTTCTTTGCTTCTTTTTTTTTTTTTATCTTTGTTGGCTTAAAGGCTGTCTTTTTTTTAAATTTTTAAATTTTTTTTTTTTTTTGAGACGGAGTCTCACTCTGTTGCCCAGGCTGGGGTGCAGTGGCATGATCTTGGCTCACTGCAAGCTCCACCTCCTGGGTTCACGCCATTCTCCTGCCTCAGCCTCCCGAGTAGCTGGGACTAAAGGCGCCCGTCACCATGCCCGGCTAATTTTTTTTTTTTTTTTTTTTTTGTATTTTTAGTAGAGACGGGGTTTCACTGTGCTGGCCAGGATGGTCTCGATCTCCTGACCTTGTGATCCACCCGCGTAGGCCTCTGAAAGTGCTGGGATTACAGGCGTGAGCCACTGTGCCTGGCCTTTAAAGTCTGTTTTATCAGAGACTAGGATTGCAACACCTGCTTTTATTTATTTATTTATTTACTTACTTACTTTCCATTTGCTTGATAAATCTTTCTCCATCCCTTTATTTTGAGCCTATGTGTGTCTTTGCATGTGAGATGGGTCTCCTGAATACAGCACACCAATGGGTCTTGACTCTATCCCATTTGCCAGTCTGCGTTTTTTAATTGGCACATTTAACTCATTTACATTTAAGGTTAATATTGTTATGTGTGAATTTGATCCTGTCATTATGATGCTAGGTGGTTATTTTGCCCATTAGTTAATGCAGTTTCTTCATAATGTTGATGGTCTTTACATTTTGGTTTGTTTTTGCAGTGGTTGGTACCGGTTTTTCCTTTTCATATTTAGTGCTTCTTTCAGGAGCTCTTATAAGGCAGACCTAGTGGTGACAAAATCCCTCAGCATTTGCTTGTCCGTAAAGGATTTTATTTCTCCTTCCCTTACAAAGGTTAGTTTGGCTGGATATGAAATTCTGGATTGAAAATTCTTTTCTTTAAGAATGTTGAATATTGGCCTCCACTCTCTTCTGGCTTGTAGGGTTTCTGCAGAGAGATCTACTGTTAGTCTGATGGGCTTCCCTTTGTGGGTAACCCAACCTTTCTCTCTGGCTGCCCTTAACACTTTTTCCTTCATTTCAACCTTGGTAAATCTAATAATTATGTGTCTTGGGGTTGCTCTTCTCAAGGAGTATCTTTGTGGTGTTCTCTGTATTTCCTGAATTTGAATGTTGGCCTGTCTTGCTAGGTTCAGGAAGTTCTCCTGGATAATATCCTGAAGTGTGTTTTCCAACTTGGTTTTATTCTCCCCGTCACTTTCAGTTACATCAATCAAATATAGGTTTGGTCTTTTCACATAGTCCCATATTTCTTGGAGGCTTTGTTCATTTCTTTTCATTCTTTTTTCTCTAATTTTGTCTTCATGCTTTATTTCATTAAGTTGATCTTCAATCTCTGATCTCCTTTTTTCCCCTTGATCGATTTGGCTATTGAAACTTGTATATGTTTCATGTAGTTCTCATGCTGTATTTTTCAGCTCCATCAGGTCATTTATGTTCTAAACTGGTTATTCTAGTTAGCAATTCCTCTAACCTTTTATCAAGGTTCATAGCTTCCTTGCATTGGGTTAGAACATGCTCCTTATAGCTTGGAGGAGTTTGTTATTATCCACCTTCTGAAGCCTACTTCTGTCAATTCATCAAACTCATTCTCTGTCCAGTATCATTCCCTTGCTGGTGAGGAGTTGTGAGAAGAGGCATTCTGGTTTTTGGAATTTTCAGCCTTTTTGTGCCAGTTTTTCCTCATCTTCGTGGATTTATCTACCTTTGGTCTTTGCTATTGGCGACCTTCGGATGGAGTTTTTGAGTGGTTGTCCTTTTTGTTGATGTTGATGCTATTGCTTTCTGTTTGTTAGTTTCCTTCTAACAGTCAGGGCCCTCTTCTGCAGGTCTGCTGGAGTTTGCTGGGGGTCCACTCCAGACCCTGTTTGCCCATGTATCACCAGTGGAGGCTGAAGAACAGCAAAGATTGCTGCCTGCTCCTTCCTCTGGAAGCTTCGTCCCAGAGGGGCACCTGCCAGATGCCAGCTGGAGCTCTCCTGTATGAGGTGTCTGTTGACCCCTACTGGGAGGTATCTCCCCATCAGGAGGCAAGGGGATAAGGGACCCACTTGAGGAGGCAGTCTAACCCTTAGCAGAGCTCGAGCACTGTGCTGGGAGATCCACTGCTCTCTTCAGAGCCAGCAGGCAGGAATGTTTAAGTCTGTTGAAGCTGTGTCCACAGCTGCCCCTTGCCCTAGATGCTATGTCCCAGGGAGATGGGAGTTTTATCTATAAGCCCCTGACTGGGGCTGCTGCCTTTCTTTCAGAGATGCCCTACCCAGAGAGGAGGAATCTAGAGAGGCAGTCTGTCTACAGCGGCTTTGCGGCACTGCGGTCACATGTGCTTTCTAATCCTTCCATCAACTTGCTTACTTATGAGTTCCTGCCCGTCCCTGATCCTCCCTGGGCTGTCCTTGTATGGTGACTCTTGAGTCTTCTGTTGACTACTTCAGAACTTTCCATGTCCTTGGCTCTGCTTTTGGTCATTCTTCCAGTTATCTATTGCTGTATACAAAAACCTATCAAACCTCTAAAAATTAGAGCCTTCAAACAACTCCATTTTGTCATATCACACAATTTTGTCAGGTATTCAGGCAAGGATTGGCTGATTGACATCAGCTGGGTCACTTGGTGGTTTTAGCTGGTAGCTAGTCCTCAACCCTTTGCTGGCACCTTGATAAGGATGGCTGGATGAGTTCTCTACTTCCAAGTAGTCTCAGAGCTTCTCTGTGTGATCTCTCCAGCATGGTAGTTGGACTTACTTGACAGCCCAGGGCTCCCGGGGACCACATTCTCTTGAAGGTTCAGTAGGTCTGGAGAGAGTGTAGTGTCTCCCCTCACATACTCTAGAGAGCAAAACAATCATAAGGCAGCCCAAATTCAAGGGAAGGAGCAATAGACTCCACCTCTTGATAAGAAGTGTGTCAGAGAGTTTGTTGCCACTTGAAAGTTATGCTACCTCTCCATTTTAGAATTGAGAATTTCTTTTCTGTGGACTCACTGAAGACTACCCTTAGTGCTGATGCCTTGTTCAGCTTTGCTGCTCCCACAAGGGCACTAACATAGTGAAAGGACCACGCTCTACTCTATGGCCTTTGTTATGACATTTGACATAAGTTTTCTTCTACTCTTAAAGAGTAGACGTGGAGCTACACCGTCTAGATTCCTCTTTAAGGACGGGCTTGCTGCCCAGTTATGGGAAATGCAAATAACAGCCTCTAGCTGCCAGCATCTTCAAGGTCTGCCTCAACTGTGGAGAGGTTTCTTCCCAGATATTATGCCTTTCCTGGGCAGTCCATGTCCAGCGACTGAGTGAGGCTGGCAAATCAAGGCCTGGTCACTTTGGTCCAGCTGTTTCTTCCTAGGCAATTCTGGCTAGTGACATTTACTCTAGAGCTCTCCATGGGGTTGATGGAGGCTTTGGCAGACCTGCACTGCAGTTTTACTTCTCCTTTTCCCAAATATGGCTTTCCTGCTCTTCCTTTCAAAGATGCTGATCCCCAGTACACATCTTGCACACAAGACTGTCTCAGCTTTTGCTTCCAGAGTACCTGGCCTGTGACATACCTCTATACATACGTATTATGTGTGTGTCTACCTCTACATACATATAGACATATACACATGTATATCTATACATGCACATACACAACAATCTTATGCACAAATACATAACTATCTTACACACACACACATATATATTTTAACTCAAAACACAAAAGCTTTAATTATTTTTGCAAAAAGCAAGCCATCTATTCACCTTGGAAATAATAATAAAGTACAAACAGCTTTGACTCTGCATTCGGACAAGGGTGAACCATGATATTTAAGAAGTGTTTTAAATCATGCGTATGGTGGCTACAGAGTAAAAGGAACAGAGAAGACTGAAGCTATTGTCAGGTGTGTATATGTCATCAGCACACAGTGGGGGAGGAGGGTCCTCACTAAGTGCCACTAGCCCTGGTAGCTAGTTAGTTTGTCATGAAGCACCATGATCTGGCATGGACCCCCAGCTGCCACTTGAGAGAAGGTCTTCATAGCAGACTGTGCATCTGTGTCACAGAAGATGGCTGCAATGAAAAACAGTGTTCATTTTTTGCCCTTCCATATGTACAAATGTGTGATCCAAGCAAGGAAAGTTGAGGATGGAGAACACTAGCCTTCACCATCAGTTCCCCTGCTGAAGCCTTCTCCAACAGCCCTGAGGTCTGAGAGCCTAATGAAGTCTATGTATATGTGTATATACACACACATATGTGTGTGTATGTGTGTGTGTGTGTGTGTGTGTGTGTATATATATATATATATATATATATATACACATATATATATATACACACACACACACACACACACAAATTGGTACCAATTTGGGTCTCCAAAAAGATGACTCTGTTCCTGTCCAGGGCTAATCACTTCTAGTTGACATGGGTTGTTTCTGTATACCCTGTACATCATTCCTCCATAGTTTGTTGGTGAAAGTACCATTCCTTCTGTGTGGGACTGAGGAAGTGCTCCTCCATCCATCCATATGTTTCTAATGGAAACTACCAATCACAATGCTTCACCTTCTCCCTTTTACCCCAACCATAGGGCAGAACACAAAACAGACTGGGCCAATCAGAGTCCTTATAGCATTTAACTGGAGTTGGGGAGAAACCCTTTCTTTTCTGATGGAAAAGTTGAAAAGATATGTATCAGAGGCAATATTTAGAATGAGTCTAGCCTATGCTAGTCTTTATATGACAGAAGAGCATACAGAAGGTACCTAGAGAGCAGCAAAAATGAGCCCATGATTCTGGAGGCATCGAGTCTCTGGGTACAGCCATTGCCAGCTACATTCCTACTTTAACTGGTTATGTAAGCCAATGTATTCCCATTTTGGCCTAAGTTTGTAGATGAGGTATTCTGTCACTTGCAACTAAGATTCCTATTAAATATGCCCCTCTAGTTGTGCTCTGTATTCTGTTTTTCTTTGCTTTTTAGGACCTTTCATCTTCAATAATCCCATCTTGTAGTGCCTTTATTCTGTTCCTCTTGACTGGATGCACAGAACAAATACAGATCTCACCAATGGTGGATAGAAGACCACCCATTGAATCCCCAGTTTTTTTTTTAGCTACATTTCTACTTTCAGCTTTTGCTGCATGGCTAGATTTATTTCAATAGGGGGCCATACACACCCTTATATCTTCACTATATTCTCTTAATCTCCTATAATGTGTCTTCTGTCATAACCTTTCTAATTAAACCAGTTATCTGCTAACGGCCACAACAACCTTTCCTCAGTCTCTTTATCTTGATCTATTTCTGGCATATGACACTATTAATCACTCACAGCCTTTCCACCCCCTGGTAAGACATGGTCTTGAACTTCTCTTCCTAGAGACCCCACATTCCACTGGCATTCCTGAGGAGCAGGGTTCTGGTAGAGTCATGAGGGAGGAGTTTCAGAGCATAAGAAAGGAGGAGATTCAACTCTACTTCAGAGGCAAGAGGAAGAGCCATAGAGATGGTTGGAAGAGCAGTGATAGAAATTGAGGGAACTTGGCTAAGTGCGTGGAAGACTAGGTAGAAATGTCAAACTTAAAGAAAGTGGGTAAATGTTAGAAATATTGTAAAGAACGAATTAGCAAGTCCAAAAGAAACAAATAGTATGGTTTTAAACTAGCATCAAGGGTCCAGATATGATAAGTAGCTTGGACTTGATCAGCACAATTTCATAGTTTTTTCCCCAAGTCCCAGAAAACAAATGGCAATTGCAGGCTTAGAGGCATCATGATAATGGCAGACTAGGGTCCAGACTGATTGAAAGTGAGGCCAGAAGAGGCTCTAGACATCCACACCAGGCAAATATTACATTAGCAATTTTGAGGGAATAGAAAATGTAATGGTAAGGAAGTGAAGCCGAAATATCTTAGAGGCCAGGTGTGGTGGCTCATGCCTTTAATCCCAGCAATTTGGGAAGCCATGGCTAGCGGATCACTTGAGGTCAGGAGTTCAAGACCAGCCTGGCCAACATGGCGAAACCCCGTCTCTACTGAAAATACAAAAATTAGCCAGGCATGATGGTGCACACCTGTAATCCCAGCTACTTGGGAAGCTGAGGCAGGAAATTGCTTGAACCCGGGAGACGGAGGTTTCAGTGAGCCGAGATTGTGCCATTGCCTCCAGCCTGGGTGACAGGGCGAGACTTCATCTAAAATAATAATAATAAATAAATAAATAAATAAATAAATAAATAAATAAATAAATAATATCTTAGAGAAGAAAAGCTCCAGTTGATGGCATGATCCATAATGTGGCCATACTTAGCATTGTGGTTCTCAGACTTTAATGCATCAGAATCACCTGGAAAGCCTGTTAAAGCAGAAATTGCTTTAACAGGTTTTAACATCATGTCTCACCCCTAGGGATTCTGATTCAACAAGTCTAGGGTGACTCCTGAGAATCCACATATTTGACAAGTTTCCAGATGATGCTGATGCTATTGGTCCAAGGACCGTGCTTTGAGAGCCACTGATTTTGTGATGAGAAACAGAGAGGAGGTGAAAGTCCTTGATGTTGAGGAGGTTGAGATCCTGTGAGGCCAAGGTCATCAACCATCAATATATGGTTAGTGTGCTGATGGAATCTAATGTGAACAGGTGCTCAAGGCATCAAAGTTCAGAAGATGACATGACGAAGTGAGGGAAGAGTGTTGCAAAGGAGGAGGGCTCTTGTACAATGGCTGCTGAACAATGCCCCACAGGGAAGACTGGGGAAGAAAAAACAGATTCTTTAGGAAAGGCATTTGAGATCCATTTTATAGTTAAGGAAAAGCCATGTGTCTGTTAAGACAGTGGGGTGGAAAGAATGCTTGTGTAAGAACTTGAGTCTATGTGGGAGTTTATTCTTTAAGCAGAGCAGGATTCCACAGGACACTAAAGAAGGGGCTAGTTGAAAAGATGGGATGAAATAGGAGGGGTGGAAGGAAAACTGATTTGGATGCAATTGGGATGACTGATGGGAAAGTAGGGGGGAAAAGCCAAGGTGGGTGAGGTCTGTGCTTAGGCTGGAAGTATGGATACTGGAGCTGAAGGAAGATTGCGTTTGGGGCCATAGTAAGGTTGCAGACCTGTGTTAGTCATCAGGGGAGGAGATTGCTGACGAGGCATTCTACCTTCATTGTGGGAATTTGAACCACCCGTCTGTCCTGTTGCATGGGTGTTCACCTATGTCTGTTTTTGCTTTGACAAGGTCTGCTTAGCTTCTAATAAGCATAATGTGATTGAGTGGAAGGTGGGCAAAGGGGCTATAGGTGTAGCCAGGCTAAGGCTATGCCTGTATGGATTTTACTTTTTTACCCTACAAGCTTTGTAGTATAGTGGGCACAAGTAAACATTTGTTGAAATCTTTGATCCATACAACTGATGCCTTTTACTATCAACATTGTTGCATAGTGTGGCCTGTGTCTGATTGCATATGACACTGGGTTAAGAACTGAAACAGGAGAATTCTAGGCTCATCTTAGAGGTCCAGTGAGTAGAAGAAACATTTTGAAGCAGACATAGCATTGGTCACTGCTAAAATGGAAAGATGACTGAGCAAAGAATCAAGACCTTGTTTCCACTCTTTTTGTGACTTTGGTGGTGTTTGGCTCTGTAGTTTTTAAGGACCCTTACAATTGGAGACAATATTGTATAGCAGAAAGAAAGTGGCCTTAAAATTGGCTAGACTGTGATCCTCATCCCTCTGTAGATCTTGGAGAGGTTACCCCATCTGGTTTTCAATGTCTTCATTTTTAAATGAAAAAAAAAAAAGGAAAGAATGAAAGATAACTGATCGTATAGGAATATTGCAAAGATCCTAGCGCATTCCTGGGGACATATTAAGTGCTCAATAATATAACTTACTTTTTTTTCTTTTCTTCTGCAGTCTCCACTTTTACCTTTACAATTTTACACATTTTTTAGGGGTCACGGAAATAATATCACACTGTGTGGAGCACAGGGTGTAGTTGAGCTGTATCCTCCCCCGAAGTGCCCACCTCATTACACAAGACTTCTAACTGCTGTGGGAGTAATTTTCTTATTTGACAGGAAGTTTCCTCCATATAATTAGCTCCATTTTCATGCTGTACGTGCTTATAAAGCAGAACTTGGATGTTCTAGAAAGGGAAAGCTTCTCAGAAAAACAGAGATTACATTTCCCCATACGTATGTATGCACAAGTTTGAAATTAAGAGGAAAGGACTTTTGCCAAGTCTACATTGTGCTTGGACACTTGTTCTGAACCTAGAAATTTTTGGCAGCTCTCATCCTATGCACCTCCCTTAATGTGTCCT
Organism: Homo sapiens; assembly: GCF_000001405.40. NCBI lineage: Eukaryota > Metazoa > Chordata > Mammalia > Primates > Hominidae > Homo > Homo sapiens. The sequence goes on from NC_000011.10 coordinate 121,793,557, forward strand.
TGGACGGGATGTACGTTGGAAATTCATAGTTTATTTTCCCCATGCTTCATCTTTGTGCATTTCCCTGATGGTGTCAATTAGCAAAAAAAGGGGAAGGCCTTCATTTCCAATGTTTGCCACTTCTTGGTGAGTGCATGCTGGCAATAACTTTCTCTGACAGCATGAATGCTTTAAAACTTTGTTTCAAAACAGTTTGAAGAAAACCCTATTTATAACAGACTCTGTGTAAACTTTGACTCTCCCAGAAAAACTTGGGTAAAACTCACCAAATGAACTGAAGATGTAGGGAGGAACACAGCCATACTTGCTATGTATTTCTCTCCTATTTTGGGACTTTGGGTGGGGGCTCGGGGGAAGAATGACTCCTTGTGCAGTAAAGAACTTATCGAAGGTGCACTAAGGTTTGCGCACTATGAATTGCTACAATAAAATTGAGACTCTAGCAGAAACCTTCTATGGCAATTCAGTTGAAGAAGAAATAAGGACCTAGTGAGCTGGCACCCTCTTTCACTCAATATGTAAATGTGGCTGCTGTCAGCGCATGATTTACTTAGGCCTGCCTTGTTTTGTTTCTGTCATAGAATGTTTCTCTTTGAGATTCCTTGAGTTAGACGCTGCAAGTCAGGAAAATAAATTTATATCGGATGAGCAAGAGGGAGTTGGCTTGATACTTCTTCTTATAGCAGTGTTTGTGTGTGCATTTTTCAAAGGATACAATTCTGATTCCAGGGATTATTTTCGTTATGTTTTGATGGAAGACGGAGCTTGGTAGAAGAGGTAGGGGGAGCAAAAAAAATCTGAACAAAGTGGGCTTTACTGTTTGAAGGGGACGCATGTGACCCCATTCCTTCACCACAATCGTCTTTTGCAGTGGTGCATTTTTGCAATGGGGAGCTAGGTTTGTCATATCTTCAATACCAATGTGATGGCCGAGTTCTTCTCTTAAGAGAGGAATTTAGAGAAACACCACCCCTAAGCGCCTCTAGGGTTACAGGCCTAAGGACTCTTGAGTATAAGGAGGTGCCAAGTAGCAGGCGAACAAAGACTGGGATGTGCAGCCTCTTTCTGGACTGTCTGCATCCTCCCTCCCTTTATCCTGGCGCTACCCTTGCCTTTGCTATTTTGCTTTCTGATGCATTTGGGGCTCCTAAACACACTGGTCCCACAGAAAGAGGCGAAGCTGGCATTTGCGTGGCTCCTCTTGTCTTCTGCAGGCTCCGTTCCCAGAACAGGTTGGCCTGGTTCAGGGTCTTCCATTCAAGAGCACCAAAGCAATCCACATCTTCACTCCGAGGTCCCAGGGCAGCCCCCGGCGAGGCGGGTCGTCCGAGTTGCCCCTCGAGCTCTCCGAAGAGGCAGCCCTTAGCCTCGGAGCTCGGGGTAGTCCGAGCAGTCCTCGCCTACACTGCGCAGCAGACACTCCTTCCTCCATGACTGTTCAAGGGCGGGGGTGGGGAGGGAGGAACGAGCAGGCCATGAATATTTAATCGGGGAAAAGTAGGAGCACATTATTTGGATAAACTACTTAATAGCAGGGCTAGCCCCTCCTCAGACGGGGGTAGGTGCCGCATCGCCAGCCTAGCACCAGACGCCTGCGCGCTTTCATCTTTAATCGTCTCTTCTCCGTTTCCTTTGAGTGGGGATATAAGAAGGCTCCTGTCTCTCCATCAAACCGCATCTCTAATTTAAACAGCTGTTAATAAGGGTTAAATCTGCAGGCTGAGCTGGCCCTTCACTTGTTACTTGCAAAGGGGGAAAAATCAATGGAGCAGGAAGCCAGAGGGGCGTCCATTTTGAAAAGCTGTAATGAATTACGTCTCCTTAGCAAAGCTGGCAACCTCCAGGCCTGCTCCCACAGCCTGCCTTTCACATATCCGAGCCCTCTGTGACACATCAGATTTAATGAGACTGCACAGATCTCAAATAAGGAAGGGGAGCGCTGCTGCTGTTGCTGCTGGGGCACTTTATTGAGGAGGATCAGAGAAAACTCGCTTGCTTTAAAAAAAAAAAAAAAAAAAAAAAGCCCTTAAAGGCAAAGGATATTTTTGGGGGAATAGGAGGAGGTCCCTGATTCGGTGTTTCAGGTCCCCTCTGGAGCATTTTAACAATCTAATTCAATGTGAGCTTTTGGGTGTCAACATTAGCAAACAGGCCTCCAAACCTCAGGACCATCGAAGACCAAGAGGATTGTGGAAGGTAATTAGGGACATTTTGAGTTAAGCCACCTCCCATCCCCCTTCCCAAGACCACTAAAGGCAAAAAGAGATGCTCTGTAGCTGTCTTTCCACGCGATGAATCACCTTCGTAACTACATTTTCCAAATCAGTAATTAAATCTCTTATTTGGCCAAATAGGACTGCATATTTGCAGACAATGGGGAAGAAATCTTGAAATCTAGAAAATTCGGCATATGTATTGCATATAGGTTTAGGAGAGAGCATTATCTGGGCATCGACAGACTTTGGTTCAAGTGTTGGCCCTGTTGCCAATTCACGTATCTTCTGTAATTAAATACTATAGCCTGGATCTTCAATTGTTTATTAAATGAGAGGGTGAGGATAATCTATAATTCTACATTGAGATTTAGAACCCAGGGTCAGTCTTGAAAAACAAAAAAAGACCATAATGCTAAGCCAATAAACACTGTGTGAGCCAGACACATCTCCTGGGAAAAGCAACATATCTCTTTGGTGAGTCCTTTCTCAACTGTCCTAGAAAAACTATTCTGGCATGCAAAGTCCAGGTACGGCATTCCAGACCCTCTTTTTCCTCTCCTACTCTCTATTGACAAGAAGATTTTTCTTATGCCCCGTGTAAGAAAAATCATAATAAGATGACAGCTGACATTTATAGCACTATTATCACATGCCAAGCACTGGGGCCGAATGACTTACGAGCATTATATTGAGAGACATGGTAGATAAGAGCACAGACAGAAGCAGGATCACTGCTGAGTTCACATCACCACCATGCCACTTCTAGCTGTGTGATCTTGGGCAAGTTAATTAATTAGCAGTGCCTGGCACATAGTAGGTGCTATACAAGTGCTAATTTTAATTTCAAAACATTCCTATGGTGCAGGTATGATAATCTCCATTTTGCAGATAGGAGCTTATGGCTCAACAACCTGCTTGAGGTCACCTAGCCGATGAGTAGCTGTGCTAGGAATAAAAGCCAGTCCTGTCTGCCTCAAAAGCCTGAGCTCTCAGTCAGTACTCTCATGTTCCAGTTGTGGTCTTTTTAAAAAGTCTTTATTCAGAGCCGTGTGAACCAGAGCAACTCCATCTTGAATGGGGCTGGGTAAAATGAGGCTGAGACCTACTGGGCTGCATTCCCAGATGGTTAAGGTGTTCTAAGTCACAGGATGAGACAGAGGTCAGCACAAGATACAGGTCATAAAGACCTTGCTGATAAAACAGGTTGCAATAAAGAAGCCAGCTATACCCTCCCAAAACCAAGATAGCAACGAAAGTGACCTCTGGTTGTCCTCACTGCTGCACTCCCACCAGCTCCACGACAGTTTACAAATGCCATGGCAACATCAGGAAGTTACCCTATATGGTCTAAAAAGGGGAGGCATGAATAATCCACCCCTTGTTTAGCATATAATCAAGAAATAACTATAAAAATAGGCAACCAGCAGCCCTCGGGGCTGCTCTGTCTATGGAGTAGCCATTCTTTTGTTCCTTTACTTTCTTAATAAACTTGCTTTCACTTTACTCTATGGACTCGCCCTGAATTCTTTCTTGCACGAGGTCCAAGAACCCTCTGTGGTGATCTGGATTGGGACCCCTTTCTTGTAACATTTGTGCTTTAGTGGAAGTAAACTCACCCACCATTGTTAGAGTAGAAACTGTTATTCTGCCTTCTTCAACCTCGCTTTCTCAAACTCTCGGGCTTTTCTTTGCCCAGCCCTTCTAGCTTTTCTTTTCAGCCTCTTTTTGGTAGGTTTGCATCATATTTCCTGTTTCAATCTCTGTCCTCATTTGCATGGCCTTTTCTTTGAGGTCACTGCATCTTTTCCTTGAGATTCCATTTTGAGACCTGCTTTAAATGTCTCCCTCTGTGCCATTGGTTAGGTGAGGAGGGAAGCAGGCCTGCAAAGAAGGATGGGGGTAGGCCCAATGTTCCCAATTGGAATTGAAAAAGAACCAACTCATCAGGTAGGTCTGAATCACTTTGCATACCAAATGTCAACTTTCCCAAGCACGGAGTCCCAGAAGAAGGAGTTGGAAGGAAGGATCGCACCTATTCCACATGAATATGGAGAAAAGGCCCTGGAGGATGGGTAGGTGAGGTTAGAAAATGTAGCATTGTGACACTGTGGCCTTATTCGAAGAATACTCTAGAGGAGACCAGTGAAATTATCGTCTTAGTTCTTTGGGCATAATATTTCACTTATTTTCTTCCCAGTTAAAAATTAATATAGATTGTTCAAACTCAAGAGTCCAAAAAGTTATGCCAAGGTGGTGAAGTCAGCTGCTTGGTCTGTCAATTCCCTGGCTTCATACTTTAGCTCATGGTCTGATTTCATCTCTGGGTAGACAGAAGAGAGACAACTTATGCATATAGTTTGCAATTTACTTATTTAAAAGTATGTTTTCTTTGTGTTCTGTGTCTTTGTATGTGCATCCTGATTCTGCCCATACCTCCCTCTTAGTGTTGAAGCTTCCTGCGTGTTAAGACCACCTTATCTCTACTTTCCTCTGTGTCCTCTGGCTCCTGCTTCAATAACAGGCCCTATCTGTATCGACTGTTTGCTTGGAAAAGTGTTTCTTGGTATAACTGTTTCCAGAGAGGACTTTCCTCTTTTTTCTGCCCTTTCTGGTTCTCATCACTCAATTCTGGCAGTGAGTAGACTCTAAATAGATCTTGGTTTTGGGAGTTACTCAGATTGGGATGAACACACTCTACATCTAGGGGTAAGACCAAATTAATTAGATGGTGTGGGTTGTAGCAAGTCTTATCAACTGATGTAGAGAACTAGATGGGGCTTCCTCTGATTTGGAGCTAGAAACTGAGCAAAAGGCAGAGATCTGATAATGTCATTCAGGAATACCCTAACAATTTCAATAAACTGGTGGAACATAGAGACCACAATAGTAAGAGTGCCACTGAACTCTGAAGCACTAAGGAATGGCTTAATCCTGCGTTTTCTTTGGCCATATTATTTCTGACTAATGAAGTGGGGGATGTAAAAGGAAAGCAACATCAAGAATACAGATAGATTTAATGCCAGGGAAATCTGGGTCTCTAAGTATAAGAAATTATCGAATATGGAACCAGTATACTGGGTCTTGGAACAAAGTAAATTCTCAAGGTTTGTTTGACCTGATGTTTCCTGCAAATATTCCACACCATTCACGTATTTTCTTTCTCACCTAGAGTTGAGAGGTGGATGATTTGAGCCTCTCATGTTGACAAAGTATCAACATTTTAGCAGAGAGAAGATAATGAATGTTTGTATTTATGTTTTCGTAGCTGTGAGTTCATAGTCCCCAATTGTGGCACTGCGATTTAAAGTGGAACACCACAAAGTTCAAAGTTAGCTTCTCACAGAACCACCACTACTCTGTCTAGGCTGGAAGTGGTTTCTGGGCCTCTAACAGTGGTACATTTGGAACGAATCATAATACAACATACCTTGATTGTCTCTTGGTGTGTAAAGCCCTTAGCACATTGCTTGATACATAGCAAGTACTCAATAAGGGTAACCATAATCACTATGGAGAATATTCATGAAGGATAGCGTAACAAGCTAGTTGCAAAAGAACTTTGCAAAATAGCTTCTTGCTGCAGAACTGTAGAGATCCAGAAATAGTAACTTGGCATTTCTGACTCATCTTTAGCTTTATGATGAAAAAAATAAACAAACAAATAAAAACAACCCAACAAAACTAATGGATCAATTCTATGATTTTACAACTGGTCAGTTTTATGAAAAATATTTTTACGTGTAAAAGAACTGTCTGAGTTCATTTTCTGCTGCTAGAACAGAATACCACAAACTGAGTAATTTATAATGAACAAAAATGTATTTGTTGTGTGGTTCTAGAGGCTGGGAAGTCCAAGAGCATGGCACTAGCATCTTGCGAGGGCCTTCATGCTGCATCATAGTATGGCAGAAGGCAGAAGGTGGAAGTGAGCATGTGAGACAGAGAGAAAAAAGGGGGTGAACTCTTGAGATAATGGCATTAAGCTATTTATAAGGGTGAAGCCCTCATGACTTAATCACCTCTTAGAGGTCCCACCTTCTAATACTGTCACAGTGGCAACTACATTTCAACATGAGTTTTGGATGGGACATTAAAACCATAACAATTACACTTGCTGGTTAACTTAGAATAATTTCTCCACTATCTTGAGTGAGATGCAGCCTGTATGTGAGCACAAGTAGGATGCATGGGTGCTTTCTGCTGCTGTGCCTATCACTAGGATTGTGAACTTTGGCAAGTCTTATGGGATTTCTAGGGTTAAAGACCCAAATGGTTAAAAAGTGAAGACAAACCTATGAAAAACACCTAAATTCTAAAAATTAACACCAATCCTAGCTGGAAGTAAACTAAGGAACTTGGCCATGGTAGACATGGCCAGGAGAAGAAGAAGGTCTCTAGAAAAGCACTTATAAGAGCACAAAGGGACAAATGGACAATAAGCCCTTTTTGCTACTCAAGGGCAACGCTTGACTGTTCAATGCCAAAGGCTGGGACAATCCTAAGGACAAGGATTAGATTTTAGCTTTCTGCAGCTACTTCAACAAATATACCAAAAAGGAACTGGGGAGATGAAAAAGAGAATTCTGTTCTCTAGGCAGACTGGCTAAGCATCATGTTTACACTTCTCCATTTCCCACCACTCCACATTGGCTCCATCCCTGTGATGCCACATTCCAGGGAGGGTTCCAAGGCCTCCTCCACTGCTTTCCATTTCCCCTTCTGAAAAAGTAAGATAAAGAAAGCAAGCAAAAATGATGGGAGACAGGAAAGGAGGAAGGAGGGATGAAAGCATGAAAAGATAGAAGGAAGGATGGAAGCAGGGAAGGAAGGAAGCATTTCTTCCCAGGCAGTAAGACATTTGAGTGATTTATGAAGCTTAACCCAGAGAAGGGAAAGTTGAGGGTTAAAAATCTAAGAAACGAGAATGCAAAACATCAAGACTCAATAGTGCCAAGAGGTTAGGTCTATTGAAAAGCCAAGGACATTTGGCTGAGTGTGTGGTGAGGGGAAGTGGTATTGAATTCAGGCATTTCAACTCTGCGACTTTGGGCGAACTTCAAAACAAATAGGCTAAAATCCTAGCTGTGGTGCAGAGCAGTGTTGTATGTCCGACAATCCCCAGGGTCTGCCCTTCCTCCCCCTCCCCTGAGTCCCCCGTGACCCCCCCTCCCAAACAGGGCTGTGAAGGAATGTAGGTGGAATCCGCTGAGGCTGGGGCTCTACCAGGGATAACAGAATTCACAGCCTGAGAGCAGGCCAGCCAGAGTAGCTTAGAAAGACAAAGGGTTTGCAATGTAGGAAAAATACTAAGCACCTTATTCTGGATTCTGTATCTGACCCCAAAACTTCAAAATGTTTTATTGTTTTCCCTTGAGTTTTCAGCTCTTCCTACATTATCTGCTTCCTCCTTTTAATTTGCTGAGCTCTGTTTCTCTACTCAGTGAGGAAGACAGGTGGGCTGGGGAGGCCGGGAGAGGGGAGAGAACTAAAGAAGCCGGAAGGAGCAACTCAACAACTCGACCTTCTTCAGCTGCATGAAAATAATTCCAGATTTGAAAAGGGCTTTGGCGAGATTCATTGTTGGGGCGGGGTGGGGGAGCTGTGACTTTGCCAAACCATCTTTTGTCATTCACTTCCCTCATACCTAGGTTTCTCAGTCACCCTGAGACCGACTACTCTTGAAAAGTTAAATCAGAAGGAAAACACAGTTTGGAAGAAGGTGTTTTACAAAAAAAAAGAAAAGAAGCTGCCTGATTTATGTGATCTGGCAAAAGGGAGGTTGCGTCATGAATCAAAAGCCAGTGTTCGGGAAACAAATGAGTGAGAATGAGGCAGGAAGGAAGAGGAAGGAAGAAGAAGGAAAGAAGAAAGAAAGGAAGGTAGGAAGAAGAAAAGGGAAGAAAAAACAGAGAAAGGAAAGGTGAATGCACCATAAATAAACCATAGTTTGAGTTCCTGGAGGATAAGTAAATGGGAAAAAGAAGTAGAAAGAACTAATACAAATGCATATTTAAAAATTATCCACCATTGTCTGTTAAAATTACTGTGCTCAGAACGAACAGCCTAACATAGACATGAACTTAAGAACTCACCTTTCAAAAATGGACAAGTTGGAAGTGTATAGCATTTAAAACAACAACACGCCCCTCACCCGCTCCCCCCCATTTGTTTATGCAGTGAGATCCCCCTGGGCTTGTGAGCCTCATATTCAAAGCAACAAGAAGTCAATAGTTGAACTGTGTCAATAAGAACAGATGAAAGCAACAGCCTCTGATTTAAATGAAAATAGGATACAGCGTGAACTATTGTTTGCTCCATGACTTCCTTCTAATTCAGTTATTATCTTGAACCCAACCCAATCTACCTTATAAAAGCATGAAACTCAACTCCCAGGCTGTTTTCACCCGGAAAAGCCTTTAAGCCCTTTCCCCTCCTACATGGTCGTGAACTACGCATTTGGAATACATATGATTGATATTTTAAAAAAACACTGAGGCATGCTTTATATAGCACACATATAACTGCAGATGCATTGTACCCCCTCCACAAACTCAGGAACCCACATATGTATACACCATGCAAACACAAATGAGCATACCTATGAAACGTCCAGAGCTCCCCAGGGAAAATGCTTTTACAGTATTCCAACCGGTCTGCAATTCGATGTGAATAAAAAGTAGAGGAGATGAAGAAATGAAGAAAAAAATCTGCCACTCAACTGAGTACCTACCACATGTGATGCATTGGGCCAAGTGCACCTTCATATTTAATATTGCAATTCATTTCATGTAATCGCTGCTTTTAGAATCATGTTTTAACACACTGCGCGATTGAAACAATGTTTTCTGGTAAACTGTCTTAGAGAGGCCATTTCTATTTGAAAAGCCAGCTGTGAGGGGCTGGAAGGCACACAGCTGCAGACAGCTGGAGGGCTGGTACTGTAACAGGATCCTTGGAGAAGTCAACTGTAGTTTGCAGGCCCTGAGGCCGCATGTGGGAAGGCTTGTCTGAGCAGGGGAGTCTGCTTCTGCCTTGGCTTGTCCAGGGGTCCTTTGCTTTTCTCATTTATCTGATGGAGCCCAACCAATGAATAGGGCTTCCAGAACCAAATTACTTAGGAACCAGAGCAAGCTTCACTGAATCTTCATTCTACCTTTTATTAAGATAATTTTTATATATGCACACACATACTCCATCTTTCCCACCCATTTGTAATTTTGTGATCTTATACTCCCTTGAGCCCCCTTGGCTTCCTGTGACTTGACGACTGCTTCTCAAGCCCTTTTGTGGGCTCCAGCGGAAATGAAGTAAAGCCCTTTGAAGCCAAAGAAGGTTCTGGGAGAGTGTTTGGCACCAGGTGAAGAGATCACTTTCCAATTGCCAGTGAAATATTTGCCTCAGGCATGGGAAGGGAATGAGGCTTGTTTCTTTACCTTCAGTTAGTTTTCATAGAGAAAAATAGTGGCTCAAGCTTTAAAAACATTGGCTGGTGATTTGGCTTCATGGGAATTCCCTCATCCTAAATAGATAAAATAATATAGCTACAGAAAGCTAATAGCCATTCTCAGCATGAATAGTACCGAATCTTTGCTTTTGGACTTTGTCATTGTGACTTATTGGGTAATAAAAAGCCCTTTTTAAAATGTGTCCTGGATAAGGACAACAAACGGGCATGGGCCCTTTTGGTCAATAAAGTCACCAGAGCTGGAGCTTGTCATTTGACTATGTGCCTTGGCCTGAGCCTTGGGTCTGCAGGCCCATCTCCTGCCACATAAGAAGTACCAGAAGAGCCAAAGTTTCTGCCACTCTCATCCTTCAAAGATGGCAGCACTGAACTCAATATCAAATATCAGCTGTTGGGGGAGAATTTTAGACCACAGACAGGAAATATGTCTAGGGGTTAGGGCCCCAGGAGATCAGCAGTAGGTCAGATAGTAGACTGAGATGGGGCAAACACAAAAAGGTTCAGGACAAAAGTTGAGAACCTGGCAAGAGTAAGAGAGAGCCTGTGCTCATTAGGACTTGGCCACATGGAAAGGTGCTGCATCCAACACAAGTTTCTATCTTCTACATCAAGGGAAATGGCCTATTGCCCAGAAAGTGGGGGGGGGGGGGGGTGGGGGATAGTAATGCTTTCTATTTGTATAACGCTTTGTAGTTTACAAAATCTTGCTGCATAAAACATCTCATTTGAACCGTTCAACAACCCCACAAGGTAAGCAGAACAGGTGGTATTGTTCAAATTTAATTGATATTGAAAATCAGGCTAAGAGAGATTAAGAGAGTTGCCTACAGTTATGAATGGCAGAGATAGACCTAGAACTTAGATCTTGTGATGCTCAGTTTGATGCCGTGTCTACTGTATCATATGACTTGATAATGATAACATCATGTATAGAGAATTAAAACACAAGTGAGGAATTGGAAGTAAGCCCCTGGCTATTTACAATGTCTCACTTCAGACTAGTTACATCCTAAAGTACCAAGAAAAATTACAGCTGAAAACAATAATCTGAAGACTAAAACAGCATTAAGGAATCAGGAAGTCTCAGGGAAATATTAGCAATAGACAATATTGTCCTATTTTCTTAAAGGGGAACAGTCTGCAAATGATAGATAGTAAATTTGGCATTGACATCTAGGACCCTTTAAAACAGATTATTAAATGTGTGATTCTCAAATAATCAAAAAAGAAGTTCCTGGCACTGGGACCAAGAATGGGTTCACTAGGAGCAGTTAATGTAGCTGTGAGCTGCTATCATTTTAATAGTTATTTGACTGGTAAATTAGGAAAATTGTTAGACACATAAATCTGAAACTTAGGGCATGTTTAGGATAAATCTGTTTTGATATTGTAGTCAAGAAAATAGGGAGATATAGGCCAGATTATAGAATTAGTTGCATTTGTACATGTTTAACAGGGGACCAAAAACTCAATAAGTACCGAGTACTTGGAGACTGGGAAACTCTGGAGAGAAAAAGCCTCCTTCTAAGGCTGATGGGGGCATCAGCTCAGGCCCGATGGGACAAGTCCAAGAGGTCTGAGGCAAAATTATGTGCAAGTTAGCACGTCTGATGGATCTGATCAAAGATCATTTCAAGGTTTCTGAATTATGGCTCTTCCATCATGTGAGAATTCAAGTTTTTAAATTAGAAACTTGAGCGAATGCCAGGAAACCAGGATGAAGGTCCAAACTCAGGAAGAAGGAGTCAGGGACTCCGGTGACCTCACACTGTGGCTGCAGTGTTGAGCCTGGGTTTTTGTCTCCACTGGCAAAGGCAGGGGCAGAGATTGTTAGATGGTCCAGTCTTGCTCCACACAAAGGGAATAGACAGTGCTCTTGACAACACTTCCTATTCATGTCCAGGCACTTGGACAACAGATATAGGGAGGAAACCACTGATATGCTGCTGGTCTGATGCTCATTGATTTTAGGAAAGGCCAGGGCTGATGTACACATATCTTGTGATCAGCAGTATAGCTGCAGAAGGCTCATGGACATGGAGGTGCCCACTCACTGCAGGCCCACTGTCAATGAGGGAGAGGACATTGCCCTGGAGTTGAACCAAGTGGTCTCTGAGGTTTTTTCCAAGAGTGATTTTCGCAAGGAATGGAAAGCCCATTTTAAGTCTTTCTAATACTATAGGTCAGCTATTAATCCGCAGCTTTTCATTCTAAATTCAGTTGAAAAGGTCCCATGTGCTATTTCCCATTTTCCATACTATGGGAGTAGCAGCTCATAGTTACAATAAATTAGGACAGAGTGGAGAAACCACTGGAAGCCTGGGTTCTAGCCATGATTTGCCACTCTGCTTTTTACATATCATTTAACCTCTTTGGGCCTTTGATTTCATTGATGAAAAAATAATTTCACTGTGAGATATTCTATACATGAAATATATTAATATATTCATGCACACACACATGTGCATACAAGATTAATACATCACATTTTACCTCATCCTCTAGCTTAAGGGAACATTACAAGAGTCTTCCATGACTTTTATCTGATTCTCCTGATCATTTTCTGTTTCCTTGTTCCTAAGTATAAGCACTCTCCAGTGCCTTTTGTATTTTTCATCTCCTTTGTTTTTGTTATAATTTTATTACCTATATATGTGTTCCTAAAAAATACATCACTAAATTCTGTATGTTTTGGAATTTACATGAATGATTTCAACTCTAGAGTTTTAGTTTTCTTACGGTAAATCGGAGATTTTAATTTTATTTTTAGGACTCTTTGCTTCTAAGCATTAGAAACTGATCTTGGGTTTATAAAGAAAGACATTCGCTAGAAGGATCTAGTGTTATTCAGACTCAGAGGAAGCACTCAACAACCAGACCTCAGGAAGGGCTGGATAAGGCAGCTCCTGGAATTTCAGTACCAGCAGTTGGTAAAATTTTCCAGCAATGCTACTATTGACTAAAGTAGCTCCAACAGGTTTTAGTCCCTTGTTTTTTTTCTTCAAAGTGCAACCTTGCTAGAAATCATTTATTTGGCTCAGTCTGGCCATGTGCTCTACCTTGCACTCAGGAGAAATGTGTCTCATGATTGGCAGCCCAGCCGATGTCCATGGAGCTAGAGGAGAGCATTCCCTCCAAGGAAGGGGTCCTGGGCTTGCTTTACCTCTCTCTGAGGGTTAGTATGAGGAGCCCATGAGACCATAAATGTGGAAATTCTTTTAAAAGTGTGAAGCACTGTACATATTCATTCATTTGTTAAATGACAAAAAATATTTTAAATGCCTGCACTGTGCTAGGTACCATGTTAGACGCTGGGGATACACAAATGACAAACTATACCCAAATATATAAATGAAAAACGTGGTAAAAGCAAGCAATTTATTGCTTGGTGATTTTGTCTATGTACTGCATAAAGCCCTGGACACAGACTACTTTTTTACTACACCCTAAAAAGGCAGTTATTATTATTCCAATTTTACAAATTGGTAGCCTAGATTGGAAGTCTGGAATCCTGACTCCAGGTTGAGTAGCCTTGCCTCCTGAGATGAGCTATAATACAGTCAGATATACAGGCTATGACAGAAGGACAATGATGGGGGCACTGAATACAAGCTTCATAGAAAAGGGACCTTTGAGGGTCCATGAGGCATTTACGAGGAGGCAAAACGATGGGAGGAGGTCCACCCCAGGCTGAGCGAAGAGCATGGGGATGGCAGGATTTATTGTGGGCATGTAGACCAAGGACAGGCAGTGTCCAACAGGGAGCTATTCTTTCCTCTACCCCTTCCTTTTCCAGGTTTATTTCTTATAGTTTAATCTCAAGGCATAGAAAACCTCTGCTGCAAATTTCAGTGTTTGTCTTTCCACTGAGGAATAATCCCATTCAAAGAAAAACCATTCTGGGTGGTAAGGAAGGTTGCTATTTATTTATTTAAGATGTGGGCAAACTCCTAATCAAAACTTCTACCATCATCTAAGCTGGCGTTCTTCCCAATGCGCTTTGTGAAAACTTTTGCCTAAGGCTTGCAGATTTGGTTTGCTATTTAAAATAATACAATTTGGCAATTGCTGAGGCTTTTTGTGCATCTGTTGTGTGTTTAAGTGGAACCTCATGGAAGATTGGAAACTCAGACCACAGAGGCAGCCTTAGAGCTACCTTCCATTGGATTCATGGTAGGAGTCCATCACTATTACCATTTTCAACATAGTGTTAATCACCATCATCATGATCATTGTTTTCAGCCACAGGGTCTGTAGACTTCAGTTGTTATTATGAGACCACAGAGTTATGATCTCTGAGCGAAAGCTGTTTGCAAGGTGTATTGATATGGTCAAACAGAAATAAGTTTGTATTTATGCAGAATACATAAAAGAAACCAGGAAACTCTGAAATCGAGTTAGGAGGTTCAACATTTATAGGAGTTTAATTTGCAAGAGGATTTAGATGGGGCTGTGGGAAGTGGTGCTAAGGAAGCAAACTAGCGTATTTGCATAATTTCTATCCTCACTTGAAATCCCATAGTTAATTTAAAAACTTATCTTTTAAGTATTTACCATTCAAATCTATCACCTCTAGAAGGAATAATGTATATCATAGTGCTTTGTACCTTATAAAGTCCTGGTGAATGGTTAGTGGTTCCCGCTTTTGTTTTGGGACCTACGGCTTGTGCTTGTTCTTTTCATGCTCCAGAAAACAAGCCTCAGAAATTTGATGACTGGGGTAGAATTGCTGAAGAAATTAACAGAAAAGGATGGAACTAAAATTCAGGTCTTACAACTTTCCACGCATTGAGTTTCACGTGAGATCTTCTCACCAATCTGTACCTTACTTTCACTTGTTGAATCCCCTTCACAGTATATAGGATTTCAGGTAGAAATATGATTGGCAGAATAGTTCCATTTGCAGGTCCTATTTATCACACTAGAATCTACCCCTCTGGAGACCTATTTTAAAATCATTTTGGATGTGATTTGAAAGAATGCCTCCCTATCTTGAAGCTCCAGGGATATGTCTCAAATGATCTTGATCATGACCTATGATTTTATATTATGCTGAGTAGGGTTTTTTGTCTTCACGATGATAAAGAAAGTGGAGAACATAGCACTCAGCCACTATTATCTCTATTAACCCAGGCAAAGCATTGACCTTTGATTGCTCCCCCGTTTCTTTCTATTGTCTCCACCAGTTGCATGTTCTTAGTGTTGTGCATAAATAAGTCTAATTAGGAACACAAGTTTCAGGCTATAGAAAAGCACTTAGCAGCTCTCCATGAATGCTGCGTTTAAACGAAATAGAATTACAATGCGGAGCAGTATTACAGTATCAGTTTCTCTCTCTTTCTCTGTCCTCCTCTCTCTGTTTCCCTCTTTGTGCCTCTGTGGCCTTCTTTTTTCCTCCACTTTCCAACTACAATGAATGTCTTGACTCAATATTCCTAACCAACATCTTGCCTGTTGGGTTTTTATCTCAACTCATTCTTTTTTCATAGTCTTTTCCTGTGCCTTACAGATAATGTGAAGCAGATATCTTCTAAAATGTACTCCTGCTTTCCATAGTAAATCATTTCCAGAGGCAAAGTCTTCTCTTTTGTTCTTCAGGATTTTTTCCCCCTCAGGTCCTATATTAATCCATTCATCCATCCAACCATCCATCCACCGACCAATCTTAAATAATGGTTTATCAAGAGCATATCTATTCAGGCCAAGTGTCAGCCAACACACAGGAAACATGATTTACACCCTGCACCCACCTCTCTCACTATTCAGGTTGGAGGATGGGGGAAAACTGTGTGCTCAGTTTTCTGCAGAATGCACATAGTATGCTTTCCATAAATGCAAAATTTGTGGACGCTACTATTGATGTCATCCTTTTCCTAAAGGCATATCCAGATGAAAGAAATTTTTAAAAAGTTATTCCTTGTCCTCTATTTAGGAGATTGATCTGTTAGGAAAATCATAAAACAATTTGGGATAGTGCATAAGATGCAATTAGATATCAAAAAAGACAGGTGCAGGCCTAAAAGGATATGCATATTTAGGGAAGGTTTGCATTAACCAAAGAAAGCTCATTACAGAATTAAACTGGGTTTTGAAAGATGGAAAATATTTGGATAATTAAAAAGGAGGATAAAGGATAATAATATGAAGAATTTACTACTTTCTAGACTGTTCTAAGTGCTTTTGTGTACATATTAACTCGTTTAATCATTTAGTTCTTACAGAAGCTTATAGGGTGGTACTATTAATATATTGCTTTTGTGGATAAGTAAATTGAAGAACAGAAAGGTTAAGTAACACAGCTAGGAATTGGCAATCAGAATTTGAACCCAGACAGACTTGCGGTAGGACATGTGCTCTTAACCATTGGACTCTTAAAAGTAGACCAGGTGGGTAAAATAGGAAAGGCTGGAAGGGAGAGGCCTGTGGAAGGAAGAATCAACCATGGGTACCTGAAGGATGGGATGTTAACATTCTTTATTTCACTAAAGAAATGAATCATTACAAAGATTAAATAAAATCTTGCTATTTACCTGGTTTTTCAAAGGAATATTTACTGGTTCTTGATAAGTTCAGCCCCAGGGAGCCACAACAATGGGTTAATTTTTTTCTTGGGCTAAATTTTATTTTTTTCCCTGGTAAAAAGAATATTTAATACAGAGCTCAGACCATATGATTTATTGCCTGTTTGAAAATCCTTTTCATCACTGTATGTTTTACCAGTAAATATTTAATCCTTGGCACCAAGTGCCACCCTGTTTATTAACTTTAGAGTTCATACTTTATAGTAAACTAAATTCTAAAATATCCTATGAAGAGAAAGACATTTCATCTACATAGTTCGCTGAGCAATTTTGCCAAAAGGAACCCCATATTATACGGCTTGGTCACATCACCCCTTTGATTATCGGAAAGCCTGATCACTAGAAAAGCAAACTTTCCTTCACAATAATGTCTATATTATGTTACACTTGCTGTGGATTCCCAAGTTTTCATCCCAAACAATTGTCTTGTGCCCAAAGACACGACCAGAATAAATGGCCTGGCTAGAGGCTTCACGCTTTTGCATGGGTGGCCCCCTCTGACTGACGATTCTGTTTTCCTGTCTTTGAGGCTATGGTTTCAAAAATTTAAAACCACCAGACCCAGAAAAGATAAATCTCTCTCAGTTTGCTTCAGAAAATCTAAACTCAATAATATCCACGTTGGTGGCTTCTGGAGAGAGTTACTCATCTGTCTCTCAGAAATGGGCCTTTTGGATCTCACTGACTCACTCTGGGACTGCTAGAGTTTTGCTCTAAGGCAGGGTTCTGAATCAGTGCTTGCCGAGTTTCCTCTTACTGCTCCAGCACATACTCTTCATTTTATTTGTTTTATTTCTCCTCTCTTTTTTTTTCACTTTCATTTTAGGTTCAGGGGTTCATGTGCAGGTTTGTTATATGGGTAAATAAATTGCATGTTGTGAGGATTTGGTGTACACATTATTTTGTCACCCGGGCAATCAGCATAGTACTCGTTTTTCCATCCTCACCCTCCTCCCACCCTCCACCCTCAAGTAGGCACTGGTGTCTGTTGTTGCCTTCTTTGTGTCCATATGTACTCAATGTTTAGCTCCCACTTCTAAGTGAGAACATGTGGTATTTGGTTTTCTGTTCCTGTGTTAGTTTGCTTAGAATAATGGCCTCCAGCTCCACTGATGTTGCTGCAAAGGACATAATCTTATTCTTTTTTATGGCCGCACAGTATTCTATGGTTTATATGAACCACATTTGCTTTATCCAGTCCACCACTGATGGGCATTCAGGATGTTTCCATGTCTTTGCTGTTGTAAATAGTGCTGTGATGAACATATGAATGCATGTGACTTTGCTGTAGAACGATTTATATTTCTTTGGGTATGAGCCTAATAATGGGACTGCTAGGTTAAATGGTAATTGTGTTTTAAGTTCTTTGAGAAATCACCAAACTGCTTTCTGCAATAGCTGAACTAATTTACATTCCCACCAGCGTGTATTCAGTGTTCTTTTTTCTCTTCAATCTTACCATCATCTGTTAATTTTTGACTTTTTAATAATACCCATTCTGGTTGGTGTGAGATTGTATATCTCATTGTGGTTTTGATTTGCATTTTTCTAATAATTAGTGATGTTGGGCATTTTTTCATATGCTTATTGGCCATGTTATGCCTTCTGTAGAAAAGTGTCTCTTCATGTCCTTTGCCCACTTTTTAATACAACTGTTCTTTGCTTATAAATCTGTAAGTTACTTACATATTCTGGATATTAGACCTTTGTTGGATGCATGGTTTGTAAAAATTTTCTCCCATTCTGTCGGTTGTCTGTTTACTCTGTTGATAGTTTCTTTTGTTGGGCAGAAGGTCTTAAGTTTAATTAGATCCCATTTGTCAATTTTGTTTTTGTTTCAATTGTTTTTGGTGTCTTGGGCATGAAATTTTGGCCAGATCTTATGTCCAGAATGGTATTTCCTAGGTTATTGTCCAGGGTTTTTATAGTTTTAGGTGTTACATTTAAACCTTTAATCCATCTTGGGTTGATTTTTATATGTGGTGTAAGGAAGGCGTCCAGTTTCAATTGTCTGCAGATGGCTAGCCAGTTATCCCAGGAACATTTATTGAATAAGGAGTCCTTTCCCCATTGCTAGTTTTTTGTTGATTTTGTCTCAGGTCAGATGGTTATAGATATGCAGCATTATTTCTCAGCTCTCTATTCTGTTCCACTGGTGTGTGTGTGTGTGTGTGTGTGTGTGTGTGTTTACCGGTACCATGCTGTTTTGGTTACTGTAGCCTTATAATATAGTTTGAAGTCAAGTAATGTAATGTCTCCAGCTTTGTTCTTTTTGCTTAGGATTGCCTTGGCCATTCAGGGTCTTTTTTGGTTTCATCTGAATTTTAGAATATTTTTTTCTAATTCTGTGAAGAATGTCATTGGTAGTTTGATAGGAATAGCATTGAATCTGTAAATTGCTTTGAGCGGTATGGCCATTTTAACAATATTGATTTTTCCTATCTATGAACATGGAATGTTTTTCCATTTGTTTGTGTAATCTCTGATTTCTTTGAGCAGTGTTTCATAATTCTCTTTGTAGAGATCTTTTACCTCCTTGGCTATCTGTATTCCTAGGCATTTTATTCTTTTTGTGGCTACTGTGAAGAAAATTAGGTTCTTGATTTGGCCCTTAGCGTGAATACTGTTGGTGTATAGAAATACTACTGATTTTTGTACATTGATTTTGTATCCCGAAACTTTACTAAAGTTGTTTATCAGATAAAGGAGCTTTTGGGCAGAGACTATGAGGTTTTCTAGGCAGAGAATCATATCATCTGCAAACAGGTATAGTTTGACTTCCTCTTCCTGTTTGGATGCCTTTTATTTATTTCCCTGGACTAATTGCTCTGGCTAGGACTTTCAGTATTATGTGGAATAGGAGTGGTGAGAGAGAACCTGCTTGTCTTGTTCCAGTTTTCAAGGGGAATGCTTCCAGCTTTTGCCCATCCAGTATGATGCTGCCTGTGGGTTTTTCATAGATGGCTCTTACTATTTTGAAGTATGCTTCTTTAATGCCTAGTTTGTTGAAGGTTTTTAATATGAAGGGATGTTGAATTTTATTGAAAGCCTTTTCTGGGTCTATTGGGATGATCATATGGTTTTTGTTTTTAGTTCTGTTTATGTGGTGAATTGCATGTATTGATTTGTGTATGTTGAACCAACCTTGCATTCCAGGGATAAAGCCTACTTGATGTTGGTGGATTAGCTTTTTGATGTGCTGCTGGATTTGGTTTGCTAGTATTCTTTTGTATACTCTGCACTTTAAAGCACACCCTATACCTTCCTATATTCTCTTCCTGCCATTCACTTTGGAGGAAATTCGTTTCCTTACCCACTTATTTCCTCAGTTATTAAAATTATATCCATTCTTAAAAGTCCAATTCCAATGACCATTATTTTACTCCAAGTGTAATATGGAGTTCATTTTTCTTTTTTTCTTTTCTTTTCTTTTTTTTTTTTTGAGATGGAGTCTTGCTTTGTCGCCCAGGCTGGAGTGCAGTGGCGCGATCTCGGCTCACTGCAAGCTCTGCCTCCCGGGTTCACATGCCATTCTCCTGCCTCAGCCTCCCGAGTAGCTGGGACTACAGGTGCCCACCACCACGCCTGGCTAATTTTTTTTTGTATTTTTAGTAGAGACAGGGTTTCACTGTGTTAGCCAGGATGGTCTCGATCTCCTGACCTCGTGATCTGCCCATCTCGGCCTCCCAAAGTGCTGGGATTACAGGCATGAGCCACCACACCTGGCCTGGAGTTCATTTTTCATGAAATTTTCCCTGATTCTAAGAAGTTAAATATACAATTCTATAGAAGTATCTTAATTCTTAACATATCATCACTTTCACTGACTTATTTATTTTTCAATGTCAATGTTTCTCATTTTTTGTGTTTACTAGAAACCTTAAATTGTGTCAGTTGTTGAAATGGGGAAGATTTCAGGAAATTGGAGAAAGATCAAAGCTATTAAAGACACTGCAATTAAAGTGAAGTAAAACGAATGAGAAATAAATATAAAAATAACTATTCATCGTTTGATTTAATTTTAGTTTTTTACATTTAGTAAACGTTTGTAAAAAGGGGATTTACAAAGAGTGTTTTGTGTGTGCCTGGTAATGTGTGTGATAGCATGCTGTAAACAATAAAGCATGTTATAAATGATCATTATTAATATTATTGTGTATAGCAGAAGCTCTTTTAACATGCGTCTGTTTAATTGACTTGCCAGATTAGTGAATGTTTTTCATTCCCTCTAAGACATTCTAACTAATGCCCTTAGCAGAGCAAGTACTTATAACTAGCAGGCTACTTTCTAGTAAGCCTGTACAATTATGCTCAGAAAAAATTGTATGCTTACTGAGAGAGCCAGTTGAGTTTATTCCAAAACCTGTTTATTCTAGTTGTACTTGAAATTATAATTGTAAATTTTAATTTGCTAATATATAAAGCAATAGAATATGATTGTGAAAAGATGTTTGCTGTTTATTTGAAAACAAACTTGAAATATTTTTGAAGGACTCAGTAAAGATGGATTACTTTACAAAGCTGCTGTTGATTTTATAGTTATGAGACCACTACAAAAATGTTGACAAAAAATCTAAAAATCTAGAATTCTGCACTTAGCTTTTTTTTTTTTTTTCCATGTAGCTTTCTTTATAAATGACTTGAAGTTCTGGCTTCACTTTAAAGAAACAAAAACCAGAGATCATGGGTGATGCTTGAAAGTGTATTGTTTATACAGTAAGAACTAAGCAGAACTCTGATCAGAAGAGTCAAAGAAAAAATTGTGGCCTTATTATTATAAGACTAGTAAATAAATTTACATTTCTATTTGATATAGTTAAAATTAAAATCTATAGTACTTTGTTATAAGTCCCCATCCACATATCCTCATTTTAAGTGGCTTTTTGTTTATCTATGAAACCTTAGGTTTCTGCTAGAACATGTTTCTGGTTAACTATCTCAGTGCTGGATGGTACTTGGTGCTAATGAGGCTAACCCTGTCTGATACTTTCCAGGCAATGACTCCTTAGATATGGGATGATCTGGGCACTGGTTGGAGACAACATCAAACTTACTAACTTAGGATCTAAGAAGAAAAAAAAAAAAGACTGTCCCCCTCGTGCAATAGCCCTCTTTATGTTCTAGCATGGTCTGACTCCTTAGGCCTAGTCTAGATAAAAAACACAAATGGGAGCTTTGGCAGTCTGGGGTGGCACTGAAGCCTGCAAGCCCAGATGTTAAATTAAATCAGGTGAGACATTGACCCAGGATGATTGAAGGCTCTGGAACTGGAAGGAAAATGTGAATCATATTTGAAGGGAGAATCAAAAGGTCATGTCCAGGGAAGCTGTGCCAAATGTTGAGTCTAAGAGCTAAATGAAGTTGTAAATGGAAAGGTGAGTCAAAAGCACAAAACTCGCATGGCTTGGAGCAGGATGAGATGAGAAGTTTTATATGAAATTAGTCATGGAGAAGGCTGTGATCAGTGTAGGAGTTTTAGGAACCTAATTTTTTTCAGTGGTCAATTTTGGCTTACAAACCAGTTAGGTGGGGAGAAACTAGGGGAAGTTTAAACTTAGAATCTTTTTGGGTTTCACTTATATATATAATACTTCAATATATGTAACCAATTTATTGACAAACTGCATTTTGTTGGATATATAAAGTTGAAACATTTTACTTTCTTTATCTCTGCCCCCATGTCATGTTGAGTTCACTTTTCATCCCGGATAGTGGCTCACTTAATGATAGCTTGGCTTGGTTGTAGAAATTCTATTGCTGTTAGTTATTTAAGTGGTTTTATATTGGTTTCTAAGATCCAGTACTTTCAACTTAAAACTTTCATCTCATATTACATTCAAAGTAGTGCTTCTCTCCTCCACCAATACTGGGGTTTTATTGTCTTGTAGTGAGGATCTGTGTTGTGTGGACTGGCTCTCAGAGAGTTCTACACAGTTCTTCCTGCAAGTAATTTCTTAGATGTTAG
The DNA here is from genome assembly GCF_000001405.40 of Homo sapiens. Classification (NCBI taxonomy): domain Eukaryota; kingdom Metazoa; phylum Chordata; class Mammalia; order Primates; family Hominidae; genus Homo; species Homo sapiens. The sequence continues at coordinate 121,815,784 of NC_000011.10, forward strand.
GACAGAAGAAAGGAAAAAAACAAAAAAGAAAAATGAACACTTTCTTCATGACTGAGCCATGTTGCAGTCTTGCCCTTGGATGGTCATGATGGCTGCTCTTGCTCATTGTCCATGAACTCCAAGTACGTGAATAGTTGCTAAACATGCCTTGCAGACGAGGAACTCTTAATCTAGAGGAGTAAGTCATTGGTGACGTCTTAGAAGATTCAGCTGCATCTTCCTGCTGACTCCCAGGAGATGGCATCACACTTTGCTTCTCCTATATTCCCCTCTCACCTTGCTGTGTCAGTTCTGGGGAGGCTGTAGCTCTTAATCTTCTCAACTCATGTCTAGTTCCAGCCACAGAATGAAATATCAGCCTCTCCATCTTGCTGATACCCTCAAACTTTATAAAGTGATTTGTTCTCAGTTAAGGGGCAAGAGAAGTTCCCTAAGATGAGGCAAGGGATAGCTCTTTTTCACAAGCCCTGCAATGCCCTAGACAATTTTTTTTCATCAAGCTTTCTTCTCATATTGGCAGGGCTGAACAGGAGTACCAGTTTTTAGTAGGGGTAGTCCTCTGAATTGGTACTTTTCAGTAGCCTTGAGAGTGAAAATTCCCTGAATTACGAAATGAGATGTGGGTGCTGACTGTGGTAGCTCACGCCTGTAATCCCAGCACTTTGGGAGGCCGAAGCGGGTGGATCACCTAAGGTCAGGAGTTTGAGACCAGCCTGGCCAATATGGTGAAACCCTGTCTCTACTAAAAATACAAAAATTAGCTGGGTATGGTGGCAGGCAGCTGTAATCCCAGCTACTTGGGAGGCTGAGGCAGGAGAAATGCTTGAACCCGGGAGGCAGAGGTTGCAGTGAGCTGAGATCACACCATTGCACTCCAGCCTGAGCGAGAAGAGCAAAACTCCGTCTCAAAAAAAAAAAAAAAAAAAAAAAAAAAAAAAAGTGAGGTGCTTGGTTCTTTTGTTTATCTTCAGCTTTAAGTCTTAGATAGGAAAAAAAAAAAACCTTGATTTCTCTGATGCATGCTTTGTGGCAGTGATTTTGAATTGTTTTCCTTTTCCATCCTTGCCATTGGTGAGGTAAAGGACTTTCTTAGCTCCAGGTAATTTCTTGGTTCCAGATTATCCAGAGAATCCTGGGCCATACATACTTCAAATGAAGTGCACTAACCTCATCTGAGAATAAGCAAATATCAGTTGCTCAGCATAGACCAATTTATTGGGCATTTTTGAATGCAATTTAGTACAATTTTATTGCTTTCCTACTGTATGTAAGTGCTGCAGAGTGAGAAACAAGATTCATGGTCTCAAGATGCAAAGTATTCTAGGCAGGTGGAAATCACTCTTTACATATATATAATGTAGTGTTTTGGGAAAAGTAATTTGGATACATATTCAGGAGAATTATCTTTTGCCAGGACGTGCCAAAAATTGTGAGGCTGTATGAGTTTTAACAAGCTGCATCAGTTCTCTGGGGCTCAAGTTCTTCGTTTGTAATACAGAGTGTTGGGCAAGGTGATTTCCAGGGATGCAGCTCTAATATTCCTTAATAATATGAACTATAGAAACCTATTTCCCCTTGCTCATGTTGTCTTGCATTAAGGTACCCTCCCTGCTTCCTTTTTGTTTTAAAATTTTCTTCTGAAAGATATGTAATTCAAAAAAGATTAAGAATCTCTGCACTTTACATTCTCTCTGAGCAGTGGAAAGAAAAGATGTCCTGGAAATATACTGGAGTATGTTACATGTCTAGATAATTGAGGATAATTGAAATCTTAACAATATTAAGTCTTCTAATCCATGAACATAATATACATCTTCATTGTTTAGGACTCCTTTCACAGTGTTTTTAAGTTTTCAGCATACAGAGTAAGCACATTTTTTTTTTTAAAAACACCGATACTTAAGTATAATACAATATTTATTTTTGGTGCTTTTGTAAATTATATTTTGAAAATATTCAATTTCAAAGTATTCATTACTAATATGTAGAAATAAAATTGATTTTTTTTGTATATTGACCTGCAACTTTGCTAAACTCACATATTAATTCTAGTCGTTCTTTCATATTGTCCATGAATAGAGGTAATTTTGTTTCTTCCTTTCAATTTGCTTATCTTTTATTTATTTTTCCTGCCTTATTGCACTGACTGGGACCTTCAGTAGGATGTTGAGTAGAAATGTTGAGAGAAAACATCCTTGCCTTGCTCCCAAACTTAGTGGAGCCTTCAGTCTTTTCATCATTAAGAATCATGCTACCTGCAGATTTTCTTGGTAGATGCCTATTATAAGACTAAGGAAGTTTCCTTCTATTTGTAGTTTGTTGAGAGCGTGTTTTTTTTTTTTTTTAAATCATGAATGCATGTTGAATTTGGTTAAGTGACTTTTGTACTTATATTAAGATAATCATATTCATTTTCCTTTAGTCTGTTGATATAATGAATTACATTTATTTATATTTAAATAGTGAGGAACCTTGCCTTTCTAAGTCTATTATGATGATTTTAAAAAATGTACTGCTGTTTTTTATTTCTTAATATTTTGTTAAGAATTTTTGCAAATTGTTGGTGAGATCTTTTGTACCATAATTTTTTTTCTTGTAATGTCTTTGTTTTGTCTTGGTGTTAGGGTAATACTGGCCTTATAAAATGAGTTGAGGAATATTCTCTTCAGTTTTTTGTTTGGATGAACATGTGTAGAATTTACAGTTATTCTTTAAGCTACTGAATTTTATATACAGAAAATATCTCTTGTGAATGTTGAAAATGTCATTTCTTTTTCTTGTTTTATTGCATTGGTTCAGTATTCCAGAAATATGTTAAATATTAGTACACTGCTTTATCTGTTTAATGAGGGTGCCTCCAGTATTTTACTATTAAATGTGCTGAAATATAATATTGGCTTGATATTCTCTATTACGTCAAAGAATTATTAAATTCCACTTTGCAAAGTTTTGTTTCTATCATGAATAGATTTAGAATTTTATCAAATTGCTTTCCAGCATTTATTTTTTAACAGCTTTATTGAGATATAGTTCACACACATACTATTTACTTATTTAAAGTGTAGAACTCAACCTAGTTTTTTGTGTATTTACAGGATTATACAGCTATTACTGCAATCTAATTTTAAACTTTTTCACCACCCCAAAAAGTGACACCAAGCTCATTTATTATCACTCCCCATTTCCACCTGCCTCTATCTCCTGGAAACTGCTAATGTACTTTGTGTTCCTATATATTTGCCTATTGTGAACATTTTGTATTTTTTTGTGAATATCTGGAGTTTTTTACTTAGCACGATATTTTCAAAGTTCATTTATGTTGCAGTATGTATCGGTATTTCAATTCTTTTTATGCTCAAATTATATTTTATTATTTGGATATACTACTTTTTTTAACTGTCACTTGATGGACATGCAGGTTGTTTCTGCTTTTTGGTTATGCTGCTGTGAACATGTCATTGTGTGGACATATGTTTTCATTTCTCTTGGGTATACATCTAGAAACGGAATTGCTTGGTCATATGGTAACTCTATGTTTGTTTAACATATTGAAGGATTTCCAGACCAAAGCGTCTGCCTCATTTTAATTCTCCTCAGCAGGATGAGAGTTCCAATTTCATTCACATTTTTATTTGTCTTTCTGATTATAACCACCCAAGTGGGTGTGTAGTTGTATGGTTTTGATTTCTATTTCTTAATGACTAATGATATTGAACATCTTTTTAGATACTTATTGACAATTTGTTTATCTTCTTTGGAGAAATGCCTATTCAGATGCTTTGCCAATTTTTCAATTGGATTGTTTATTTTTTATTATTGAGCTTTAAGGGTTCCTTATTCTAGATACTCATCCTTTATTAGACATACTTTTTGCAAATATTTGCTCATTCTATGGGGTGTCTTTTCACTTTCCTGATGGTTTCACTTGCAGCATGAAAGTTTGTAATTTTGATGATGTCCAACTTACCTGTCTTTTTCTTTTATTGTTGGTGATTTTGACGGTGTTATGTCTAAAAAAATCCTTGCCTAATCCAAGGTCATGAAGATTTACTTCTATGGTTTTCTTTTTCCTAAGAGTTACATAGTTTCAACTCTTACATTCATTTTGAACTAATTTTGTGTATGATTTGAGGAAGGGACCTAATTCATTCTTTTGCATGTAGACATTTATTTTTTCCAGCACTATTTGTTAAGAAGACTATTGGACTATTTTTTCCCTCATTGAATTGTATTGTATTGGATCCCTTGTCTAAAATCAACTGATCACAACTGTAAGGGTTTATTTTTGGGTTTTAAATTTTATTGCATTGATCAATCTGCTTATCCTTATGCTAATACCACACTGTCTTGATCACTATAGCTTTGTAGTAACCTCTGAAGTTTAAGAAGTGTTGGCCTTCCAACTTTGTTTCTTTTTTTCAAGATTCTTTTAACTTTGTTTCTTTTCTTCAAGATTCTTTTGGCTATTCTGGGTCTTCAAAAATTATTGATGTAATAAATTATACAAATGGATGTCCTGTCAATCCATCATCATTATTGAAACCATAGAGAAAACACTGAAATACTTGACTACAAACTTATGTATGTAACAAAGTATTATAAATCAATCTACAAGGCAAAGTATAAAAATATTTGTAAATATGTTAAAGGCACTGGGTCAATATATGTAATTTGTAAAGTATTGTAATATATTAATAGAAACATGATATATGTTTAAATTTAGAAATAGCAGAGAACAGATAATTTATAAGAGAAATGTGAATGACCAATAAGCTTAGACAAAAAGTTTGTCATGATAGTAAAAGAAATTAGAATTAAAACAATATAATATCTTTCACCCCTTTTAAAATTTATGTATTTTTTACTTTTCCATTAAGCAACTGTATGTATCTTTTTTGGTGACAACAGTCAATGTTATCATCGTTGAAACAAACACTCAGGTCATGTGGCTGGAGAGTATATATTTATTGGACGGTAATTTAGCAGTACTTGTCAACAGCCGTATATGCTTATACTCTTTGATGAACTAACAAATACAACATGGTATTAGTTATTATGATGAAAAATTGGAAAATATAATGGATGATGATAAGTAATAAGTAAGTATAGTTTAGCTGTATAATGAGATATCTTGGGGACATTAAAAATAAAGAATTAGAGTCAAATTTACAAGACAAAATGTTCTTGAGTTATATGCACATATGTAACTTGTAGTATTTGGTTGCATTTTCCTCCATTCATTACCTTAAATCATATTTTATCAGATCTGGAGGAAGTCCTCATAAACTGGGGCTAGAAGTCAGCTAAAACCATATAAAAAATTAAATTCAATTGGTTGTATTTTAAAATATCCTTAAAGTTGTATGGTCCTAGTAATATTGAATAATGCACAATCTCATCACACCCAAAGCTTTTTTGGTTCTAGATTATACAGACCAATCAATAAAAAAATCTTTTTTTTTTTTTTTTTTGCATTTACACTAATGAGTTTATTTTTTTTTATTTTATTTTTTTTATTTTTTTTTTATTATACTCTAAGTTTTAGGGTACATGTGCACATTGTGCAGGTTAGTTACATGTGCCATGCTGGTGCGCTGCACCCACTAACGTGTCATCTAGCATTAGGTATATCTCCCAATGCTATCCCTCCCCCCTCCCCCGACCCCACCACAGTCCCCAGAGTGTGATATTCCCCTTCCTGTGTCCATGTGATCTCATTGTTCAATTCCCACCTATGAGTGAGAATATGCGGTGTTTGGTTTTTTGTTCTTGCGATAGTTTACTGAGAATGATGGTTTCCAATTTCATCCATGTCCCTACAAAGGACATGAACTCATCATTTTTTATGGCTGCATAGTATTCCATGGTGTATATGTGCCACATTTTCTTAATCCAGTCTATCATTGTTGGACATTTGGGTTGGTTCCAAGTCTTTGCTATTGTGAATAGTGCCGCAATAAACATACGTGTGCATGTGTCTTTATAGCAGCATGATTTATAGTCCTTTGGGTATATACCCAGTAATGGGATGGCTGGGTCAAATGGTATTTCTAGTTCTAGATCCCTGAGGAATCGCCACACTGACTTCCACAAGGGTTAAACTAGTTTACAGTCCCACCAACAGTGTAAAAGTGTTCCTATTTCTCCACATCCTCTCCAGCACCTGTTGTTTCCTGACTTTTTAATGATTGCCATTCTAACTGGTGTGAGATGATATCTCATAGTGGTTTTGATTTGCATTTCTCTGATGGCCAGTGATGATGAGCATTTCTTCATGTGTTTTTTGGCTGCATAAATGTCTTCTTTTGAGAAGTGTCTGTTCATGTCCTTCGCCCACTTTTTGATGGGGTTGTTTGTTTTTTTCTTGTAAATTTGTTTGAGTTCATTGTAGATTCTGGATATTAGCCCTTTGTCAGATGAGTAGGTTGCGAAAATTTTCTCCCATGTTGTAGGTTGCCTGTTCACTCTGATGGTAGTTTCTTTTGCTGTGCAGAAGCTCTTTAGTTTAATTAGATCCCATTTGTCAATTTTGGCTTTTGTTGCCATTGCTTTTGGTGTTTTGGACATGAAGTCCTTGCCCACGCCTATGTCCTGAATGGTAATGCCTAGGTTTTCTTCTAGGGTTTTTATGGTTTTAGGTCTAACGTTTAAATCTTTAATCCATCTTGAATTGATTTTTGTATAAGGTGTAAGGAAGGGATCCAGTTTCAGCTTTCTACATATGGCTAGCCAGTTTTCCCAGCACCATTTGTTAAATAGGGATTCCTTTCCCCATTGCTTGTTTTTCTCAGGTTTGTCAAAGATCAGATAGTTGTAGATATGCGGCATTATTTCTGAGGGCTCTGTTCTGTTCCATTGATCTATATCTCTGTTTTGGTACCAGTACCATGCTGTTTTGGTTACTGTAGCCTTGTAGTATAGTTTGAAGTCAGGTAGTGTGATGCCTCCAGCTTTGTTCTTTTGGCTTAGGATTGACTTGGCGATGCGGGCTCTTTTTTGGTTCCATATGAACTTTAAAGTAGTTTTTTCCAATTCTGTGAAGAAAGTCATTGGTAGCTTGATGGGGATGCCATTGAATCTGTAAATTACCTTGGGCAGTATGGCCATTTTCACGATATTGATTCTTCCTACCCATGAGCATGGAATGTTCTTCCATTTGTTTGTGTCCTCTTTTATTTCCTTGAGCAGCGGTTTGTAGTTCTCCTTGAAGAGGTCCTTCGCATCCCTTGTAAGTTGGATTCCTAGGTATTTTATTCTCTTTGAAGCAATTGTGAATGGGAGTTCACTCATGATTTGGCTCTCTGTTTGTCTGTTGTTGGTGTATAAGAATGCTTGTGATTTTTGTACATTGATTTTGTATCCTGAGACTTTGCTGAAGTTGCTTATCAGCTTAAGGAGATTTTGGGCTGAGACGATGGGGTTTTCTAGATAAACAATCATGTCGTCTGCAAACAGGGACAATTTGACTTCCTCTTTTCCTAATTGAATACCCTTTATTTCCTTCTCCTGCCTGATTGCCCTGGCCAGAACTTCCAACACTATGTTGAATAGGAGCGGTGAGAGAGGGCATCCCTGTCTTGTGCCAGTTTTCAAAGGGAATGCTTCCAGTTTTTGCCCATTCAGTCTGATATTGGCTGTGGGTTTGTCATAGATAGCTCTTATTATTTTGAAATACGTCCCATCAATACCTAATTTATTGAGAGTTTTTAGCATGAAGGGTTGTTGAATTTTGTCAAAGGCTTTTTCTGCATCTATTGAGATAATCATGTGGTTTTTGTCTTTGGCTCTGTTTATATGCTGGATTACATTTATTGATTTGCGTATATTGAACCAGCCTTGCATCCCAGGGATGAAGCCCACTTGATCATGGTGGATAAGCTTTTTGATGTGCTGCTGGATTCGGTTTGCCAGTATTTTATTGAGGATTTTTGCATCAATGTTCATCAAGGATATTGGTCTAAAATTCTCTTTTTTGGTTGTGTCTCTGCCCGGCTTTGGTATCAGAATGATGCTGGCCTCATAAAATGAGTTAGGGAGGATTCCCTCTTTTTCTATTGATTGGAATAGTTTCAGGCCAGTGTGTGTGCGCACCGTGCGCGAGCCGAAGCAGGGCGAGGCATTGCCTCACCTGGGAAGCGCAAGGGGTCAGGGAGTTCCCTTTCCGAGTCAAAGAAAGGGGTGATGGACGCACCTGGAAAATCGGGTCACTCCCACCCGAATATTGCGCTTTTCAGACCGGCTTAAGAAATGGCGCACCACGAGACGATATCCCACACCTGGCTCAGAGGGTCCTACGCCCACGGAATCTCGCTGATTGCTAGCACAGCAGTCTGAGATCAAACTGCAAGGTGGCAACGAGGCTGGGGGAGGGGCGCCCGCCATTGCCCAGGCTTGCTTAGGTAAACAAAGCAGCCGGGAAGCTCGAACTGGGTGGAGCCCACCACAGCTCAAGGAGGCCTGCCTGTCTCTGTAGGCTCCACCTCTGGGGGCAGGGCACAGACAAACAAAAAGACAGCAGTAACCTCTGCAGACTTAAGTGTCCCTGTCTGACAGCTTTGAAGAGAGCAGTGGTTCTCCCAGCACGCAGCTGGAGATCTGAGAACGGGCAGACTGCCTCCTCAAGTGGGTCCCTGACCCCTGACTCCCGAGCAGCCTAACTGGGAGGCACCCCCCAGCAGGGGCACACTGACACCTCACACAGCAGGGTATTCCAACAGACCTGCAGCTGAGGGTCCTGTCTGTTAGAAGGAAAACTAACAACCAGAAAGGACATCTACACCGAAAACCCATCTGTACATCACCATCATCAAAGACCAAAAGTAGATAAAACCACAAAGATGGGGAAAAAACAGAACAGAAAAACTGGAAACTCTAAAACGCAGAGCGCCTCTCCTCCTCCAAAGGAACGCAGATCCTCACCAGCAACAGAACAAAGCTGGATGGAGAATGATTTTGACGAGCTGAGAGAAGAAGGCTTCAGATGATCAAATTACTCTGAGCTACGGGAGGACATTCAAACCAAAGGCAAAGAAGTTGAAAACTTTGAAAAAAATTTAGAAGAATGTATAACTAGAATAACCAATACAGAGAAGTGCTTAAAGGAGCTGATGGAGCTGAAAACCAAGGCTCGAGAACTACGTGAAGAATGCAGAAGCCTCAGGAGCCGATGCGATCAACTGGAAGAAAGGGTATCAGCAATGGAAGATGAAATGAATGAAATGAAGCGAGAAGGGAAGTTTAGAGAAAAAAGAATAAAAAGAAATGAGCAAAGCCTCCAAGAAATATGGGACTATGTGAAAAGACCAAATCTACGTCTGATTGGTGTACCTGAAAGTGATGTGGAGAATGGAACCAAGTTGGAAAACACTCTGCAGGATATTATCCAGGAGAACTTCCCCAATCTAGCAAGGCAGGCCAACGTTCAGATTCAGGAAATACAGAGAACGCCACAAAGATACTCCTCGAGAAGAGCAACTCCAAGACACATAATTGTCAGATTCACCAAAGTTGAAATGAAGGAAAAAATGTTAAGGGCAGCCAGAGAGAAAGGTCGGGTTACCCTCAAAGGAAAGCCCATCAGACTAACAGCGGATCTCTCGGCAGAAACCCTATAAGCCAGAAGAGAGTGGGGGCCAATATTCAACATTCTTAAAGAAAAGAATTTTCAACCCAGAATTTCATATCCAGCCAAACTAAGCTTCATAAGTGAAGGAGAAATAAAATACTTTATAGACAAGCAAATGCTGAGAGATTTTGTCACCACCAGGCCTGCCCTAAAAGAGCTCCTGAAGGAAGCGCTAAACATGGACAGGAACAACCGGTACCAGCCGCTGCAAAATCATGCCAAAATGTAAAGACCATCGAGACTAGGAAGAAACTGCATCAACTAATGAGCAAAATCACCAGCTAACATCATAATGACAGGATCAAATTCACACATAACAATATTAACTTTAAATATAAATGGACTAAATTCTGCAATTAAAAGACACAGACTGGCAAGTTGGATAAAGAGTCAAGACCCATCAGTGTGCTGTATTCAGGAAACCCATCTCACGTGCAGAGACACACATAGGCTCAAAATAAAAGGATGGAGGAAGATCTACCAAGTCAATGGAAAACAAAAAAAGGCAGGGGTTGCAATCCTAGTCTCTGATAAAACAGACTTTAAACCAACAAAGATCAAAAGAGACAAAGAAGGCCATTACATAATGGTAAATGGATCAATTCAACAAGAGGAGCTAACTATCCTAAATATTTATGCACCCAATACAGGAGCACCCAGATTCATAAAGCAAGTCCTGAGTGACCTACAAAGAGACTTAGACTCCCACACATTAATAATGGGAGACTTTAACACCCCACTGTCAACATTAGACAGATCAACGAGACAGAAAGTCAACAAGGATACCCAGGAATTGAACTCAGCTCTGCACCAAGCAGACCTAATAGACATCTACAGAACTCTCCACCCCAAATCAACAGAATATACTTTTTTTTCAGCACCACACCACACCTATTCCAAAATTGACCACATACTTGGAAGTAAAGCTCTCCTCAGCAAATGTAAAAGAACAGAAATTATAACAAACTATCTCTCAGACCACAGTGCAATCAAACTAGAACTCAGGATTAAGAATCTCACTCAAAGCCGCTCAACTACATGGAAACTGAACAACCTGCTCCTGAATGACTACTGGGTACATAACGAAATGAAGGCAGAAATAAAGATGTTCTTTGAAACCAACGAGAACAAAGACACCACATACCAGAATCTCTGGGACACATTCAAAGCAGTGTGTAGAGGGAAATTTATAGCACTAAATGCCTACAAGAGAAAGCAGGAAAGATCCAAAATTGACACCCTAACATCACAATTAAAAGAACTAGAAAAGCAAGAGCAAACACATTCAAAAGCTAGCAGAAGGCAAGAAATAACTAAAATCAGAGCAGAACTGAAGGAAATAGAGACACAAAAAACCCTTCAAAGAATCAATGAATCCAGGAGCTGGTTTTTTGAAAGGATCAACAAAATTGATAGACCGCTAGCAAGACTAATAAAGAAAAAAAGAGAGAAGAATCAAATAGACACAATAAAAAATGATAAAGGGGATATCACCACCGATCCCACAGAAATACAAACTACCATCAGAGAATACTACAAACACCTCTACGCAAATAAACTAGAAAATCTAGAAGAAATGGATACATTCCTCGACACATACACTCTCCCAAGACTAAACCAGGAAGAAGTTGAATCTCTGAATAGACCAATAACAGGCTCTGAAATTGTGGCAATAATCAATAGTTTACCAACCAAAAAGAGTCCAGGACCAGATGGATTCACAGCCGAATTCTACCAGAGGTACAAGGAGGAACTGGTACCATTCCTTCTGAAAAAAAATCTTAAAACATCAAAGAACTGACAAGAGAAGCTGAAGAGAAACCAGAAATCTTGAAAGGAAAGCTGACCATGGAAGCTTATTTTCTTCCGAGGGTACTCTTGCACTTTTAAACTATTGTTTTGATGTAAGATGAGGATTACAGAGATAAAAATCCAGGGTTCAAACAAGGTGAGAAATCTAATAAAAGACAAAACAAGATGGTTCTCAATTGGTGGTTTTCTTGGGCACCCGACAGAAGAAAATCCAAGTACTCTATGAAGAAAGCCTGAGATCATTCCAATGACTTTTTTTTTTTTTCCCGGAGTAGAAAGGTCATCACAGGCTGGGCGTGGTGGTGCACGCCTGTAATCCCAGCACTTTGGGAGACTGAGGCGGGTGGATCACCTGAGGTCAGGAGTTCAAAATCAGCCTAACTAACATGGTGAAACCCCGTCTCTACTAGATAATAATAATAAGAAAAAATTTAGCCAAGCATAGTGGTGCATGCTTATAATCCTAGCTACTCGGGAGGCTGAGGCAGGAGAATCGTTTGAATCTGGGAGGTGGAGGTTGCAGTGAGTCGAGATCATGCCATTGTACTCCAGCCTGGGCAAGAAGAGTGAAACTCCATCTCAAAAAAAAAAAAAAAAAGTCATCACACTGCCAAAGATAACCAAGCCTATAAGAAAACAAATTGACATGCATAAGAACCAATAAAAGCAAACAAAAAACAAAAAGAAAAAGTCTTGCAGTTATTTCAGATATTGGAATATCAGAGAAAGCCTATAAAATAGACATGTTAAATATGCTCAGAGAAATAGAAGACAAGTTTGAAAATGACTTCAAGTAATAGGATACTATAAAAATGATATCACAAATTTGATGAAAGAGCCAAATAGAGAACCCCTGGAAATAAAAATGCCATAACTAGTGTTATAGCTCTTTTAGAATTTGTCCCCAACCAGATAAATAAAAAGATATCTATACCTAGACGCATCATAGGAAAACTGTACAACACCAGAGACAAAGAGAAAAATCTTAAAAGCAGCCACAGCAAAAAGATATATTATCTTTAAAAGAATAAAAGTTAGTCTGAAGTTGACTTCTCAGTAGCAACAACAGAAGCCAGAAGATAGTGGATTATTCTCAGTTTGATGTAGTAACTGCCAACCAAGAATTCCACACTCAGGGAAAGCATATTTCAAGATAAAAGTAAATAATTCAAGATAAAAGTAAATAAAGTTATTTTTAAATAAACAAAAGCTGAGTTTGTCATCAGCACATTTTCTTCAAAGGAAATTCTAACACGTGTTCTTCATGCAGAAGGAAAATTGCAGATAGATGTTCTAAGGTACAAGAAAAAATTCAGGGGCCAGGCGCGGTGGCTCATGCCTATAATCACAGCACTGGAGAGGTCGAGGCAGGCGGATCACAAGGTCAAGAGATTGAGACCATCCTGACCAACATGGTGAAACCCCATCTCTACCAAAAATACAAAAATTAGCTGGGTGTGGTGGCACGCACCTGTAGTCCCAGCTACTCAGGAGGCTGAGGCAGGAGAATGGCTTGAACCTGGGAGGCGGAGGTTGCAGTAAGCCATCACACCACTGCACTCTAGCCTGGCAACACAGCGAGACTTCGTCTCAAAAAAAAAAAAAAAGGAAAAACATCAGGAAAGTAGTAAATATGTGGTAAATGTAACTTAAATTGGAATAATACTAACTTCTGGAGATTTTTCAAAAATCACAGAATTAAAAAACAGGACAACATTAGCATATTCATTGCAAAGTGTCTGGAGCAGCCTCTTATGGACCTGAGGTGATTATCTTGAGAAGAAAATTGTGATGGACACAAGGAAGCAAAAGGGTGATCTCTTGAATGAAGAGCTGGCTGATTGAAAGCAAAAGGCTGAAGTGTCCTTAAGAAGAACAACAAAGCCAGCTTCTCTGCATCAGGGCAAAGAACGTGGAGGAATAAGATGCTTGGGCCAGTGGGACCAGAAATATGAAAACAGGAGAGGATGGGATGAGGACACTCAGAACATTAATATTTCCCCACAAATTACTCATCTCCTGTGGAGGGACTCCATGACGTTAGGGTTACTTCCTGTCTTGTTTTTTTTTTGACTGCCTGTGATCCACACTGAGCTGAGCTGCGCTGTGGAAAAGGCACAGCAGACAGACTGATGCAAGAGGGCTAAAAGAAGATGACATGTCAGCAGCATAAACATCAGTTTCAGAATCTGACTGGCTGCTAGTGTGAAAATGTCAGAAGTGAGCTCTGCCCCAAGATGTTGAGGAGGTGTGATGTTAATGCTGATGACACAGATGGAGTCAGCATGAAGCTTTGGCAGCAGCATCTCCAATACAGCTCCAGCCTTCTGTGGGCTTCTGACTGCTTGAGTCATTGTTACAGAGATGGCTGAACATTTCACCCCTCATCTTGTGGTTTTTGGTTATGGATCCAACTGTTCAAGGAGCTGGTGTGAACTGATTCCTAAAGCTAGAATTAGACCAACTCTGCTGTGGGTGTGATGGGTCGTGGTGGGGAAAGCACTCAAATCTAACTTAGAATTCTCTGATTACTTCACCATCTCCTTCAGTAAGTACACTGTCAACTCCTTCAGGGAAGAATGGTATTCTTTATCTTCATATCACCTGGCACATGTAAGTGTCCAATAATAGGTTTTTTTTTTTCTTAAGTGACTAAACCCCTATTAGGTTGCAATAGTCGAAATTCAGATTTGATTTTGTACAGTATCACTGGCATCTCTATTTTCTCTTTCTCCTATTCAACACCTTTTGGGGAGGACATTTGGTATTATCAAAATTTGGGGGGAAAGTTTGATGTCTTTTTCTTTCCAAGTAGTCACTGGCCAGAGTCATAAAATTGTTTTGTACTAGGATTGTGTTAGTCTTTTTTACATCATCAAGGTAAGGAGTGGGTCTGCTCATCAGTTTTAACCTAAGAACAAGGCCAGGCAGTCCAACTTTGTCAACATTAATGGGTATTCAATCATTATAGTCAAAGAATTTTCCATCGGAGGAATTTGAAAACTATGATTTATCAGCCAAAAATCTACCTACTGGTATTGGAGAGAATGAAAATAATGACTGGGCTGATGTCATTTTGTATTCTTTTCCTCCATTCTTAAGGGTTGGAAGCAAGTCTGAAAAATATTTTCATGGGCAGAACGAGTTAATAATTGATTATTAAAAGGGTCTCCTCTCTCCTCTCTCCCCTCTCCTCCCATGACCAACTCTGGAAATGAGTTTATTTTCTTCTTAATCTCAAATGATTTGGTCACCAGTAATAGTACTATGCTATTGTTTCTCAGGCATACCAAGGACTAGTACCCTTAGTTAGGGTAGTCAGCAATTTAACAACGTCCTTGGTTTTGAAGAAAGTCTCCAGCCTTGGATAGATAAAGCAGATGGATTTTATTATGACATTTTCACCTTTAATTGTATGTTGGTTACAAAGTGAATTTGGGTAGAGATAATAAAGATCTAGGAGAGAAGATATTGCAGTAGAAAGTGAAATCCCAGAAGCAAAGGTGCCAAGAAGAAGAGAAAGTGCCAGGCCTTGGAGCTTTCAATGAGAAAATGCTCCATGTTACTAAGTCAGGTAAATACCAAGGAACTGTCCTCTACACATTTTGTGATGGTTAAGAAAATGCCTTTGGGAGGCCGAGGCGGGCGGATCATGAGGTCAGGAGATCAGACCATCCTGGCTAACACAGTGAAACCCCGTCTCCACTAAAAATAGAAAAAATTAGGCGGGGCATGGTGGCTCACGCCTGTAATCACAGCACTTTGGGAGGCCAAGGCGGGTGGATCACGAGGTCAGGAGATCGAGACCACGGTGAAACCCCGTCTCTACTAAAAATACAAAAAAAAAAATAGGGGCATGGTGGCGGGTGCCTGTAGTCCCAGCTACTCGGGAGGCTGAGGCAGGAGAATGGCGTAAACCCGGGAGACGGAGCTTGCAGTGAGCCGAGATCGCGCCACTGCACTCCAGCCTGGGCAACAGAGCAAGACTTCGTCTTAAAAAAAAAAAAAAAAAAAATCAGCAGAGCATCTGTAGTCCCAGCTACTCCGGAAGCTGAGGCAGAAGAATGGTGTGAACCCAGGAGGCGGAGCTTGCAGTGAGCTGAGATCTCGCCACTGCAGTCAGCCTGGGCAATAAAACGA
Organism: Homo sapiens; assembly: GCF_000001405.40. Classification (NCBI taxonomy): domain Eukaryota; kingdom Metazoa; phylum Chordata; class Mammalia; order Primates; family Hominidae; genus Homo; species Homo sapiens. The sequence continues at coordinate 121,831,361 of NC_000011.10, forward strand.
GACTCCGTCTAAGCCAAAAAAAAAAAAAAAAAAAGAAAAGAAAAAAGAAATTGCAACTTTTCATCCATGAAACCAACTCTTAGTCAAATAGTCAATTTCATGGGTTTACATCTAAACCCATGAAATGGGTTTTAGATGTAAAACACAATAACTTTATTTTAAAGCAGAGGATTCGCAGGACAGAGATTTTGAATGGCTTGCCCACTATTTAGTGCCCAAATTATGATCAGAACCTAGTTTTCCAGTCTATTACTTAATTCACAGTACCTGCTGATTTTCTACTTCACAAAGACAGTGTGGAACACTTTATAGATTAAAACAAAAATATTGAAAAGCAGTGTGTTAATTATCCTTTCAAAAGGCTGGAAGACGTATAATAGATAGGTAGTAGAGTGGTTAAACTTGAGCTTTGATAGGCTGGGTTCATGCTACTTCCTAGCTATATAACCTCAGGTAAGTTCTAAAATCTCTTTAAGCTTTTTTTTCTTTTCTGTGAAATGGTGATAATGAGTGTATCTATCTCAGGGTTATGAGATTTAAGTGAGACAATGCATGGAAAATGCCAAGCACAGAGCCTGGCATGTATCATCTCATTCAACATGCTGGCCATTATTTTGCGTGCATGCACAATATGATGACTTAGGACACCTTGGTTGCTCTATGCAATTGTTGAACTGCGTGCAGAACAGTCTTTTCTCCTTTTAATTTTCTGGCCTGTAATTGCTCCACACTGGCTTCAGCACTTGTTGGGTGTCCTTTCTTAACAAATTAGTGATGATTGGACAACCAATAGAAAAGGTGAGTGATGGCTTAAGATATTTAATTATAAAATAAAGACTTGGTACCTTAGAATTGAAGTGATCCTTGGAGGTTATGTAGCTCAATAGTCCTCGAAACATCTTCTGTATATTACTTCAAGGTAAAACAAGAGACAAACAATAACAACAAAAAGAACCCATCTGAATATCTTAGGTCTCCTCCCTCAATTTATTTTGATCTTATTTATGTCACAGATAATATTTACTGAGCACATCCCTTGTACCAGGCATTGTACTATATGGCCTATGGGTGTGATCTCAGTTAATGCTCACAGTAACCCTGTAAAGTTGTGCTATTTTCATCACATTTTAAAGATATGCACACTAAGGTTCAGAGAAATTGTGTCCAAAGGCAATTTGCCTTTGGACACAAGAACACCATGATTTGAAGCTAGCTCTATTTGACTTCAAATTCTATGCTCTGAACCACTTTCCACACAAAGAACAAACCTTGAATCATCCTTTCTGGATCATATATATGCTTATTTGCCCAAATATGCCTGTTCGTGATAAATTCAGACAGATGAGATTTGCACTAAGGCAAATTTAAGGTGATCTCTCATCTAATGCCATAAATGCTACACTTCCTTTTACCTGTGAAAAAATAGCCAGAACTTTGGCTTATAGCCTATCATTGAGTTAAACAAAACAAAACATAACAAAAATATACCTGACTAGCTGCAGACACCACTGGCGCCCATATTCCCTACCTAGGGGCCTGAAGACTGGCCTACCTGACTTGCTGTTGCCATTACTGGCACCACATATCCCACCTGGGGTTCAAAGACTGGTCCACTAGGGGAAAGCCATCACCACTTCTGGTGCCCCGACATGTCACCTAAGGGCCTGACGACTAGCCCAGCTGGTGCACCCCTCCCCAGAAAAGCCACATTATAAGCTCCACAAACAACCACAGCCTAAGCCACTCAGGAACTCAAGGACACTGCTGATGCTGATTACAGCAGAAATGATCATTTGGTGACTACACTACAATGCCCACCCAGAACCAAAGCCAAAGCACCCTACCCAACTGACATTATAAATACATCTATAGGAAAACATCTCTCTTTATGAAGCCACTCTATAAACTTGGAAGAAGAAAAAAACTGCACCAGATTCACAGATATTAATATAACGACACAAAAAACATGAAAAAGCAAGGAAACATGAACACTTCCAAAGGAACACAATAATTCTCCATTAACAAACCCCCAGAGAAAATAACATTTATGAAATGTCTGAAAATAAATTCAAATAATGATCTTAAGAAAGCTCAGTGAGATATAAGAGAACACAGATAAACAATACAAAGAAATCAGGAAAACAATTCATGATCTGAATTAGAAATTCAATAAGAAGATATGTATGGAAAAGAGCCAATCAGAAATCCTGGAACTGAAAAATTCAATGAATCAAATAAAAAATTCAATCAAGAACTTCAAAATTAGACTAGATCAAACAGAATAAATAATTTTTGTACTTGAAGATAGTTAATCAGAAAAAAAAGAAAAAGAAAAAAGAATGAAGAAAACCTATGTGAAATATGGAACTCTATCAAGCAAACAAACTTTCAAATGTTTGGAATTTCAGAAGGAGAAGATACGGAAAAAGGCATAGAAAACCTATTTAATAAAATAATAATCGAAAGCTTCTCAAATCTTGGAAGAGATATACACATCTACATAGAGGAAGCTGAAAGATTCCCAAATAGATTCAACCTTAAAAGGTACTCTGTGAGGCACATTATTGTCAAACTGTTGTAACTGAAAGACAAAGGGAGAATGATAAAAACAGGAGGAGAAAAGCAACAAGTCATGTATAAGGGAATCCCCATCAGACAATTGGTGGACTTCTCAGCAGAAACCTTACAGGCCAGGAGAAAATGAGATGATATATTCAAAGTGCTGAAAGAAAAGAACTGCCAGCCAAGGATATTGTCCACAGTAAAACTATTCTTCAGAAATGAAGGAGAAATAAAGCATTTCCCAGGGAAACAAAAGCTAAGGAAATTAATCACCACTAGATTGGCACTATAGGAAATGCTTAAGGGAGTCCTGTGTTTGGAAATGAAAGTACAATGTCCATGATCATGAAAACACACTAAAATATAAAGCTTGCTGGAAAAGCAGATACACAAATGAAAGAGAATAAGAAATCAAACATCATCACTATACAAAAAGTCACCAAATTGCAAAGATAAACAGTAACAGAGGATGAAAGGAACAAAAGATGTACAAAACAACCCCAGAAATTAACAAAAATGACAGGAACAAGTCCTTACCTATTAATAACAACCTTGAATGTAAACAATTTAAATTATCCAATTAAAAATATAGACTTGCTAGATGGATTAAAAAAAACCACAAGACTCAACTATATGCTGCCTTATAAGAAACTCACTTCACCTGTAGACACACACAGACTGAAAGTGAAAAGATGAAAAAATATATTACATGCAAACAAAAACCAATAGCATATTGGAATAGCTAGACTTATGTCACACCAAATAGACTTCAAGTCAAAAAACATGAAAAGAGAAAAAGAAGGTAATTATATAATGACAAAGGGATCAATTCAGCCAGAGCCTAGAACAATTGCAAATACTTACGCACCAAATACTGGAGCACCAGATATATAAAGCAAATATTATTAGAACAAAAGAGAGAGACTTTTACAACAATAACTGAGGACTTCAACTCCACTTTTAGCATTGGACAGATCATTTAGACAGAAAATTAACAAAGAAACATCAGACCTAAACTGCACTATAGACCAAATAGACTTAACAGACAAATCTTAGAACATTTCATCCACCAGCTGCAGAACACACATTCTTCTCATCATCACATGCAACATTCTCCAAGATAGCCCACATGTGAGGCCCAAAAACTAGTCTCAAAAAATATTTAAAAACTGACATTATATGAAGCATCTACTCAGATTGCAATGGAATAAATCAGAAATCATTAACAAGAGGAACTTTAGACATTTTGGAATACATGAAAATTAAATAATATGCTCCTAAATGAACATTGGGTCAATGAAGAAATTAAAGGAAATAAAAAACTTTCTTGAAACAAAAATTTAAACACAATGTACCAAAACCTATGGGATACAACAAAAGTGGCACTAAGAGGAAAGATTATAGAGATAAATGCCTACATCAAAAAAAGTAGAAAGATTTTAAATACATGACCTAATAAGGCACCTCAAGGAAGTAGAAAAGCAAGAATAAGCAAATCCAAAATTAGTAAAGAGAAATAAATAGTAAAGGTGAGAGGAAAACTAAACAAAATAGAAACTAAAAAAAAATCAACAAAACAAATTTTGGTTTTTAAAAAAGATAAATAAAACCCACAGACTGTTAACTAGACTAAAAGGAAACAAAAGAAAGGAGACCCAAATAAAATCAGAGACAAAGAGACAACTGATATCACATAAATGCAAAGGATCATTAGATACTATTATGAACAACTATATACTAACAAATGCAAAAACCTAGAGGAAATGGCCAATATCCTGTACACATATTATCTACCTAGATTGAACAGGAAGAAATAGAAAACCTGAACAAATCAATAATGAATAAAAAGGTTGAAACAGTAATAAAAAGCCTCCCAAAGAAAAGCCCAGGACCAGATTACTTTACTGCTGAACTCTACCAAACTTTTAAAGAAGGACTAACACCAATTCTTTTCAAACTGTTCCAAAATATTAAACCAGAAGGAATCTTTTCTAATTCATTCTATGAGGCAAGCCTTGCCCTAATACCAAAATCAGTGAAAAATGCAACAAAAAGGAAAACTACAGACCAATATTTTTGATGAACATATATTCAAAAATTTTCAACAAAATCCGAGTAAATCGAATCCACCAATACATGAGAAAGATAATACAGCATACTCAAATGAGATTTATCCAGGAATGCAAGAATGATTCAATATATACAAATCAATAAATGTGATATACCACATTAACAGAATAAAGGACAAAAACCATATAATAAACTTAATAGACACAGAAAAAATATTTGATAAAATTCAATAGCTTTTACTGATAAAAACTCAACAAACTGAATATAGAAGTCCATATATGACATAAAAACACTAAAGGCCATATATGACAAACCCATAGGTAACATCATACTAAATGGGGAGAAATTGAAAGCTTTTTCTCTAAGATATGGAACAAAACAAGGGTTCTACTCTCAGCACACTTATTCAACATAGTACTTGAAGTCTTAGCTGAAGCAATTGGGCAACAGGAAGAAATAATGGACATTCAAAATGAAAAGGAAGAAGTCCTTGTTTGCAGATGACATGGTCTTATATTTGGGAAAACCTAAAGGCTTCACAAACTCTTAGATCTGATAAACGAATTCAGTAAAATTTCAGAATACAAAACGAACATACAGAAATCACTAGCACCTCTGTACAATAATAGCAAACTATCTGAAGAAGAAATCTAGAAAGAAATCCTATTTGTAGTAGCCACAAAAATACCTAGAAATAAATTTAACCAAAGAAGTGAAAGATTTCTAAAACGAAAAGTATCAAACACTGACAAAAGAAATAGAAAAGGATAAACAAAAAAGAAAGATATCCCATGTTCATAGACTGGAATAATTAATATTGTTAAAATGTCTATACTACCCAAAGTGATCTACAGATTCAATGTAATCTCTATTAAAATTTCAATGAGATTCTTCACAGAAATAGAAAAAAATCCTAAATTTTGTAAGGGACCACAAAAAATCTTGAATAGTGAAAGTAATCTTGAGCAAAAAGAACACAATTGGAGACATCACACTAACTTCAAAATATACCACAAAACTGCAGTGACCAAAACAGTATGGTACTAGCTTAAAAACAGACATATTAGACCAATAGAACAGAATAGAGAACCCAGAAATAAATCCATGCATTTATAGCCAAATCATTTTTGACACCAAGGCACCAAGAACATACTTTGGAGGAAGGGACAGTCTCTTCAATAGTTGTTGCTGGAAAAACTGGATACTCAAATGCAGAGGAATAAAACCAGGCTTTTATCTCTCATTATTTTGAAAAATCAAATGAAAATGAATTAAAAATTTAAATTTGAGACCCAAAACTATAAAACTACTAGAAGAAAATATTGGGGAAATACTTCAGGACACTGGTCTGGGCAAAGTTTTTTGGGTAAGACCTCAAAAGCATAGGCAAGAAAAGCAAAAATAGACAAATGGGATTACATCAAGCTAAAAGGTTTCTGCACAGTGAAAGAAACGATCAACACAATAAAGAGACAGCTTACAGAATGAGAGGAAATATTTGCAAACTGCCCATCTGACAAGGGATTAATAACTAAAATTATCTAAGAATCTCAAAGACTCAATAGCAAAAATCCAAATAATCTGATTTAAAAATGGGCAAATGATTTGAATAGACATTTCTCAAAAAAGACACAAATGACTGACAGGTGTATGAAAAAAAAAGATCAACATCTCTAATCATCAGGTAAGTGCAAACTGAAACCACAATGCAGTATCATCTCAGCCCAGTTAAAATGACTTTTATCAAAACCAAAAAATAACATGCTGGTGAGGATGCAGAGAAAGGGATGCTCTAATACACCGTTGGTAAAATGGAAATTAGTACAGCCATTATGAAAAATAGTATGGAGTTTCCTCAGAAAACAAAAAATAGAACCACCATATGATCCAGCAATCCTACTGATGGGTATATATTCAAAAGAAAGGAAATTAGTGTATCGAAGAGATATCTGCATGCCCATGTTTTTTGCAGCACTATTCGCAATAACCATGATATGGAATCAACCTAAATGTCCATCAAAGGATGAGTGGATAAAGAAAATGTGGTATTTATACACAAAGAAATATTACTCAGCCATAAAAAGGATGAAATCTTGTCATTTGCAGCAACACGGATGAGCCTGGAGGACATTACATTAAGTGAAATAAGGCAGGCACAGAAAGATTAATAACGTGTTCTCTATCATATATGGAAGTTACAAAAGTTGATCACATGAAGGTAGAGAGTAGAATGCTGGTTATTAAAGGGTAGGAAGGGTTGGAGGAAAGGAAGGTTGATGAGAGGCTGGTTAATGCATATAAAAATACAGTTAGAAAGAATAAGTTTTGTGTTTGATAGCACAGTAGCATGACTATAATTATCAATCACTTATTGTATATTTCAAAATAGCTGGAAGATTTGGAATATTCTTAAAAGAAATAAATTATAAATGTTTGGGGTGATGAATATCCTAATAACCCTGATATGATCATTACACAGTCTGTGCATGTATCAAAATATCACACGTACCTCATAAATATGTACAATTATCAGTAAAAACCCAGGAACATAAATCTGCCTTTTTACTGTACTTTTACATTCTTCATATTTTCTTCCTTGACTCAAGGATGGTGATGCCAAAACACTTGGAGACAAACTCAAAGAAAAAATGGTGTCAGTTATTTGGATTTTTCTAATTCTCAAAATATTTGATCTCATGTAGCCCAAACACCCAGATAATTAACCAAAGCTGCCTCTGCAAGCATGGCAACCAAACTGCTACTAAGCCATTTCAGCCAAACCAGTCAGCCCTGGCTCCAGGACAACTGTGATTTTTTGACCCTTGCCAATTCCATCACTGTGTGGTTGAAACACGAGGGCCCATCTGCCTGATTGAGTCCACTCCACCTTGGAAGAAGCCTCATTTCTCTCTTTTAGGTTATGTCCTGCTGTTCTGTCTATAGGCAGAATCTGAATTTTAATATTTTCATATGGAGTTTGGGTGAAATGATCAATGGGCAGCCCTTCTTGTCTGGGCTTTTTGCTGATCCCACCCTTTGGAATGCTGTGCAAGTCTGTCCTTCCTCCCCATGGAGGTATTCAAACATTCTATTTTCCAGACTCTGGCCTAAGATATAAAACCTTTCTCTCACATTCCACTTAAGGCCCCTTTTTCCATGCTATGAGAATTGTTTAATCCTCTTCTACGAAGTACCCTTTGCCGCCTTGCCTTTGTCTGCCATAGTAACACTGCCTGCTACCATGTTAAGAGTAATATAGATTTCTTTAACGTTGTGTCAAGAGAAATCTTAAGACGGTCCCTTTTCTCTTCTTTGTAATATCTATTCTTGACATTACGGTGAAGATGTTTTTCTCTTAAAACAACTGAAAATTCTCTGCACTTTTGTTCTGCCTGGATTTGAGTACCCTGTCATTTCTTTGTGGTCCTCAGTTTTATTTTTGCTCTGTGTCACTGGAAATGATGGTGTCTCACTCAGCAGTGTTTGCTATGAAGATCTCATGAGCCACTGTATCCTTCTCCCAGCCAACCGCAGAAGAAACTCAAATTCTTCTGACACTGTTGCATTTGGAGATCCTTGCAGCAGTCAAGCTCACTGGATTTTTGCAATGTTCCTTCTCCATGCTTTTACCAACAAAGCTTCATGTTCCCCTTGTTCTGCATTTTACTTCATCTGGATAGGGATCTTGTGGCTTTTGTGCCCTAGCTTAACATTCCTCTGTATCTGTTCAATTCTCCCAAATAACTTGCAACCAGCTTAGTCTTTCCTAAATAGCCCTTCTGGCTCCAGCAACCTGGGTTCAGCAGTTCCTTTTGGCCTAGCTGTTCTTGCTTCCCATGAGTTTATAGGGTGGACCCATGGTGCCATAGAAGGGGCATTAGCTGGACTGGTAAATATCTGTGTGACATTGGACAAGTTATAGTACCTCTGTGGGGCTTTGTTTCTTCCTCCTAAACACATGGACTGGATTAAATTATCTTTAAGGGGCCTTCCCTGCTGGTGAGACATGCTGTGAAATGTTGGGGCTTTTCAAAAGCTCTGGAATGTACTGCTCATGGGAAAATTAGTTGAATCAGTCTATGGTAGTCCCTGATGATAACAATTGCAACAACCTTTATTTCTGGACAAGCGAACTAATTGTTTTCTTCAATGTTCTTGCTAGTGCTACCTTAAGATAGACTGAAAGAGTTAACCCATTTTATTTACTATCTTCTCCAACCATTTCATATTGATTGGTCCATCTCAAACTAATGAATATGAACTTTTTAAAAAAACAAGCCATTCATTCTTTAACTCATTTGATCACCAAAACGCTATGATAGACACTATCTACATCCTTGACAAATTTATACTGCAGCTCACTTAATTTTATTGACCATAGTCTGTTTAAAAAGAGGGTCAATTTTTGCCTGCATTTGCCATATTTGCTTTCAAAGCAGTCCTTTACCTCCTTGGGTTACTTTAGGAAGCAAAAATTTTTAAAACACAGCCAAAGTTGCACAAGATTCATTCAATTTGGGGTAATTCTTTCAGTCAGGTTGGCTCTAGGTTCCTATGAAGTTGGTGTGATTCAGTTCACTAGAATCAATGCTAGGGTTTCACTTGGAGACATTGGCCTCACTAGAATTTCAATGAATACCCTTTGAGAATGTGTTACTTTTTATTATTGATATCACAAAAAAATTGGCTAACTAGGTGTGTGATTCTGACAGTAAGGAAAATAAGATATTTTCCTTTCAGGTAGAGTTTTCTTAGGCTTCTTTGTGAGCAGAGAAGGGAATTCAGTAGAAAACGTGAAAATGGCAATGTCATTATCATTACTATTTAAGATGCTGTGATTCAGTAGCAGAGGAATAAAATGCTTCAGACTTGCCTGCAGAGTGCCAGATAATCAATTACCCAATTATTCGGACAGATGTCTGACCTATGATTCTATATACATCACCTGATTGAAAAGACATACTTCTCTCTTTGCATAAAGGATAGCTACTTAGTATGGTAACTTACATGGTATTGTGGAATTCGAGAGCCAGAAGTGGCTTTTATGAGCCAATAGCACATTTTTAGAGGAGGTAACTTTGAAGAAAATGTTCCAAACAAGAGAAGAAATGGAAAAGATAGTCTGAAAGATATCAGGTGAAAATTACTCCTTGCCTAAGTAGAGAGTAATAATATAATCATAAGATAATTATAACCTACTTGGAGCATAAAGCAAAGCTGGGCCCCACATGGCTCTCCTTTCATTTCATCACTACTCTGTGCTTACCTTGTCTTCTTTTCAGGCTAGGATTTCTTCACTCCAACCACGCACACCCACAGCTAACTTTACTAACTCCTGCCTCTAAGCCTTCATCCCAATCTTTTCTCAACAGCTGGAACGTTCCCCTTGTTTCTAGCCATGACTCCATAAACCACCCTGTCCTAAAAAACTGTGCAGGATTCCCCTTCAAACAGTTGCTTTATTTTCATTTTTAGGCATTCTTCACGGATATTTGTCTCATCTTGCCCACTGGTCTTTAAATTATTGGAGAGACAGAATTATCCCTCTTCTTTATCTTTCCTTACCACATTTTGTCCTATCTCTTCTGCTTTTTGAGATGTGAGTTGGCAATATTTTTGATAGAAAAATAGTCTTCTGACCAGAGCAGTTTAGTTTCAGCAAGATATAATCCTAGGCTACTCAATGCCTTACAATGCCTGCATGTGGAGAGTAAAAGACATTTTGGGGTGACATTTGATCCCTCCCATATACTTGAAATACAAAGGAGCCTAAATGTCAACCAAGTTTTAGGTTACTTACAGACAAGCTTTCCACTTCAGTGATTTCAGAAATTGAGTGGATTGTTCTTTGTCTCATAAACAATTCATTTTTAAGATGCTGATGGCCTCAGCTCTGGCTTGTGGCCAGCTTCAGGAAGTGTGGTTCACAAGCCATCAAGGCCTGTGCATACTCCGCATTCTTTGAGTAATGCAATTCTGGACCAAAATCGATTCCAGAAGTCTGATCTTCCGAGAGGAGGCAATGCTCTGAGCTGGTTGAACAGCCCCCTCCAGCTCGCCCTGCCCACTACTTCAATCGGCCTGGAAGGGTTAAGCAACCAATCAAAAAGCTAAGCAAGCAGTTTGGTGAGACCAAAGTTGCAGGGATCTGAACAAGTAGATGAGCTTGGCAGCTTGTGTTTGAAGAATTTGTTTCATGTTTTGGATAAAGTCTGGGAATTTATCCTTCAAAATTCCTTAGATTTAGTAACATGTCAATGCACTGTGTTAATGCAAGGAGTTTTCTTTCTCTTTTTCTTTTCTCTTTTTTTTTTAAGGTTAAAAGCCGCCTTCCATTTTAAGTATGCGTAATCCATCCAAATCCTGCCTAAGAGAACAAAAGGGGTGCCGGTAATTTTCTCTTTCACAAAATGCAGAGACTTCCTCTCTGTCCTCTCCAAGTACCATTCTATGAAGTGAAGGGAAATTACACTCCTCACCATTGAAAAAGAGATTATGCAAAATGAGAAGGTAAAGCCAATCGCCATAATACAAATACAAATACCCGCTTAATTCCTTCCATCTAGAGCCCTGTACATTTTCTTTCCAGATGTGGATATATATTTGGAAGTATATCCACATCTGCCTTTAAAAAAAAAATTCTATTATCTTGTATTTTTAAGGGCTCATGCACAGTAGAATCTTCAGTAGGAACATCATGAGCTCCAGCTCTGGGCTCCACATCTTGCTAAACTCATCTCTTTTCCTTAAATATGAAACATCTCCACTGAATCACCTCACTGGGGGCTCCAAAATTCACGGTTTATTTTTTATTTTTATTTATTTATTTATTTATTTATTTATTTATTTATTTATTTATTTTGAGACAGAGTCTGGCTCTTGTCCTCCAGGCTGGAGTGCAATGGCAGCATCTCAGCTCCACTGCAACCTCTGCCTCCTGAGTTCGAGCGATTCTCCTGCCTCAGCCTCCTGAGTAGCTGAGATTACACCTGCTACTACGCCCAGCTAATTTTTGTATTTTTAGTAGAGACAGGGTTTCACCGTGTTGGCCAGGCTGGTCTTGAACTCAAGACTTCAGGTAATTCACCCACCTTGACCTCCCAAAGTGCTGGGATTATAGGTGTGAGCCACCGCGCCCGGCCAAGGTTTATTTTTTTTAGGTAGTCTTGCCCTTTCATAATTTGGGAATTGGTTATTCAGTTCTTCTTTCTTCCCTTACATGCACACATAATGAGTTGGGATGACTTACTCTTCAGTGTGACAAAGTAGCAGAAGCCTCTTCTGTTTCCAGCCCAGACACTGGGATCGGACAGGAGCCTTTCCGTGCTCTGTGGAGCATCTTGGATTCATGTTAGGACTACAACAAGACAGGACACCTGCAGTAAATGTTGGGTAGAACCCTCTTAGAGCTGGGGCTAATGGAAGGATGCCTGGAAATCCAAGAGTGGGGAATTCAAATGCGTTTTTTGTTGTGGAAGCTGAATTTATCTTTACTGCTTTTCTATGGTCAATATTAGGTCAATTTGCACTTCTTCAGAGTTGGTGCCAATGTGCTAAAGGGAATGATGGGTAATAGGCAAGAGCTAGCCTAGGGGTAATTATTGATCTCAGATTATTTAAAATATTGATTCCTTCATTTATGAGTTAATTAATTGACAGTATTGGTCGAGGTGCTGCTCTGCAACAGGCACTGTGCAAGAAGTTGAGAATAATTGTAAATTTGAATTATCCTCAAGTTTCTTATAGTGTAGATATGTTCTACACTCTATGAAATATTCTGCACAGAATGAAATATTCTGTGGCCTTTGCTGTAATGAAATATTATTTTGTTTGAGAGAACGTATGAATAAAATAGTGCAAGTTTCTAAGTCTGAATGTGTTAAAATGCAGGTTCAGCTGTGATTAACCCACTAAAAACCTTTGAAAACCATGGCTTAACCAAGACACATTTATTTTTCTTTCACAAAAATAAGTCTGTAGGTAGGTAGTTGAAGGCTGACATTATAGCTTTAGAAGTCAACAGAAATCTGGGCTTCTCCTACATCCTTCCATGGCTCCTAGCTTCTACCTCATGATCCAAGATATCTTTACTTTGCTCCAGCTATCACATGCTCATTTGGCCAGCAGGAAGGAGGAAGGGGGAGAAGAAAAGACAACGCCTCCTGCAAAGAACAGTGGTCAGTTGTATGCTAACACCTTACTGGCCAGAAATTTGTCACATGGTCACACTCAACTGCAAGGGAAGCTGGGAAATGCAGTCCCTATTGGGACTTATATTCCTAAGGAAGAAGAGAATATAGTCCTGAGTTTGAATCCCAGCTGTGTTGTTTACCAGCTAGGCCACCTCTGGTGAATTAGTCTTGTGAATCTGAGTTTTCTTATCTCTCAAATGGAAAGATAATATCAAACTTATATGGTTATTGCAGAAGTTGAGTAATAGTGCAGCTTTATAATATCTAACACACAGCTTAACTGTACTTGCTATCTGTAGGAGCAGTTACTATTTGGACAAGATGTCATTGTGGGACAAAAAGGGGAGTGTTGTATCTCAGAATGTCAGGAAAGGATCCAGAGCAGTGATCACTGACAGCTGAAACATTAATATGTGTGATTCTATTGTAGTTCTTATTTAGTTAAAAAGCTCATCTCAAACTAGAACCGCAACAGTTGGCATAGTTGTTTCTTATTTACTTCCCCATCTCTTATTCGGGGGCCTATTCACCAGTTCATGTCTGTTAGCTACTCAGTATCTGCCTATCTGTCCCATTCTTTTAATTCCTACAGCTATCACACTACTTCAGCCCCTTATTGTCTTGTTGCTTGACTGAGGCAATAGCCTCTTAACTGGTCTACCTATCTTCATTTTGTTTTTGTTTTTCCAGCCCTCTCCCCTCCCTCCACTCCCAAGAGTGATTTACTAAAATTGTAGATGCATGGTTCTTTATGGTTTGCAGAATGAAGGAGAAATGCCTCAGCATGGAGTTCAGAAATTCAACCGATTTTTCTAGCCTCATCTCCACTTGTCCCTCTACAGCCTATCATACTGGACACAATGGGTTTTATGCTGGTTTGCATTTGTTCACAGTGTTCTGAGCCTGTATTCTCCTCCCTTTCTCTACTGACCAGCTAAATCCTACTTATACCTGAAGATGAGCTAAGATGTTACCCACTTCTTGAAGATTTTTCTTTGTCTCCTTGAGTAGATTTAAATACTTATTTCTCTATATTTTCACCATACTCAGTTTGAATTCAATTACATTGAACAAATACTTCTTGAGGGCGTTCTATATATTAGATATCGAGCATAGTCCCTGCCCTGAAGGAGCTCGTAGGGGAAAAGAAATGTAAGCAGACTGTGACACAACATGATTATACCACACCAGAGATATGTATAGATGGTAAGTAGGTAATACAGAAGAAGGACCGAATAACTGGGAAACAGGTGGGGAAGGAAGAAGAGAGAGTACAAGGAAATCTTCCCCAAGAAGATGATGTCTGTGTTGGGTTTTGAAGAAGGTACAGAAATTATTGAAACAAAAAAGGGCAAGAGGGAGAGGCTGAGAACATCTGAAACAGAAGAAACAGTTAGATAACATTTGTTAGGGAATTATAAGCAGCCCAGCATAATTTGATAGCTAACATAATTACCATTCACAAAATGCTCACTATGTGCCAAGCACTGGGCAAAAATGCATTATATTCTTTATCTCCTTTTACCTTACAGGCCCTGTGAATAAAGTTTATCTCTAGTTTATAAGTAAGGACACTGAAACTGAGAATGGTTACATAATTTGCTCAAGGCCAGACGTTTAGGAAGAGATAGATACGGCATTCAAATTCAGACATATCTGCTCTCAGTGGTGCTGGGGGTGGAAAGCAGTAGAATAATGAGATGCAGGATTCGTTAGAAGTCAGATGCCAAGGCCGGGCATGGTGGCTCACTCCTGTAATCACAGCACTGTGGGAAGCTGAGGTGGGTGGATTGCCTGATGTCAGGAGTTCGAGACCAGTCTGGCCAACATGGTGAAACCCTGTCTCTACTAAAAACACAAAAAAATTAGCCGGATGTGGTGGTGTGCACCTGTAATCCCAGCTACTCAGGAGGCTGAGGCAGGGGAATTGCTTGAACCAGGGAGGTGGAGGTTGCAGTGAGCTGAGATTGTGTCACTGCACTCCAGCCTGGGCCACAGAGCGAGACTCCGTCTCAAAAAAAAAAAAAAAAAAAGTCAGATGCTAAACAAAGGAATGTGGACTTTATCTTTAGGCGATATGTGTTGGGAAGAGTGTAGACCCTTGGGGGAGGATGCATGATTAGATTAGTGTTTTGGAGAGATGACTTTTTTGGCCATGTAGAGGATGAATTAGATCAGGTTATTCCATATTTTTATTTAATACTTTTATCATCAACACTATATTAAAGTCAATAATTTTTGCAATTACTTTTCTGGTGGATGGGGCTATGTTTTTTTTTAATCCCTCTCATGGAGTTTGTTAATTAATAAATGAAGTAATGAATTAATGCAATTTTAATTTAGAAAGTTTCTATGCATGATAAGGAGACCAAATAGCCACTTACCTGATTCTATTTGCTGATGCCTAAAAAATGTCATGAATAAAAATAAAAAATGGTCACTAACTTTGGAGATAAGACTTATGAAGTATGAAAATACAGCCAATATGAGGGGAAAGATTGCTAAGTGAAATCTTAGCAAAAGTGGAAGTGAAAAACGCTCTAGTGTTTAGGAAACTTGAATTTGAATTGTAGCTCTGCCATTTCTTAACTGTGTATTTGGGCAAATTCCTTCACCTCTCTGAGCTAGATTTTTCCCATCTCTACAGTTAGAGTAACTTTTGAGTGATTCAGAGAAGGCACAAAGAAGGTGGATTCTAGGTACTAATAATGTTTAATTTCTTGATTTGAACAATGGTCGTATGAGTATGTCCATTCTGTGAAAAGTTATCAATTATACTTTTATGTGTATATATTTCTGCATGTGTTTTTTTATTTTGAAAAGTAAATTTATGAAAGAACACAAAGTAAAGAAAGTGTTTTTAACTTAACTTATTGTTTTTCCAGATTGGGTAATCAGTGGTTATAATTATTGATCCTTAACAGAAATAAAAGTATAGATGTCATATCAAAAGACAAATATCATGAAGACTAGTCCATGAACTCTTTCGAGCAGCTACTTAATAAATTAAAAAGAAACTATAATAGAGGGACTGCTTGTCAAACATGTTTATCACTACTTCTGAAGCTCCACTCAAAGAACAGCAAAAAAAAAAAAAAAAAAGTGCAAATCTTTTTTGACAAAGAAAATGGGAGAGTAAGTACATGGTAGAAAATAAAAGTCAGTAATATTTGAAAGTTCATTTTTATTACTTTTGATTTTGAAATAGCTTAATATCATGATCAGTTGCAAAAATAAGTACAGAAAGTTCCTGTGTTTCCTTTAACCAGCTTGCCCTAATGACAAAATTGTACATAGCCATAGTACCTTTTGAAAACCAGGAAACTGACATTGGTACAACACTATTACTTAAGTACAAATCTTATTTGGATCTCACCAGTTTTTATATGCACTTCTTTTTATGGTGTATAGTTCTATGAAATTGTATCATATGTTAGATTTGGTGAAGAGTCATCAGAATTAGGATACAGAAATATTCTATCACCAAAAAAAAAAATTTCATGTTATACCTTACTAGTCCCTCCCTTCTGTCAGCCCCTGACAATTATTGATCTGTTCTTTCTCACTACAATTTTGTCATTTTGAGCATGTTATATAAATGGGATTGTATAATAGATAACTCTTTGATATTAACTTTAAAAAAATTCAAGTTGCTACATGTATGAGCAGTTTGTTCCTTTTTGCTGAATAGTATTCCTTGACCTGGATGTACCAGAATTCTTTTTTTTTTTTTTTCTTTTTTTGAGATGGAGTCTTGCTCTGTCAGTCACCCAGGCTGTAGTGCAGTGGTGCGATCTCGGCTCACTGCAACCTCCACCTCCCAGGTTCAAGCAATTCTCTGCCTCAGCCTCCTGAAGAGCTGGGATTACAGGCACCCACCACCACACCTGGCCATTTTTTGTATTATTAAGAGAGATGGGGTTTCACCATCTTGGCCAGGCTGGTCTTGAACTCCTGACCTCGTGATCCACCTGCCTCGGCCTCCCAAAGTGCTGGGATTGCAGGTGTGAGCCACCGTGCCTGGCTAGATGTACCGGATCCATTCACTTGTTGAAGTGAATTTGTGTTGTTTCCAGTTGTTGCCTATTATAGTAAAGCTGCTATAAACATCTGTGTACAGGTTTTTGTGTTGACACAACTTTACATTTTTCTAGGCAATATATGCAGAAGTATAACTGCTGGATCATATGATCAGTATATGTTTAATTAATAAGAAACTGCCAAACTTTTTTGGTGACTATATCAGCAATGTGGGAGAAATGCAGTCACTCCACCAGCATGTGGTTATTACAAATATTTTTATCATCAGTATTAATTTCAATATTTTAACTTTAGCCATTCTAATAGATGTGTAATGATATCGTATTTGGAGCTTTAATCTGCATTTTCCTAATGGCTAATAATGAACATCTTTTCATGTTTATGTTTGTCATCCACATATCCATGTATCCTATTTGGTAGTGTCTGTTCAAGTTTGCCACTCATTTTTGAGTTAGATTGTTTGCTTTTTTACTGTTGAGTTTAGAGGGTTCTTTATGTATTCTGAATACTTTTGTTATTTATATATATATATATATATATATATATAAAACATATATACATTGCAAATATTGCAAATACTTTCTTAGGATCTTTCATAGAACACATATTTGTAATTTTGATAAAGCTCAATGTATTAACTTTTTTCTTTATGGATCATTCTTTGGTGTCATGTTGAAGAACCCCCTGCCTAACCTTTAGCCATGAAGATTTTCTCCAATGTTTTCTTCTAAAAGTTTCAATAATTTTATGCTTTACATTTATGTACATAATTCATTTTGGGTTAATTTTTGTACAAGATGTAAAGTTTAGATTGAGGTTCATTGTTTTGCCTATCATTGTTCCAACAGCATTTGTTGAATAAACAATCCTTTCTCCATTGAAATCCTTTTGCATCTTGCCAAAAAGTAGTTGGCAATATTTGTGCAGCTCTGCCGTGGGACCTTATATTGTGCTCCATTGTGCTCTGAATCATATGATCAGCATATGTTTAACTTTATAAGAAACTGCCAAACTTCTCTGGTGACTATATCAGCAATGTGTGAGAAATGCCTCTATATTGTGCCTTTACCAATACAACACTCTTGATTATTGCATCTGTATAAGTCAAAATCAGGTCATGTTATTCCTCTACCTTCACTCTTCTATTTAAAATTGTTTTGGCTATTGTAGTTTCTTTGCCTTTTTATGTAAATGTTTGTTAGCATCAGCCTGTCAATACCTGCAAGTAATCTTTCTATGATTTTGATAGAAATTGCTTTAACCCTATAGATCAATTGAAGGAAAATAGATATCTTTACTATGTTGAGTCTTCCAATCTGTCTCTTCACTAATTTAGTTCTTCTTTGACTTCCGTCTCATTGTTAAGGGAGCCCTAAACAAAAGGTTCTGTTTTTTTTTTTATGGACCCTTAGTTTGGGGAGAGAGTGAGGGTGGGAAACTACTAGTAGAAAAGTACTGAGTATTGAGCCAGAATGGGGAAAAGGGTCTTCAAGATTTCTTCCTCCTTCTCCCATAAAGAGACTCCCAACATCATAGTATCAAATATTAAACTAGTCTTTTATTCCTGCAATAAACCCAATTTGGTCATGGTGTTCTATTATTTTTACGTATTTCTGCATTTGAGTTGCTAATATTTTGATGGGGATTTTTTTGCATCTTTGTTCAAGAAGGATATGGGCCTGCAGTTTTTGTTACTTCTTTTATAAAAAAATAATAAATTCAATTTCTCTAATACTATAGAATTACATGCCTTATCTATTTTATCTTGAGTGAGTTTTGGTAGTGTGCCATTTTGAATGAATCAGTCAATTTCATTTCAATTGTCAAATTTACATATGCAGAGTAATTTGTAGTACTTTGATATTTTTTTTTTTTAATGTCTGTTGGGTCTGTAGTGATATCCCCTTTTAGTTCCAGTATTGTTAACGTATCTTCTCTTTTTAACTTTGTTGGATTTGCTGAAAGTTTTTTGAATTTACTATTTTTTTTAAAGTATCTGCTTTATATTTGATGAATTTTCTGTCTTGTTATAGTTTCTTTACTGTTTTGTTTTAAATTTTATTGACTTCTGGACTTATTTTTATTATATCATTCCTTTTGCCTATTTTGAGTTTTTCTAGTTTCTTTAGGTGAAATTTTAGATTATTAACCTGCTTTTTCTTTTACAATATAAGCAGTTAGTGCTATAGATTTCCTTTTCAGAACTGTTTTAGCTGCATCCCCCATATTTTAATGTGTTATATTTTTATTTCATTTCAGTTATATGTATTTTTAAATTTTAAATTTGCTTTGAGATTTTTCTGTTTGAGCCATGGATCATTTAGAAATACCTTGTTCCCTTTCCAAGTGTTTGGATTTTTCTGCTACCTTTCTTTTATTAATTTCTACTTTGATTCCATGATAGTAAGATAATATAATTTGCATGATTGTAATTCTTTTAAATTTGTTAATGTTTGTTTTATGAACGTCCCATGAACATTTGAAAAGAATGTGTATTCTGTTGTCTTTGGGTGCAATTTATAAATAGTCAGTTTGATCCCATTAGTTGAAGGTATTGTTCAGTTGTTCTAGATTCATGCTAAAATTTTGTCTCATGGTTCTATCAATTACTGAGAGAGGGGTTCTGAAGTCTTCAACTATATTTGTGGATTTTTCTCTCTCTCCATTTTTCTCTGGTAGTTTTTGTTTCATACATTTTGCAGCTTTGTTTTATGGTGCATACACATTTAACATTGTTATGTCTTCTTAGTGAATTCACCCTTTTATCATATGATGTCCTTATTTGACTCTGCTAATTTTTTTTTGTTCTTTCATCTATTAACATAGCCACTTCAGCTCTCTTTTTATTAGTATCTGCATGGTATTTTTTCCCACCCTTTTACTTTATTTTTAAATTCTTATTTATTTTTTGTTTTTGAGACAGGGTCTCACTCTGTTGTCCAAGCTGGAGTGCAGTGGCATGATCATGGCTCACTGTATCACAACCTTCTGGGTTGAAGCAATCCTCCCACCTCAACCTCCTGTGTAGCTGAGACTATAATCATGTGCCACGATGCCTGGTTAATTTTAAATTTTTTTAGACATGAGATCTTGCTATGTTGCCCAGGCTTACTTTATTTTAATCTATGACTGTAATTATATGTGAAGTTAGTTTTTTTGTAAACAGCATATAGTTGGATCATGTTCCCCAATGCCACTTTTTTCTTCTTTTTAATTAATTCTGTCAATCTCAATCTCTTAAATGGTACCTTTAGATGACTAACTTTTAATGAATTTACTGATATGTTGGAATTTAAATCTGCAATTTCATTTTTTGCTTTTTGTTTGTTCTATTTTCAATCTTCTGTTTCCCCTTTCCTTTCTTCTTGTAGAATAAATATTTTTTAGAAATCAATTTGATCTATCTATAATTTGTTTTAGTATACCTATTTCTGTATTTTTAAATAATCACCTCAGGGATTACCATACACATACATAGTCTTTTTGCAGTCTACTAGTATCAACATTTTACCATCACCACTTCAAGGAGAATTATAAATACCTTGTTGCTATCAGTTCCTTTTCCTTTCCTTTCCCCGTTACAATATAGTTATCTCAAGTATTACATTGAGAATTATAGAATATAATGTTATAATTTTTACATTATATGTTTATGTTTAATTAAACATAAGTAAAATTTTAAAAAATTTAAGAGGTAAATATATTTATCCACATATCTACTCTTTGCATTGTCATTTGTTGTTTTCCTGATTCTCATAGTTTCCTTATATTATCATTTCTATCTGAAAAATGTTTTTAGCAAAGCTTTTGGAGTAAGTCTGCTGACAACAAATTCCCTTTGATTTTGTTCGTCTGAAAATAACTTTATTTTACTTTCATTCCTGAAGGATATTTTCACTGGTTAGAATTCTGGAGTAATAGTTTTATTTGTTTTCATTATTTGAATAATGTTTTACCACTTTCTTACGGCCTCCTTGATTTCTGACAAGAGATATGCTATCATTCAAATTTTTTTTTTCTCTTATGGGTAGTGCATAATTTCTCTCTCTCTCTGCTTTCAAGATTATTTTGTCTTTAGTTTTCAAATATTTTATTATGATGTGTTTTGATATGAATTTCTTTGGGTTTATTTCGTTTGGCGTTCACTCAACTTCTTGAATCATAGGTTTATGTCTTTTACCAAATGCAGAAATTATTCAGCTATATTTCTTTGAATGGTTTTTCAGTTTCACTCTCTTTCCCTTGTCCTTTTACGACCCTGCTGACACAGATATTACATCATTATTGTATACTGATGCTCTCTCCTCCCAACTCCCTGCAAGTCATAGGCTCAGATAATTTACAGGTGAGTTCAAGGAAGAGATAACCCTTGTGTTATACAGCATACAAGGGCAGATGTCTTCTCAAGTCACATTGTGAGGGAAGTATAACTTTGATTCCAAAATCCAGGTATAGGTATTACCCCCCAAAATAAAACTGTAGTCCTATTGTACTTATAAACGTAAGTACATAGATTCTAAATAGATGGTAAACTAAAACAAACAATGTATTAAATAATGCATCAATATTGTGTAGAATTTTTACCTGAAATGAAAAGGGAAAAAATTATTGTCTCAGTAGATTCTGAAAAAAACTATGATGAAGTTTAAAACCTATTTATAATTGAAAGCTATCAAATAACAAGGAATTTTAAAAAATCCTTAACATTATATAAAAAATACATCAAGCCTAATATTCAACAGGAAAACTTTAGATGTATTTTCTCTAATGTCAGGAATAAAATGAGGATGTCCACTATTATTGTTACAGCTCAACAAAGTATTGGAGGTCTTGGAAGATATAATAAAAAACAAAAAGGATGTAAAAGGTATAGCATTAGAGAGAAAGGAGATACAACTCTTATTATACATAGATGATAAGATTATCTACACAGAAAATATTATAAAACCAGGCTATTAGGACTAATAAGAGACTTCTAAAAAAGTTATAGTGTTCTCCTACTTAAGTGATAATTACAAGAAAATAAAAATTATAATATTCTAAATAGCATAAAAACTTATGATACATATAAAATTAATGGAACTCTATAGCTCCTTGTGGAAAATTTGAAAACCCAAAAAGACATAAATGAAGAGTTATCCTGTATTTGAATAAGTTAATATGACAAATATAAAACTTTTCTTTCAAATTTAAATTCAATGAAATTTAAAATTAATTTTTTCCTAAGTTATTTTTGAAAAAAATCAACAAAATGAAAACAAAGTTCATACTTAAAATTCAAAGTTTTGAATGAATAAGCCCATGGCTAAGTAAATTTCATAAAAAAGTAAAGAAATGTAACTACCATATAATCTATCAGATATGAAGACATACTGTAAGGCACAGGAATTTAAAACAAAATGTGATACTGCTGTAGAAATATAAAAATAAAACATACAGTTTAAATACCAGCCATGTATGTAGATGAATAATATATTATGGAAGTGCCAACAAAATCAGTGGAGAAAATATTGATTGTAAATTGGATGGTGGAAGGACAACTGGCTCACTCTATGCAGAAGAGTAAAGTTGGATTTTTTTATTGCATGCCATTTACAAATGTGAATGGCAGATGAATTAAAGGCCCAAATGTAAAAAGTAAAACTGTAAAGCTAATAGAAAAAAAAACAAAAACAAAAAACACCACAGACTATTCTTATGACCTTCTTAGTGAGGAAGAACTTCTTAAACAAGACCACAAAAGCACAAAACGAACTGTGGAAAATTGGTAGATTTGAGTGAAACCACTTTGGAGAACTGCCTGGCAGTTTCTTATAAAGTTAAACATGTGATTACCACATGAACCAGCAATTCCACTCCTAGGTATCTACCCCCAGTAAATTAAAACATATGTCTACACAAAAACTTGTACATAAATGTTCTTCGTGCTTTATTTTTATAAAAGTCCCAAACTGAAAACAACCCAAATGTCCATCAGCACGAGAATGGATAAATACACTGACAAACACAACATGGATGTAGCTCCAAAACCTTATCCTAAGTAAAATAAGCAATACAAAGGAGTACATATGGTATGATTCCATGTAAATACATTTCAAGAACATACTAAACCAACCAACTGTAATAGAAAATAGGTCAATGGTCTTGAGGCCAGGATCTATCATACTTGAAATGGGTATAAGGGAATTGTTTGAAGAGATGAATATGTTCTATGTCATGATTGTGTGGTGGTTATGTCGGTAATTTATTTGTCAAAAATAATCATATTGTACACTTTAAAGGTAGTGTATTTTACTGTGTGGGAATTATACCTCAAAGAAGTAGATTTGGAAAAACATTATTAAGCAAAATTTATGAATCTGACTATATCAAAGTATATGATTATTGTTCCCTAAAAACACCATAAATAATATCAATAGAAATGAGCCTTGGATTAGATGGGTGACAGATTGGAAGAAGATATTTCAATGTCAAAAACTGAAGAGATTAATATGTACGATAGTCAAACCATCGAAGAACTTTGTTAATCAACAATAAAACTGAGAAACTCAATAGAAAAAAAAGGGAATGGTAATAACTTGGAAATTCACAGAGGGGAAATTTAAGTAATCTATAAATAAATAAGGAAATGCTCAACTTCACAAGTAATTAGAAAAATAAAATCAAGAGGATAGGAGCCAAGATGGCCGAATAGGAACAGCTCCGGTCTACAGCTCCCAGCGTGAGCGATGCAGAAGATGGGTGATTTCTGCATTTCCAACTGAGCTACCAGGTTCATCTCACTGGGGAGTGCCAGACAGTAGGTTCAGGACACTGGGTGCAGCGCACCGTGAGCGAGCCGAAGCAGGGCGAGGCATCACCTCACCTGGGAAGTGCAAGGGGTCAGGGAATTCCCTTTCCTAGTCAAAGAAAGGGGTGACAGACGGCACCTGGAAAATCAGGTCACTCCCACCCTAATACTGAGCTTTTCCAATGGGCTTAGAAAACGGCACACCAGGAGATTATATCTCGCACCTGGCTCGGAGGGTCCTAAGCCCACGGAGTCTCGCTCATTGCTAGCACAGCAGTCCGAGATCAAACTGCAAGGCAGCAGCGAGGCTGGGGGAGGGGTGACAGCCATTGCCCAGTTAGTTGTTTGATTAGGTAAACAAAGCGGCTAGGAAGCTCGAACTGGGTGGAGCCCACCACAGCTCAAGGAGGCCTGCCCGCCTCTGTAGGCTCCACCTCTGGGGGCAGGGCACAGACAAACAAAAAGATAGCAGTAACCTCTGCAGACTTAAATGTCCCTCTCTGACAGCTCTGAAGAGAGTAGTGGTTCTCCTAGCATGCAGCTTGAGATCTGAGAATGGGCAGACTGCCTCCTCAAGTGGCTTCCTGACCCCCGAGTAGCCTAACTGGGAGGCATCCCCCAGTAGGGGTGGACTGACACCTCACATGGCCTGGTACTCCTCTGAGACAAAACTTCCAGAGGAACGATCAGACATCAGCATTTGCGTTTCACCAATATCTGCTGTTCTGCAGCCACCGCTGCTGATGCCCAGGCAAACAGGGTCTGGAGTGGACCTCTAGCAAACTCCAACAGGCCTGCAGCTGAGGGTCCTGTCTGTTAGAAGGAAAACTAACAAACCGAAAGGACATCCACACCAAAAACCCATCTGTACGTCACCATCAGCAAAGACCAAAGGTAGATAAAACCACAAAGATGGGAAAAAACAAAGCAGAAAAACTGGAAACTCTAAAAATCAGAGCACCTCTCCTCCTCCAAAGGAACACAGCTCCTCACCAGCAACGGAACAAAGCTGGACGGAGAATGACTTTGACGAGTTGAGAGAAGAAGGCTTCAGACGATCAAACTACTCCGAGCTACAGGAGGAAATTCGAACCAATGGCAAAGAAGTTAAAAGCTTTGAAAAAAAATTAGACGAATGGATAACTAGAATAACCAATGCAGAGAAGTCCTTAAAGGACCTGATGGAGCTGAAAACCAAGGCACGAGAGCTACATGATGAATGCAGAAGCCTCAGTAGCCGATGTGATCAACTGGAAGAAAGGGTATCAGTGATGGAAGATGAAATGAATGAAATGAAGCGAGAAGAGAAGTTTAGAGAAAAAAGAATAAAAAGAAATGAACAAAGCCTCCAAGAAATATGGGACTGCGTGAAAAGACCAAATCTAGGTCTGATTGGTGTACCTGAAAGTGATGGGGAGAATGGAACCAAGTTGGAAAACACTCTGCAGGATATAATCCAGGAGAACTTCCCCAATCTAGCAAGGCAGGCCAACATTCAAATTCAGGAAATACAGAGAACGCCACAAAGATACTCCTCCAGAAGAGCAATTCCAAGACACATAATTGTGAGATTCACCAAAGTTGAAATGAAGGAAAAAATGTTAAGGGCAGCCAGAGAGAAAGGTCAGGTTACCCACAAAGGGAAGCCCATGAGACTAACAGCTGATCTCTCAGCAGAAACTCTACAAGCCAGAAGAGAGTGGAGAACAATATTCAACATTCTTAAAGAAAAGAAGTTTCAACCCAGAATTTCATATCCAGCCAAACTAAGCTTCATAAGTGAAGGAGAAATAAAATCCTTTACAGACAAGCAAATGCTGAGAGATTTTGTCACCACCAGGCCTGCCCTAAAAGAGCTCCTGAAGGAAGCACTAAACATGGAAAGGAACAACCGGTACCAGCCACTGCAAAAACATGCCAAATTATAAAGACCATCGAGGCTAGGAAGAAACTGCATCAACTAACGAGCAAAATAACCAGCTAACATCATAATGACAGGATGAAATTCACACATAACAATATTAACTTTAAATGTAAATGGGCTAAATGCTCCAATTAAAAGACACAGACTGGCAAATTGGATAAAGAGTCAAGACCATCAGTGTGCTATATTCAGGAAACCCATCTCACGTGCAGAGACACACATAGGCTCAAAATAAAGGGATGGAGGAAGATCTACCAAGCAAATGGAAAACAAAAAAAGGCAGGGGTTGCAATCCTAGTCTCTGATAAAACAGACTTTAAACCAACAAAGATCAAAAGAGACAAAGAAGGCCATTACATAATGGTAAAGGGATCAATTCAACAAGAAGAGCTAACTATACTAAATATATATGCACCCAATACAGGAGCATCCAGATTCATAAAGCAAGTCCTTAGTGACCTACAAAGAGACTGAGACTCCCACACAATAATAATGGGAGACTTTAACACCCCACTGTCAACATTAGACTGATCAACGAGACAGAAAGTTAATAAGGATATCCAGGAATTGAACTCAGCTCTGCACCAAGAGGACCTAATAGACATCTACAGAACTCTCCACCCCAAATCAACAGAACATACATTCTTTTCAGCACCACACCACACCTACTCCAAAATTTACCATATAGTTGGAAGTAAAGCTCTCCTCAGCAAATGTAAAAGAACAGAAATTATAGCAAACTGTCTCTCAGACCACACTGCAATCAAACTAGAACTCAGGATTAAGAAACTCATTCAAAACTGCTCAACAACATGGAAACGGAACAACCTGCTCCTGAATGACTACTGGATAAATAATGAAATGAAGGCAGAAATAAAGATGTTCTTTGAAACCAATGAGAACAAAGACACAACATACCAGAATCTCTGGGACACATTCAAAGCAGTGTGTAGAGGGAAATTTATAGCACTAAATGCCCACAAGAGAAAGCAGGAAAGATCTAAAATTGACACCCTAACATCACAATTAAAAGAACTAGTAAAGCAAGAGCAAACACATTCAAAAGCTAGCAGAAGGCAAGAAATAACTAAGATCAGAGCAGAACTGAAGGAAATAGAGACACAAAAAAACTCTTCAAAAAATTAATGAATCGGCCGGGCGTGGTGGCTCACGCCTGTAATCCCAGCACTTTGGGAGGCTGAGGCGGGTGGATCATGAAGTCAGGAGATCGAGACCATCCTGGCTAACACAGTGAAACCCCGTCTCTACTAAAAATACAAAAAATTAGCCGGGAGCGGTGGCGGGCTCCTGTAGTCCCAGCTACTTGAGAGGCTGAGGCAGGAGAATGGCGTGAACCCAGGAGGCGGAGCTTGCAGTGAGCCGAGATCGCGCCACTGCACTCCAGCCTGGGCGACAGAGCCAGACGCTGTATCAAAAAAAAAAAAAAAAAATTAATCCAGGAGCTGGTTTTTTGAAAAGATCAACAAAATTGATAGATCGCTAGCAAGACCAATAAAAAGAAAAGAGAGAAAAATCAAATAGATGCAATAAAAAATGATAAAGGGGATATCACCACCAATCCCACAGAAATACAAACTACCATCAGAGAATACTATAAACACCTCTATGCAAATAAACTAGAAAATCTAGAAGAAATGGATAAATTCCTCGACACATACATCCTCCCAAGACTAAATCAGGAAGAAGTTGAATCTCTGACTAGGCCAATAACAGGCTCTGAAATTGAGGCAATAATCAATAGCTTACCAACTAAAAAAAGTCCAGGACCAGATAGATTCACAGCCGAATTCTACCAGAGGTACAAAGAGGAGCTGGTACCAATCCTTCTGAAACTATTGCAATCAATAGAAAAAGAGGGAATCCTCCCTAACTCATTTTATGAGGCCAGCATCATCCTGATACCAAAGCCAGGCAGAGACACAACCAAAAAAGAGAATTTTAGGCCAATATCCTTGATGAACATCGATGCAAAAATCCTTAGGAAAATACTGGCAAACCAAATCCAGCAGCACATCAAAAAGCTTATCCACCATGATCAAGTGGGCTTCATCCCTGGGATGCAAGGCTGCTTCAACATACGCAAATCAATAAATGTAATCCAGCATATAAACAGAACCAAAGACAAAAACCACACATTATCTCAATAGATGCAGAAAAGGCCTTTGACAAAATTCAACAACCCTTCATGCTAAAAACTCTCAATAAATTAGGTATTGATGGGATGTATCTCAAAATAATAGCTATTTATGACAAACCCACAGCCAATATCATACTGAATGGGCAAAAACTGGAAGCATTCCCTTTGAAAACGGGCACAAGACAGGGATGCCCTCTCTCACCACTCCTATTCAACATAGTGTTGGAAGTTCTGGCCAGGGCAATCAGGCAGGAGAAGGAAATAAAGGGTATTCAATTAGGAAAAGAGGAAGTCAAATTGTCCCTGTTTGCAGATGACATGATTGTATATTTAGAAAACCCCATTGTCTCAGCCCAAAATCTCCTTAAGCTGATAAGCAACTTCAGCAAAGTCTCAGGATACAAAATCAATGTACAAAAATCACAAGCATTCTTATACACCAATAACAGACAAACAGCCAAATCATGAGTGAACTCCCATTCACAATTGCTTCAAAGAGAATAAAATACCTAGGAATCCAACTTACAAGGGATGTGAAGGACCTCTTCAAGGAGAACTACAAACCACTGCTCAATGAAATAAAAGAGGATACAAACAAATGGAAGAACATTCCATGCTCATGGGTAGGAAGAATCAATATCATGAAAATGGCCATACTGCCCAAGGTAATTTATAGATTCAATGGCATCCCCATCAAGCTACCAATGACTTTCTTCACAGAATTGGAAAAAACTACTTTAAAGTTCATATGGAACCAAAAAAGAGCCCGCATCACCA
Organism: Homo sapiens; assembly: GCF_000001405.40. Classification (NCBI taxonomy): domain Eukaryota; kingdom Metazoa; phylum Chordata; class Mammalia; order Primates; family Hominidae; genus Homo; species Homo sapiens. The sequence continues at coordinate 121,859,875 of NC_000011.10, forward strand.
AGTCAATCCTAAGCCAAAAGAACAAAGCTGGAGGCATCACGCTACCTGACTTCAAACTATACCACAAGGCTACAGTAACCAAAACAGCATGGTATTGGTACCAAAACAGAGATATAGACCAATGGAACAGAACAGAGCCCTCAGAAATAATGCTGCATATCTACAACTATCTGATCTTTGACAAATTTGACAAAAACAAGCAATGGGGAAAGGATTCCCTATTTAATAAATGGTGCTGGCAAAACTGGCTAGCCATATGTAGAAAGCTGAAACTGGATCCCTTCCTTACACCTTATACAAAAATTAATTCAGGATGGATTAAAGACTTAAATGTTAGACCTAAAACCAGAAAAACCCTAGAAGAAAACCTAGGCAATACCATTTTGGACATAGGCACAGGCAAGGACTTCATGTCTAAAACACCAAAAGCAATGGCAACAAAAGCCAAAATTGACAAATGGGATCTAATTAAACTAAAGAGCTTCTGCACCGCAAAAGAAACTACCATTAGAGTGAACAGGCAACCTACAGAATGGGAGAAAATTTTTGCAACCTGCTCATCTGACAAAGGGCTAATATTCAGAATCTACAATGAACTCAAACAAATTTACAAGAAAAAAACAAACAACCTCATCAAAAAGTGGGTGAAGGACATGAACAGACACTTCTCAAAAGAAGACATTTATGCAGCCAAAAAACACATGAAAAAATGCTCACCATCACTGGCCATCAGAGAAATGCAAATCAAAACCACAATGAGATACCATCTCACACCAGTTAGAATGGCAATCATTAAAAAGTCAGGAAACAACAGGTGCTGGAGAGGATGTGGAGAAATAGGAACACTTTTACACTGTTGGTGGGACTGTAAACTAGTTCAACCCTTGTGGAAGTCAGTGTGGCGATTCCTCAGGGATCTAGAACTAGAAATACCATTTGACCCAGCCATCCTATTACTAGGTATATACCCAAAGGATTATAAATCATGCTGCTATAAAGACACATGCACACGTGTGTTTATAGCGGCACTATTCACAATAGCGAAGACTTGGAACCAACCTAAAAGTCCAACAATGATAGATTGGATTAAGAAAATGTGGCACATATACGCCATGGAATACTATGCAGCCATAAAAAATGATGACTTCATGTCCTTTGTAGGGACATGGATGAAACTAGAAACCATCATTCTCAGGAAACTATCACAAGGACAAAAAAACGAAACACCGCATGTTCTCACTCACAGGTGGGAATTGAACAATGAGAACACATGGACACAGGAAGGGGAACATCACACACTGGGGACTATTGTGGAGTGGGGGTAGCGGGGAGGGATAGCATTAGGAGATATACCTAATGCTAAATGACAAGTTAATGGGTGCAGCATACCAACATGGCACATGTATACATATGTAACAAACCTGCACGTTGTGCACATGTACCCTAAAACTTAAAGTATAATAATAATAAAATAAAATAAAAAAAGAAAAAGAAAATCAAAACAAAATATCAAAAACATTTTCTATATGGTAAAAGCTAAAGTCATATAACACCAAATACTGTGCTGGAACGAGAGAAACGAGAATCTTCATGCTGCTCACAGTAGTAAAGACTGGTATAGCCATTCTAGAGATAAATCTGGAAGTATTTTAATCAACAAATATTTAAACTATTTTAAGGGCTAGGAAATCAGCAGTGAGTGAACAAAACATATAGAAATATTTGCCTTCCTTAAGCTTATAATCTAGTGGACAGAGAAAACAGCAAACAAAATGTTAAACTAAGGTATGTTAGATGGTAATAAGAGGCATAGAAAAAATAAAGACAGGATGAGAGTAAAGTAGGTGGTCAAAAGAAAAGGAAACAATTACAAGTTTAAATTTGGTGGTTAGGGAAGACCCTATTGAGGAGGAGACATTTGAGCAAAGCCCAGTGAGAGATAAATCACATGTATACCCTGGAGAAGAGAGTCCTAAGGCAGAGTTCATGGCAAGCACAAGGACATAAGTGGAGAGCATGCTTAAGATATTTAAGGAAAGCAAGGTTAGTGTGGCCTGATCTGAGGAAATGAAGAGGAGAATAAGAGAAGATGCAGTAAGAGAGGTAAATTGGAGGAGATAGAAAAGGGCCTTGTAGGTGTTTTGACAACTTTGTATTTCACTCTGAATAGGATGGGAAGTTATTCAGTGGTTTTGTGGAAGGGATCCTTGTAGAAATTAGATATGTATATGGTCTAACAGATAGCAATTCCACTCCTGGCCAAATTTGACAGAAACCTCAGTAGATAGATACATAGTAAGACATACACAAGAATGTTTTCCTCGGGTTTTTTTTTTAAGAGTGAGGAATAGGAGGTTCTTGAGTCAGCCATCACTAGGGGGAATGAATGAGTAAAACTCTTGAAATAGAAGGAATGAATAACAGTTACGTATAGTGTCATGGATAGATCTAAATAGTATTGAGTGAAAAAAAGGAAAGAGAATGAGACCTACTGCACAGTTCAATAAATAAATTTAAAATACAAAAAAGTACAAATGGCAATGCTAAAAGTTTCCAAGACACAATTATCCAAGGATATTTACCGATTAGGTGTCTATGAAGGGGTAGTGAAAAAGAAATGAGAATCAAGGTTGTAAATGAAAAATACATATTTTTTTTTAAAAAAATAAAAGGTTATGGGAAGTTAAAAAAAGATTATCTGCAATTTTACATTCCCTCTGACAAAACCAGCAGCCTAGTTGTCTTCTTCTTTAAAAAATATAAGGAATTTCAAAGATTAAAAGTGTATATTGAATAATGTAGCAAATCACCATGTAGCCATCATCCAGCCCTCCAGATCAATCTATGGTCAATCTCCATAGGTTCACAACCTATCCTCTTTCTTCCCTTTGTTTTTACCTAGTTTTTGAGCTTTTCAAATCAACTTTGATATATAATTTATATACTAAATATACCATACTAAGTATACTAATATAATGTATATAATAAAATACATCATATAAGTATATTCATACTAATAAAATGCATCCATTTTATGTGTACATTTTGATAATTTTTTAGTATAATCATCACCTCAAACAAGTTATAGAACATTTGCATCACTCTAAAATAATTGCTACAGCCTCATTCCAGGCAATCTCATATCACCACCTCCAGGCAACTGATGATCTGCCTTCTGTCACTATACATTAGATTTGTCTTCTTGATTTAGCTCAGAAACAACATGAAGTGTCCATTGTGTTCATGTTTTCCTTTAAATCCTTGTACATATTTATAATATCTTGAAGTATTTTCTGCTACTTTTATCTACACATCATTTATGTGTTTGTTTTAAATGTCTGATTTTTCTCCAGGATATGAGCCACATGTTTCTGCTTTTCCACATGACTAGTAATGCTTGATTATACGTGAGATATTTAGAATGTTACTTGTTGAGTGTCTGGATTTTGTTGTGTTTATGTAAACAGTGTTGGGCTTTATTCTGGCCGGGAGTTACTTTAATTCCAGAATAGTTTGATCCTTTGAGGCTTGTTTTTGAAACGTTGTTAGGGTGGTTTTAGACTCTTAATTCTAGGGTGATTTCAGTGCCACAGTAAATAATGCCCTTTCTGCGGTCTCTGTAGAATTCTCCAACTGTTTTAATGAGAACTTTCACTTGTCTGGAGGGAATTTGAATGTCTCCCAGTTCTGTGTGAACGCTGGTAGCTATTCTTCAATTTATTGATTAATTGATTATTCTTTAGTTGTTATTCTTTACCCAGCCTTGTGTGATCTTATCCTATTCATTCACTGCTTAATATTCATACAAAACTTAAGGAGACTCCTTTCCAGATTTGTGGAACTTGTTTCTCAGCGTAATACCTTCTCCCAAGTACTCCAGCCTGCCTATTCCAGATATCCGAGCCTATCCAAACTTGGATATCTGTCTTTTTAACTTTGTAAGAACACTGCTCTGCTCACAAACCCACCTCTCAGTTTTATGCTCTGGAATGGGTGTCCAAGCAGAAAGAAAAGATAATTGTTAGGCTTACCTAATTTTATATCTTCTCATAAGGTTGCAGTCTATATGTGCACTATATTTGTGTCCTATATTTTGACCAATTTTATTGTTATTTAAAGTGAGAAAGCTAATCTGATGCCATTTACTTCATCATAGCCAAAAGCAGAAATCTCTGGTAGCAAGATTTTTAGAAGAATAGTTAGTCTGTGGCAAGGGCCACTAGTGTATATTCTTCTATGTCCTCAATTATTTTTACCGGTATAGAATTAACACTAACTTATGATTGTACCAGAGTTTAAATTTCTCTTGCAGTACTTTGAGGCTAATATCAGACATATTTTATTTGCACATATTTTACTGTATACCTTTAAAAGGACCCTTGAAAAATAACCATAGTTCTACTATCATAGCTAAAAATTTCAACAATAGTTCCTTAATACCATCAACTATCTAATGTTCAAATTTCCAATTGCTTCATAGGTGTCTTTTTTTTTACAGTTTCATAAATTTCAGAATTCAAACAAGATTCACAAAGTATAATTGTTGATTTGCCTTTTAAGCTTCTTTTAATATCCATGTTAACTTTCCATTTCTTTTGTTTTTATTTTGACATATATTGTTTTTGCAGAATCTAGGTGTTTGTCTTGTTTGTCCTGGGTGTTCCTCACTGTATGGATTTTGCTGATTGCATTTCTATCACTCTTACATGATATAGTTGCTGTGGCTTGAGTGTATCCCATCAAAAACTCATATTGAAATTTGATTTCCAATTGACGGTGTTGGAATATGGGGCCTGGTGGTAGGTTTTTGAATCATAGGGGCCTACCCTCATGAATTGATTACTGCTATGTCCTGGGAGTGAGTTCTCACTCTCTTAGAAATGGACTAGTTCCTGCCTGAGCGGGTTGTTATAAAGCAAGGCCAGCCTCTTGTGTGTGTCATTTTGCACATGCATCCTTCCCTTTCACTTCTCTGTTATTTTATGATGCAGCACAAGGCTGCCACCAGAGGCCACCAGATGTGGGCTCCAATCCTGAACTTTATACCCTGCAGAACCATGAGCTAAATACATCTCTTTTCTTTGTAAATCATCCAGTCTCAAGTTTTCTGTTATAGCAACACAAAATGAACTAAGTCAGTAGTTTAACATGTTCCTTTGTTAAGTGCTACTTGTAAATTGATAATTGATAATTGGAGCGAGAAGTAACAATTTTTTTTTTTTTTTTTTTTTTTTTGGAGACCAAGTCTCACTCTGTCACCCAGGCTGGAGTGCAGTGGTGCAATCTGGGCTCACTGTCTCCTGGGTTCAAATGATTCTCCTGCCTCAGCTTCCCAAGTAGCTGGGATTACAGGCGCCTGCCACCATGGCTGGCTAATTTTGTAGTTTTAGTAGAGACAGGGTTTCACCACGTTGGCCAGGCTGGTGTCAAACTCCTGACCTCAAGTGATCCACCTGCCTCAGCCTCCCAAAGTACTGGGATTACAGGCGTGAGCTACTGTGCCCAGTGAGAAGTAACAATTTATAATAATTTATGTTTCCATTCATGAACATATTGCCCTTTATTTTTTAAGTTCTAATTTTATTATCTGCACAGTTTTATGGGTTTTCTCAATTAATGAATTGGACATTTATTAGTTTTACTCTTTGGTTCTTTACGGTTTTTCTCTTGCTGTTGTGTTTAGCCTCCATTTTAACTTCCTGTGGTTAGTCAGTTTGCTATTGGCCTTGTGATTGTTGCACAAACCTCACTGTCCACATTCCTTCAAGGATTCAGAGGAATGGCTATATGAAACATTGGATACCCTGTTTGTGGTATGGAAATGCTTTTCGAAGGATTCCCCAAATAACCATGAAGGTCAAATAAATGCAATGTGCCCATTGCAGATGTCTGTGTGTTTGCATGCTCATGTGACCTTTGCTTGCGTTATTGTTGCTCGTTTAAGGCTTGAGATTTGTTAGTCTCCCTTTAGCCACTTATGCACAGAATTAACAGGTTCAGTCTGAGAGTCTAAGAGGTCTTTACAAAGTTTCGTTTCTGATCTTAAGCCAAGTAATTGCACTGCCCTGGATTCCATCAGAAGTTATGGAATCAGGCTCTGTCTTTCATTCCAAGGGTGGGTGAGCCACAACTGCCTGAACCTTTGTTTTCAAACAGAAATTACAATACCTATTTTGACCAAATCATGTGGTTGTTGTAAAGAACAAATGGATTGATGTATTTGAAATTGTTCTTTAATAGCACTGTCCAATACAAATATAATGAGCCACATATGTAATTTAAATTTTTCTAAACCACATTCAATAAAAGTGTGAAGAAACCAGTGAACTTAATTTTAATGATATATTTTATTTAACCCAACATAACTAAAATATTATCATTTCAAATATTAAGGAGATACTTTACATTCTCTTTTCTTTACTAAGTTTATGAAATCTGGCATATTTTACACTTACAGCATATCTCAATTTGGATGCTAACTTCTCATCAGAAATACTTGATACGTATTTAGATTGCATAATGTAGTTGATTAAATAGATTCACATCCCTAAATCTCCGCAAGCCTAAAAAGGTTTTCTGTAGCTGAATCGAATATCAGTTTTTAAATTTAAATTAATTAAAATGTAATAGAATTAGAAATTCAGTTCCTCAATCACATCAGCTACATTTCAGGTGCTTAATTCCTACAGCTGGCTTGTAGCTTCCATATTGGGCAGTGCTGCTGTATGAACTGATGAGTTCTATAGATGTGACTGCCTTTACTAAAGTTCTCAAATCTCAGTTAGATTTTACATGGTTTCACTTTGATCCTCCACATGAGATAAATGAATTTCCTTTGCTTTGACCTACAAAAGAATTTTCCAAGGAAAACCTCCCAGCTTTCCCGACAACTGGACAGCAGATTGCTTCCATTTCAGTCATCCAAATTTACTTTGTCTAAGAGTTGCTACACATTCTGGGAAATAAATACATCTCTAAGAGTGGAAGAAGGCTGACCAAAATAGAACGCTTTTAAAAAGCTGAAAAATCGATTCCTGGTAGTAATGCAATCTGGAGTACATGAAACGATTAGCACAGGGGAGCAGCCCACAGCGAGGTCAGGATCTATTCTGAGCCATGGAAAATCAAGCTCCATGTGACTTCGGTACATTACCAAGAGCAAACTATGATTCCAAGCAAGGCTAAACCCATCATCTCAGGGTGAGGTGCATTCTAGGGGGGGTCATCTCATACAGTTGGGACCTGCTAGCAGAAGTGAGTAAGGGCATCAGGGCAATGACCTAGGATACTCTACCTCAAAAAATTTTTTTTTAAGAATTCATCACAGAATGAATACTAGAGTATTTCTCTTCTTCTTCTAAGTGGAATAATAGAATAGGAATGTTTCACAGCTATTCCTTACCTCTCTAGGGGATCTTTTGAAAGAATCTGCTGCCTTCAGTCAGATTAGATGTTTTGAACAAATACGTACCTGGCACTCACCATGTTTCAGACATTGTTCTAAGCTTATTTTTTTCTTTTCTTTTTTTTTTTTTTTTTGAGACAGAGTCTCACTCTGTCGCCCAAGCTGGAGTGCAGTGGCATGATTTCACCTCACTGAAACCTCCATCTCCTGGGTTCACGCGATTCTTGTGCCTCAGCCTCCTGAGGAGCTGGAATTACAGGTGCCCGCCTCCACGTCCAGCTAATTTTTGTATTTTTAGTAGAGATGTAGCTTCAGAGATAGGGTTTCACCATGTTGGTCAGGCTGGTGTCAAACTCTTGACCTCGAGTGATCCACCCACCGCAGCCTTCCTAAGTGCTGGGATTACAGGTGTGAGCCATGTGTGTAAGGTTATTTAAATGAACTAATTTAACCCTTATGACAATCTTAAGAGAGACGTATTGTTATAATCCCCACTTTACAAATGAGGAAACTGAGGCAGAGAGAGGTTCAATAACTTGCACAAAATCACACTGCTGGTAAGTGATGGGAATGAACCCAAACACTCTAGGCTTTTCATCAATGGGTAAACCCTATGGCCTATGCTATGACTGAATACAGATCAGAGGCTAGCCGTGCACACCCAGAGCAGAGTACTGAGCCACGTATCCAGTCGCTACAGATTCAGACACCACCTTCTCTAATGAACTAGTGAAATCAGCAGAGAGCTCATAACCACATCTACTTTTACAACTGTGCCCTGAGCTTCTAGAATGCTTTCTATCTGCATGGCTTCCTGTCAAATGTAGCATCCTTCAAGGCTGAGCTCAAAAGAAAACTTCAATGGGTTTGGTTCCTTCAGAACCAAAATTACTTTTTTTCATCTTTCCCAACCTTTTACTATTTAATCTGGAATACTGTAGTTTTTCCAAAGCTGCCTTAAATTAAAGCAATGTCTTTCCTCTCCCAGTATCAAGCCCTGGGAGGACTGAAAGTGATTTTTTTTTTATTTTTGTATCCCTCACCTCACCTAGCATGGTGTTTTTCGCCTTCAAGGCACTCAGTAAATATTTATTAGCCTAATTTGACTGTAAATAAAATATATTGCAAAATGCACTGTAGTGGGTTTCAAGGAACTTGAGTTCCAGACTTAGTTTTGTCATCAATTAGCTGTATACATTTTGGCAATGTATGTAACCTCTGTGAGCCTTTGTTGTCTCATCTGTAATTGGATGTGATAATCTCTGAGGCCTCATGACCCTTATGGAATAGGCTATTCTTTGCTCTGAATTTTTGTATACAAAAGGTTTTTATTTTATTTATTATTATTATTATCATTATTGAGATGGAGTCTTGCTCTGTCACTCAGGCTGGAGTGCAGTGCTGCGATCTTGGCTCACTGCAAGCTCCGCCTCCTAGATTCACGCCATTCTCCTGCCTCAGCCTCCCAAGTAGCTGGGACTACAGGCGCCCACCACCATGCCGGGCTAATTTTTTATCTTTTTATTTTATTTTTTATTTTTAGTAGAGACGGGGTTTCACTGTGTTAGCCAGGATGGTCTCGATCTCTTGGCCTCGTGATCCGCCCGCCTCGGCCTCCCAAAGTGCTGGGATTACAGGCGTGAGCCAGCGCGCCCAGCCAAGGTTTTTAAACAAGTCCCTAAAGGGTGTTTCATATATTCTGAGATCACTCCCGGTAAAGACCCCCTGCTGAAAGAGAGTGGAAGGAGCATCCCACCACCTGGGGCAGTTGAAGCCCCTGAGTTGTGCTGTTTTAGGGAAGGTGATTGATGGTAAAGTAGAGAACACTGATAAATTACAAAGCATTCATCTAATCAAAATCAACCCATGGTGTTAAGTCTTGATGTAAAATAATACATTAAGAATTAGTGGAAAAGCTCTGAAATTGTTGACTCGATTTTCAAAATAGTTATTTTTCGGTAGGTAACAGATGCACAGCTTATAAAATTTAAAAGATTTTTTAATACTTTTGTTGGAAATACCGATTTTGTCTTTTTTTTCAGGTTATTTGGATGAAATGCTTATTTCTTTTTTAACATAAGCATTGACTGGAAATATTGGTTATTCTGTCTGATATTACATGAAGGTCAGATGCCCTCCATGCAACCATGAGGTCGGATGGCAGTTTGATGCTGAACCAGCAAACAAGGTAAGGGTGAAATTGTCATCTGCATTGTACAGAATGCGAAGCCAAGGCCTCGAAACAGGAGATAATTTAGACAAGGTCACCTAGAGGGATGCTGGAGGAACCGAGTTTGGAAAGCCAGCTAGCCTGACTGCCCATTCATCACGGACATTATCTTTCTTCTTGTCTTCCTGCTCAGCTTAGTTTATTTAAAAGGGAAGCACACTGCAGTTCTAGGGTCAGGCCAGGCCCGCCTGGTGGCTCAGCACCTGCCTGCAAAGGTAAGAAAGCCTCTCCAGCCGAGGCTTGTGAATGGTGTCAGGGAAGAGTCAGGTTCTCTTTGGAGAAGAGCCCGTTGGGATCTTTGTTCCCAAACAGGTCCCATTTCCTCATGTTTATTGAATTCTCTCAATCACATACTTGATCACTGGGTCCCAGGAAGGGGGGCTGGCTAAACTGAGAAAATGCAAAGTTGAACTTTATTTACTCTTGATAAGAGGACCAAAAGGAAGTTAACTTTTTACCCATTTTATTCTCAAAGCTATTGAAAGAATTATGAAATCTACTCGAGAGCAAACGTGGAGGTTATTCACAAAGGCGTTCATAATGAACTAATTTGCGGATCTTTTGCCCCTCTTTCACTTTCTGCAGAAATGAGAAGGATGACTTTTTTTCCTCTGTTTGTGGCTCTGCAGGCCGTCAGGGGACCCCACTCCTTTCTCCCTGCAGGCTTCCTCTGCCACTTGCTACTCCTTTGTACTCGTTCCACCTGGCAGTCTGAGGAACACAAACTAAAATGCAGGTATTGGTATCCCAATAAGAGGCTGTGAAGACAGTTCAAAAAGGGAAGTTTTGAGGCTGGGATTCTGGAGAAAGGCATTCATCTCCCGGTAGGCCCAAGTTCACTTCCTTCTCCACTACAGAACTGCCTCGATGCGTTTGAGAACATTCTGTCCTTATTGTGAATGCTGACTTGCTCCAATCAACACATTTCTTTAACTCCTTTAAAACCAGCTTGTTAGAGCTGTCTACAATGCCGTGAGGTTCCAACTTCCTCTGATTAATTAGGAGGCTCAGAAATGTGTGAGTATATTTTAGAAACTGTACTGTGGGTGCTTGTAGCAAGTTCACTTATTTAATATTTCATGGTGAGCTATTTTCTACTCTCCAGATAGATTGTGGGAAGGGGCCCTTTGCCAGCCATAAACATGTGTTTTAATCTCTAGTCCTTTTTGGCATGTGTTGCTGACCTACTTGCCTCAACTCCCTACCCTGTTTCCCTCCCCTTCAGCCAAATAAGAAGTGAATAAAGCAACAACATGGGAGAACCATTGTTCTTCAGACATGTACCAAAAGGGGGCACCGCTAAAATTATCTAGGCAACTTGGATCCCAGGCTCCCTTTGGAGAGGAAAGCTTTTGGGATATGTGCCATGATGATTTATTACAGGTGGCAAAAATACTTGTTATATAACACACCGCTGACATTTCTGCATCCCTGTTTTGCAGTAATGCTAAAGGCCAGCACATTCCAATCAACCTAGCCTGGGCTTGGGTGTTTCTTCATCTCCTCAGCTACCCATGTTCTGTTTACTCTCTAGGTGGCCAATCTAATCTACTTTATTTTGCATCTCATAATTTTATTGTCAGATGCAACCTTGTTCTGAAGTCTGGGACTGTCCTATGAATCTTTTCCAGTTTCCCCACGATAGTTCATTGATTCATTTACCCAATAAATATGTATTTGTAATTTCCATGTGAGGTGTTCTGTGTTCGAGAATGAATAAGACAGGCTGGGTGTGGTGGCTCACATCTGTAATCCCAGCACTTTGGGAGGCCGAGGTGGGTGGATCTCCTGAGGTCAGGAGTTCGAGACTAGCCTGGCCAACATGGTGAAACCCCGTCTCTACTAAAAATACAAAAATTAGCTGGGTGTGGTCACGCATGCCTGTAATCCCAGCTACTCAGGAGGCTGAGGCAGGAGAATCACTTGAACCTGGGAGGTGGAGGTTGCCGTCAGCTGAGTTCGCACCATCACACTCCAGCCTGGGGGACAAGAGTGAGACTTTTTCTCAAAAAAAAAAAAAAAAAAAAAAAAAAAAGAATGAATAAGACAGATACATCCCCTTCTTGCCTTTGGAGTGTCTTGTCTAACCTGGGAAATGATCTTTGAACAAAAAATTGTGAATGTGACTAGTGTCATGCTGATATTTAGGGAGCTTTAGGAACAAATTAGAAGAGACCTAACCTAGACTGCATATGAATCAAGAAAGGCATCCCTAACAAAGTGCCATTTAACATGAGACCTGAAGGGAAAGAATGAGCAAGGAAATGATTTCAGGTACTGAGGAATAACATATGTGAAAGTTCTGGAGTAGAAAGGTGTATGGCGTGTTTCAAGAAATAGAAGACCAGTGTGGCTAGAGCATAATCAAAGGTCATATGAATTTGGCATTTTATGTACCTGGCAATGTTCAAAGCAGTTTAATTTAGTTAACCTTCATAACAAGTCTATGATGAGAAAACTGAGAACTCAGAGAAGTTAAGTAACTTGCCCAAGGTCACAGAGCTAGGAAATTCCACATCTGGGCTGTGAGCCAAGACAATCTAGTTCCAACCCTGTCCTCTGAATGCAGCACTGAACTGCAGAGAGAGCAAAAGGACAGCAGATGAGGACCACATCACACAAATCAGAAAAAGAAGAGGAGGCCGGGCGCAGTGGCTCACGCCTGTAATCCCAGCACTTTGGGAGGCCGAGGCAGGCGGATCACGAGGTCAGGAGATCGAGACCATCCTGGCTAACACGGTGAAACCCTGTCTCTACTAAAAATACAAAAAATTAGCTGGGCTTGGTGGTGGGCGCCTGTAGTCCCAGCTACTCGGGAGGCTGAGGCAGGAGAATGGCATGAACCTGGGAGGCGGAGCTTGCAGTGAGCTGAGATAGCACCACTGCAGTCCGGCCTGGGGGAAAGAGCGAGACTCTATCATCTCAAAAAAAAAAAAAAAAAAAGAAAAAGAAGAGGAAAATCATTTAAGTAAAACATCTTGGACAGCACTGAAAGGGAAATACAGCATCCAAGTCTTTTAAATACTGACTTCCTTTTCTTTCTTCAAATGGAAAATTAGAGGAACCCACTGAGAGACTCGCTGTAGGCTAGGCACTGTGAGAAAAACAAGAAGCAGTCAAATTCATCCTCAACAGGTTAGTAAGGTCTACATAACTTCAAAGGACACAAGAGGTTAGTGTGTGATAGACAGCCGAAGGATTCATGGAGCAGGCTGCACTTGAAGTGGCCCTTATAGGGATAATTAAGATACAGCCTGGTGGAAGCAATGGAATGGTTTTAAGTCCATTGTCTATCCCTTTTGCATTCTTTCTTTTTTTCAGCATATACTTGTTATGTACCTCCTACATGCCTGGTCCTCTGCTAGGAGTTGAGGGTAAAGCAGTGAATTGGACAAATAAAATAGAAACCAGTATCCACAAGGGCACAGTGATGGGTAAGTCTGTGATTGTGGGTGATATTGAAGAAGACAGTCTGGTTGGCGCCAAGGGCTGTGTTGAGAATAAATAGGGCTAAGCTTTAGAGGTGGGTGATGAGGGTAGAGGAGATAAAGCAATTGACTGCTCAGATTTCTAACTGTCAGAATCAAGAATGGGAATTTCCGGCCTGATACAGTGGGTCATACCTGTAATCCCAGCACTTTGGGAGGCTGAGATGGGAGGATCGCTTGAATCTAGGGGTTTGAGATCAGCTTGAGCAAATACAGTAAGATTCCATCTTTAAAAAATAAATAATGGGGATTTTTTTTGTCTTATAGATAATGGAAAATGATTGCTAGTTTTTGAGTTGGGAAAAAAGTAATTAAAAGAGTTTCTGGAATGATTTGCCTGGCATCTGTGTGCAGGCTGTGCTAAACATAAGTATTAGTATGTGTTAAGCCAGGTAGAAGGAGTCTCCAGGAACAGAAAAGTAGGGTGAAATATTATTTACTCTTCTCACTTGTCCTGAATATGCTTTAAAATAAAAATGCTATGGATTAATAGGTTCTGTCATTCTTGAAGATTAAGATCAAACTAGTTTCTCTTGATTTCTAAAAGTAGACAGGACTTCTGGCTGATAGCATGAACTAGTTTTATTAACCAAAAACTGCCTTCAACTTGGCACCTCTTCAGCCAGAAACAAACATATTATTCACCCTGGACTGCCCTGAAAAGGGTAAGAGAAATGAATGTAATTTAAGGAGACCATCCTTAATTAAAGGAGCCACTTGGCAAATTCCAATGGCTGCCTTGTTTTGGCTGCATCTTTTTTTCCCCTAAACTTTTCTCTTCTTTTTTCATTTTAATACACTTTTCCCAATTGTCCTGTTGGAACCTTTACCACATTTGGGTTTTACCTGGTAAATTTTGATTTAATCTTTGGCGGACGCTGCTTCAGGTTGACTGTAATTCAGGGACTGGCATGTACGTTGTATCTTGGTGCCAGAGCATGTGGGGCAGCGGATGGCTCTGGAGCACTGAATGCACCCTGTTGTGTGGCTCCAAGTTCTCAAGATGCCTGTGCAGTGCCCTGGCATTTCACTGCAGCCAGAGGGGCAGCTGGGGTGGATTTCTTTTTTTTTTCCTGGCATTTGCAATTTAGGACCTACCTTCTCTAAGTATCCTCCCTGAGTGGGTTTTTCTGCACTCCACATGTATATTTTCACATTTTGCTGATTGGTAATATTTAATGTGTGGGTAGAAGTGCTGTGGCGATGAGTGCTTCCTATAGTCAGACAAATCAAAGCAAGAATGATTGTGCCATTTTAGTGAACAAATTGCTTTGTCCATTCTACCTCTTGCAGAGCTAAGAGGATGCAGTGCGTGCACGCGTGCACACACACACGCAAACACACGCTCTGTTCTTTGCCCTCAAGGATTTTTTTTTAATAGCACACCAGAGCTCTGGAATTGGCAGGGACTTTATAAATGATAAAATTTATCCCCATTCTTTATAGACAAGGAAATTGAGACCTAGACAGGAAAGAGGCATGTATGCCAAATGCCACAGAGCGAGCAGGGGGTGCAGAGATTAGAGTACAGATTCATGCTGTGGCCTAGGGTTCTCTGTATACTTCACCACCTAAAATTACCACACTTTTAAAAAGGAGGAAACCTGGACTTGCAAGATTGATAACTTGTAGTGTTGTATTTTAAAAGCAATGAATTTAGAAGAGTTTCACAGATATATTTCTTTTTTTTTTTCTTTTTTTTTTTGTTGAGTCTCACTGTGTTGTCCAGGTTGGAGGGCAGTGGTGTGATCATAGCTCACTGCAACCTAGACCACCCAGGCTCAAGCGATCCTCCCACTTCAGCCTCCTGAGTAGCTGGGACGACAGGTGCGTGCCACCCTGCCTGGTTAATTTTTATTTTTATTTGTAGAGACGAGGTCTTGTGATGTTGCCCAGGATGGTCTTGAACTCCTGGGTCCAAGAAATACTCCCACCTTGGCCTCCCAATGTGCTGTGATTATAGGCATTAGCCGTTGCACCCGGCCCTTAGAAAGGTCTTGAACTCAGGTCTCTGGACTACCAAACCAGAATCATCTTATGGGAGTGGCATGTGGGTGGTGTTTAGATGTGCTTGGAAAAGCAGTGGTGGAAAGAAAACCATTCAAATATTCTCCAAGCACCATACTCTGAGTCCTGAACCCCTTCAAGCCCTGACCTCACCATCCCCAGGAATTCTGCTGGCTGTATTTTTCTTAAACATTTTAAGAGACTGCAGACATCATGGCTCAGGGTCTGTTGAGATAGACTGCTGAATAGATATTCTGACACAGCCCTTCTGGTTATGGTAGTGATCATTCCCCTGGTACCATGTTGCCATGGTCAGAGTGCATTACAAGAGAAGGGTTGTCTTGAACCTGCAGCCTCCATCCTTCTCATTTGCAGAAGCCCCACTGCCTCGAAGAAAGAACTGCCCAGGGCCGCCCACTCTAGCACCTTGTTCTCATCTGTCTTCCCTTGACAACAGTCCGTATGCTGAAATAGTCTTTCCCATCTACTCTTAGTGCCCCTTCTTCCAGCTAAACTGCCCTGTTTTGAGTTTCAGTGCTGTCAGCTGCTTTCTGTGGTGATGGTCAGGAGTCTCACTCATTAGTCTATTTGAGGACACTTTCGTTAACATGGAGAATGCATGTCTTTTGGCATTTCAGACTCGTTGGCTTAAACAACAGAAATTAATATTCTTACAGTTCTGGGTGCTGGAAGTTCAAGATCAAGGTGCCAGCTCTTGAACTTCCAGCACAGTTCTCCTGAGGCGTCTCTTCTTGGTGTGCAAACAGCCACCTTTTTGCTGTGTCCTTACATGGCCTTTTCTCTGTGCATACGCATTCCTGATGTCTGTCTTATAATAAGGACATGGGTCATATTGGATTAGGGCCCCACTCATATGACCTCATTTAACCTTAATCACCTCCTTAAAGGCCATGTCTTCAAACACAGTTATATTGGGGATTAGGGCTTCAAGATATGAATTGGAGGGGGGCATAATTCAGTCCTTAACACCACCATAGATGGTTTTTCTCTAATAAACATATCTGCAGTCTTATCACAGAGGAGTAACTCTCCATTAGCACTTCCACAGCAAATGAGGGAGGTGTTTTGGACAGAGGCTGCTACTCCTTAATTCACATCTGTTAGGCTGCCTACAAATAAAGCTAGATATGAACAACTGAAGATTTTTGTTCCAAGTCTACATGGATGGTTAAGTACGTAATAAAATTTCCAGGATTATAACTCCTGAAGCAGCCCGGGTGGCACTTTCGGTAGGTCCAGGGAGTTACCAAAGTAATGTGCCTGTATTCCTTGGGGGCCAGTTTCATTTTATTTGACAACTTAAGTTTCCATTTTAAATATTTAATTTTAGAAAGTAGGAAGATGTATATGGACATCTATTTTGTAAGTGTGTGTGTATATTGTATATCATGTATGTAAGAAAAAACTTTCTTCTACCATGAGCTTTAAGAATTTTCTAGAAGGCTTACAGACTAGATCAGGTGCTGGAGAAAAAGGTCATGCCAGTTAGAGGCTTACATGTGGACTGCGAGGCCATGTTACTGTGACATTGAGCTGGACACCTCTGTAAGGGACTGTTTAACATCAATAATATCTAACATATAATGAACAATTACTTTGACCAGTCCTCACTATAACTCTCTATGGGGTGTTACATTCTCCCCATTTTACAGAGAGAAAACTGAGACATTTAGAAGTGACTTGCTCAAGGTCACAAGACTAGTCTGTGGGAAGGTGTGCCTGTCTGATATCAAAATCCAGACACATTTGCATCTACTTGAAGAGACAAAGCACAAACACCAGAAATAAAGACCAGAGAGTTAACCTGTGTAGTTGACTCAATGATGTTCTATTTAAAGGAACACCGGGTGATCAGTGTGAGGATAAGTTGTTGGAGAAAGTCCTGTAAAAAAGATATTACCGGAACCAAGCTTTGAAATACAGGTGGAATTTAAAGAGGAACAGTGGTGGGGAAAAGAGCATCTTCAGAACTGGAAGTAGAAATGGCAAATTGAGGGCAGGAAAGAGAAAAAAACTGGCATGCCTTTATCTGAGGGTTTAGAAGCAAAGAATGAACAGGGAGTGTGCACTCCTATTTGTTAAGATTGGCACTGGACTCAATTCAGCATGGGTAGGATTTAGAGCTGGTAAACTTTCATAGATGGTGGTTCACCCGGATCCTAGAAGTAAACTCTTGGATCAACTGGTAAGAATTTTTATATTGAAACTATATTAATTGTAAATAGCCACCGGCCTTTCTGTCTACTGAAAATAGGAATTAAGTGACAAGAAAGTGAAAGAGAAAATCGACTCTTGCATTTTGTAACTTTGCCCTCGCTTGGGTCCAGAAGGACTTGTAGGGAAGTGTTCTTATTTACAGGGGAGCTACAGTCTCAGTGAAAGTGTGAGTCAGGCAGAAAACACCTTGTACACAAGCAAACATCTTATGTTCTCACTGAGACACGTTTAATATTTTCAGTTCAGACTTTGAGACTGCTTTTATACATCTCGAATTACCTTGAAATTATTTAACCCCCATTCATAAAGTGAAAATGTATATGAATATGACCTAAGAATTAATTATTTTCCAACACAGTGTGTCCCCTTTCTTCGTGGGTTTACATGATCCACCATTTTAGTCACTTTACTGGAGATATCTGATATGTTCTTGTATTAGTTAGAGTTCTCCAGAGAAATAACCAATGGGAGATAGGTAGATAGATATAGATAGATAGATATCAATAGATAGTAGATAGATAGATAGATAGACAAATAAATAGAAAGATAGAAGATAGATAAATGAGATAGAAAATAGATTAGATAGACAGAAGATGATAAATTAGATAGAAGATAGATAGACAGATTGATTGATTGATAGATAAAGAGAAGATTTATTACAGGAATTAGCTCACACCGTTATGATGGGTGAGAAGTCCCACAATATGCTGTCTACAAGCTGGAGAACCACAAGAGCCGATGGCATAAGCTGTGGAGTCCAAAGGCCTGAGAAACAGGATCTCTGCTATCTGAGGGGAGGAGATGGATGGTTCAGCTTAAGAAGAGTGAGAGAAAATCCACTCCTCCATCTTTTTGTTCCGTTCAGGCCTCCGATGGATTGGAGAATGCCCACCCACATTGGTAAGGGCAGATCTTCCTCACTTGGTCCACTGATTCAAATGCTAATATTGTCTGGAAACAGCCTCACAGACACACCCAGAAGTAATGTTTTACCCACTGCCTGGGCACTTCTTAGATCAGTCAAGTTGAAATAAAATGGATCCTCACAGTTTCTAACCAAAGACAGCTTTTTATCTGCTTCAGGACCTTTGTCTCTGTCCTCTCTGTCTAGATTTCTCTTCTCTTGGGAGATGAAGTGATAGGAGAGAATGAAGAACTTAGATGAAAACTTTTGTCATATGGTAATTGTGACCCCCAAAAATCATTTCACTGAGGTAGTATCACAAGCACTGGGAGTGCCAGGCGAGGTGTCAGAGCCCTGGCATTGGAAAGTGGTTGACTCACAGGTTGGTTAAAAGAATCTACCGACAACAGTATAGGTTTGAAAAAGGAAAGTTTATCAGAAAGGAAGAATGTGCTGTGGAAGAGTGCAGTGGGGTGCCTCAGCCAGAGGACCCAGCGTTGACCTGGAGTTTTCCTTAGGGGTATTTATGGACCTTAAAGTGGGAACTTAGGGTTGTAAAATGAGTTTCTGCATGGCATTCCAGAGACATATAGAAATTTTAGTTACTTATAAATTGTTTTGGTGGAGGGAGTGGGAAGAAATCTGGAGTGAGATGCTTGCTTTGGATAATAGGGAAGTCTAATTATTGCTAATTTTCCCCAGATAAGGAGTTTTGCCTCTGCCTCCTCTGATGGCCTGTTTTGAGGGTCACCAGGTGGTCTTTGCTTCCTTCTAAATTCCTCAGATAAGGAGTTTTTGTCTCCAGGGTCTGTTCAATGGTCACCTGGTGATTTTTTTTTCTCCTCAGGGAGTAAGTTGCTGTTGGTAGTGAGAGCGCATTAGCGTTATTGTATTAGATGTGGGGAGGATGGACAAGCTGGGAGGGAATGCTGGATGGGAAGTTTCTAAAAATCCCAATCCCTAGGACAAATCTTCAAGGGCTGAGTGCTTAGAGATCGGTAGGCTTCGTGATGTTAGTAAGATAGAGTTGTGCAAAACCAGCATGTCCTCAACCTGCTGCTATTAAAATTAACACCAAAACCCAAATTATCCTAGCATTGTCTCCAGCAGACATTTTCTGAGCACCTCTCAATGTGCAAGGGAAGGGGAATATCAAGAAGGAAATCATAGTTCACTTTTGGAGGCTAGACCCAACTTGTGAAAAATTAACATACAAGACATGGCAATGTAGATTAAGTCCTAAACAAATCACACGAAACCCTGTGGTTCTCAAACTGTTTTGTGCATTAAAATCAACCATGAACTTGTGAAAGTACAGATCCTCAGGCCCTGTTCCTGGAAATTCTGCCTGGACCTTTGCGTTTGGGTTTTTTGACAAGCTGGAGAACTGTTAGTGAAGACAATAATGAGAGAGACAGGAGGATTACTGTAGGCTGGGAGTCAGGGACTCTCCCAGCACTAAGTACAGAGATAGAAGAGGCAAGTCATGGAGCTAAGGGTATTTCTATGGGTAGACAAATGGGGTGGAGGGAGGAGGTGGTATCCATGGGGTACATGCTTAGATGGTCTGTAGATTATTTCCATCCTGTGAGAGCAGGAAGATAAGAACGATTACATTCAAACAAGGGCCCTGATGGAGAAGGTGATGAGTTAAAGAGCAAAATGGCAGGTGGAGAAAAGTGGATGTTGGATCTTCAGTTGGGCAATTGGCTAATCAGGCCCCTCAGGAGAAAGAAAGAGCGGTGGGCGTGTTTGTGTTCCTTCCCTCTCCCTGTCTGCTCAGTAAAGTGAACAGATTTCTAGCACAATGCAGGGTTCACTTTAAACAAAACACTAAGATTAGCCAATCCACTTACCTCCCCCGAAGGAGATCATTCACCCAGAGGAAGCCTGACAAATGATCGTGTAAAATACTATGCTTTTAGAAGGTTCCTTATATCTCTCAGAGAGTCAATATAGTCCATTATGTCAGTTCCCATCCACTGGCTTCTTTCTCAGCTACTTATATTTCCATTTAATTGAAGATTAGGCAGAGCTCACCAAGGCCCAGAAAATTAAAGTTATCGGAGACTCGTTAGTTATCTCTTTTTAAGACCATCTATCTTTTTCATTCCACTCACTCTGGACCTGGCGATTTGTCTGTTGCTTCTCACTTCCTTCTGGCCCCTTCCAGTGTGAGATCCTGCCTTGATCCAATGTTTCCACTTCTGTTCTTTTGACAGTATCTTTTCCTCCACTGGCTTTCTTTCCTGTTTCTCTTTTTTGGGGGGGTGGGGAAAGGACATAGGGATTGGAGGTGGGGAAAGAGCTGGCCTGTTCTGCTTCTCTGGCACTCTCTTCCTTCACTTTTTTCTCTTATACCATCGTGTTTATAGTTTATACTCCACACACCCTTGTCATTCTAATCTTCATTAAACACCACTTGCAGAATTATAGGAGAGATGAGACAGATGAATATTGACACAGACATAAGCCAACAGTGACTTGAAAGATAAAGTTGGAGAGTGAGAAGAGACACTGGGGAGAAAGAGGATGACAAAGGCCAGTATGATAATAATAATAATAATTACTATGTATTAAGTACCTGATATGCATCATGCAGTGTGATAGCATAAGTCACTTAATCTTCACAATGCTCCTTTGATTCTCTGTTTTTTCCTTATTTTTGAAATAAGTGTGATAAGACTCAAAGTTTACCCTTATTTCTCAAGGTCGTACTGCTGGGATAAAGGGCAACTGGAATTCAAGCTCAGTCTGTTTTTCTCCTCTACATCTTGGAGAAGTAGGCAGGCAACTGATTTTAGATTTAAGCTCAAGATATATTTTTAAAAGAAAGTTCCCTAGATGCAAGTATTTGAACGTGTAGATAATTTAAACATCCATATACACTTCGTATTTTAACAGCACACTTTTGAACTGCACAAGTTCACTTACATGTGGACTTTTTTCAATGTAAGTTATATTCAGTGTGCTTGCCTCTCCTGCCCTTCCTTCCATGTCCTCCACCTCCTGTGCTTCGGCCACTCTTAAGACAGCAAGACCAACCCCAACTCTTCCTCTTCCTCCTCAGCCTACTCAGCATGAAACTATGAGTATAAAAACCTTTATGATGACCTACCTCCACTTGGATCAATGAAGAGTAAGTACATTTTTTTCTTCCTTATGACTTTCTTAATAACATTTTTCCTTAGCTTACTTTAATTGTAAGAATACAGTATATAATACATATAACATACAAAATACGTGTTAATCGGCTATTTATGTGATTAGTAAGGCTTCCATTCAGCAGCAGGCTATTAGTAGTTGAGTTTTGAGGGAGTCAAAATTACATGTTGGATTTTCGACGGAGCATTAGTGTTAGTGAGCCACACTAATTCCCATATTGTTCAAGGGTCAACTGTACTCAAACATACACACATGCACAAATCCACAAATCAAGTGTAAGTTATTTATTTGGTTTGGTGATATTATTTCATCTTGTCTTACAATCTTTAGAGTTGGGAGGGACCACAGGATTCTTCAAGTCCAGTGTCATGAACCTCTGGTACACTCTCTACCTATGCTTAAGTATTTTCAAGAAAGGGGAACTCCTTACCACAAAGGCAGTCTGGTCCATTGTTGGACAGCTCAGATGTTTATATAATTATTTCTCCTACGATGCTGTGAGGATTATCTCAGAGTCGTCCAACTATTTTTGCCCTCTAAAGTTACGTAGAATACATCAAATCTTTCTTTTACAGGATAGCTCTTCGCATGTGTAAATAAGAATTCACACACACACACACACACACAGCCTAAAGTCTCCTCTTCTCCAGCTAAGCACTTCTAGTTGTTGCAATTATGACTCATTTGACATAGTTTTCATCTTGTTTATTGTCCTCTTGACCAACATTGGTCATAAAACTGAGTGTAGAACTCAGCATATGGTCAGACCAGCACAACCTAAAGAGAGATGTTCCCCTCCTCTTACGGACACCAGGCTTTTGTTGAGACAGCCTAGTTTCCATCAATACTCTGAAAGCTAAGAAATATTCACAGGTAACTAAGACCTAAAGTTCTTCAATTTAAGTTCAGGACTTTAAAAGTATCCCTGTTTAAATTTAATCTTTTTAGCTTGGCCCTCCTACTGTGTTGCCAAGATCTTTCTAGATTCTTCTAGACTGTGATTCTTTCCCACCAGCTATCCTCCCTGGCTTTGTATCATCTACAGTTTGTAACCATATTTTGATTTTTGTTCATAATATATTGTTAAATGTAAATAAGTTAAAAACTGTATTATGGTGTGAACTTGTTTATTTAAAATGACAATTATTTGAACAAAAATGATTCTAAATAGACATATACCAAAATAGTAACAGTCCTTATCTCTGAGATATTGAATAACTTACGATTTATAATTTAGATATTAAAATTTTTAAAAATTTTGGCTGTATGTAGTTTTCTGATTTAATAAATGGCTTTGGTGATTTTACATATTAATATACCCAAATCAAAATCTATCATTTGAAAAGAAATTTTTCTACCTGAAAAGTCTGGTTTATTCCATATATTTTGTTTTGTATCTGTAGTATCTTTGTTTTTTTCCTAATTGCCATGAATTTCTGGACTCCTGCATTTGATTCAAAGCTCCTTGAAGACAGGGAACTGTGCTTTCATTATCCCTCATGGCAGCTGGCACTGTGCTGAATTGATTGCTTCGCTTTTCAATTAACTTGTCCTTCATGCAGCACTGAATTCATGGCCTTTGTCTGACTTGATCTCTTGTTTATATCAATACCTTAAAATGATGGGTACGTGATGTTTCATCTATGATCTGCACTTAAACAAATTAAGCTAATTCATTTACTGGTGAGTAATTATTCACTGTGTTAACAAATCTATTTACCCAATTGAAAGAAGTGAAATGAAGACTCTTAACATCATTCCCACTCTGAGACATGGGTTATGGATCAGAGTGGAAGAGGAGGAAGATTTAGAAGCTGGAGTTAAAAACTGGTTGGAGCCTGCTAGTCTCATCTGAGAGCTCTCTGCCTAGCCCAAGTCCAGGTGTGGGCTTTCTCTCCTGGGGCCAGTCCTAGAGAGGAGGATGGGGTGGAGGGAGGGACAGAGTAGGTGGAAGAGATCTAAGGATGTTAACTGGAGCTAGATTCTCCAGCTTTCTAGTGCCATGCGCCTTTCACCAGCCTTCCTATGCCTTAGTCTACTATAAAGGACAGAGACCTGGGTCCCATCTATGCAGGTCCAAGTGACAGGGCAACTGCTTTCCCTATGCAGCTGAGGCTGGGTCTGGAAGAAAAAGGTCATTTTGATAGTTACTATCCCTCCCTTTGGCGGTCCCACCTGAGTTCTAGGTGAGACTGCCAGGGCTCTAATTAAACCAGAACCAGAGCTCTTATCTTGTCCTTAAGTTCTGCCTGTGTTACCAAGTGGTAGCAAAAGATAATGTCCTCTGCTATGGCCCATTGTGGATGTACAGCATGATTTAGATTTAGATTTAAGTGAAGCGAACTTAAGAAATTAGTGACTCCTGATAACAAATCTCTACATATATGACATCATGAAGAAACCATTTCTTTGAAAATTTTAAAAAGAATGTGACCTAAACATTAATCTGCAGGGAACTAGCAGATGAATGAAAATCTATTCACGCATCCATCCAACACAGGAAAAGCTATGGAGTCACAGCTTGAAAGAAGGTGTGATGGTCAGAAGTGTCTGTTCTACATAGTATTCCAAGGACATTTGCTACACAAATGGGGGATATCCAATTTCAAGGCTATCAGGTCAATAGTGGCAAGATTAATTGCTTTATCCTTTAGGACAAGCTTGTCCAACCCACAGCCCATGGACCACATGCAGCCCAGGATGGCTTTGAATGCAGCCCAACACCAATTCATAAACTTTCTTAAAACATTATGTGTTTCTTTTGTGATTTTTTTTCTCATCAGCTATTGTTAGTGTATTTTATGTATGGCCCAAGACAATTCTTCTTCCAGTGTGGCCCAGGGAAGACAAAAGATTGGACACTCCTGCTCTAGGGCATAGGTCAACACCAAAGACCCTTGTGACCATACCCCAGCACCCAGCTCCACTCACCTGAGGATGTGACATGGGACAGAATGAGAAGGAGGGAGGCAATACCCATGAAAAATCCTACAGCTCAAGATTCTTATTCTGATAGTGTTTAACTCCCAATGTGAACTTGAAAAGTCAGTTATACTAGGTCTCAGCATATCCATCTGTGTAGAATGGGATTGCCTTTACATCAGAATGTTAAAAGGCCTAGAGAGAAGGCTCTGGGAAGAGGGATCTGTTTGGGAAAGAGCTGAGTTCTGCTTGTGTTGTAGCTTTTCTGCAGTTATTACTCACCATGGTATCCCTAGAACTTAGCAGAGTGAATGGCACTTAGTAGGCACTCAGTATGCATCAAATTTTTTAAAAAACGAACGGATTGAGGCTTCTGCACTCATTCAATCTCTCAAAGGCCATGTAAGAGTTTTTCAAAGCTGGGAGAATAACTATATTTCTTTTGTGCCTCCCAACTTTCTTTCCCAGCACTTAGTTTACAAACATCTTGGCTTGGGCCAAAGTCTGTAACACATCCTTTGCCTGTCCCACTTCTCTGCAGTTGGCTGTGAAGTGGGAGTTGTGTGTGGTTGGCTTAAGACCCTGAGTCATACCCAGGGTCCATGGTGAGCAGTGGCATGGACAGTCACCCAGGCACTGGCCTTATATACTCGGGAAGCTCATGCCTTTTTCCACAGAGCTCAGAAGTGAATGATTAGATGAATGAGTAAATGAAAGAATCAATATTATTCTTACTGACAAAATACACGCTTGCTTATGACAACTTTGGTAAAGGATTCTAAGACTTCTGTTACTAAAACATTCTCTACCATGCCCTCCTACTGCCTGTGATCACAACAGAAGAAAGGAACCATTGAATGACAAAATCCTATGAGATGTTGATTTTAGATGGCAAAAGATTGGAGAAAGTTATTCTAGGTGGGAAAAACAACAACAAAGGCGTAAAGGTAAGGAAAGGACATGTTTGTGTGAAGGATAGGAGACCAGTTTGACTGAAGCCCTTAGTGTGGTTGGAAACCATAAGAAGAAAGGTTGTATAGGGAATGACGTTGATTGATGGAGGATCTTCAACATTAGAAATTCAGGATATGCCATTTACTTTTGTATCTTCAGTGCTTTGCCCAGAACATGACAGAATAGGAGCTTCATAAATGTTTACTGAATGAGTGAATGAATAACTGAGTGGATGGATGAATAAATGGATAAATGAGTAAATTTAATGGGAGAGAACACGTTTAAGCTGAAACCAGTGAGCCTGGAAGAATGGGAAGGAGAGAAATGGGAAGTTTAGGCACAGTAAGTTGAGATAATGGTAGAATCTTTGCATAGAAATTTCCCATAGGAAGCTATTTGGAATTAAGAAGAGAGCAGAGAGTTCCTAGGTTTGGAAATGTGTGAATCATTATTGCAATGGTAGTTGAAACCATGAGCCTGGATAAACTCTTGAGGGCAGGTAATGTAAAAGCTGAAGAGCAGAAAGAAAGGACTGAGCAGGGGTTTACACTTTCAGCAGTGGTGGAAAAATAAGTTAGAGGAGAAACCACAGAGTTTGGGAAACCAGGAAAACAATGTCGAAGAATTCTAGATAGAGAAATATTTTTTTTTAAAGAAGTTTGAAGGGTGACTGTGAAACAAGGTGGCAAAGCTCAGAGGCTGAGTTTGTGGAAAAGGATGTTTCCTAATTAATCGCGGACAGTAAAGGCAGGTAGAGGCAGGGTTGGCATCTGCTGGCAAACCAGCAGAATACAGGACATTGGCATCTGGGGCCGAGGAGATTGCTCTGAGTATGGGAAAGCATCTGCAAAGCTGAAGTTTGAAGCCCCATGCCTGGAATAGAAGTGTTCTTGGAGAAGCTGAACAGATGCAAAGAAATGAAGAAATGCAGAAGTAACTCATTCTTGGGGCAAAGATTATAAAGGAGGTTTAGGCCAGGCCTAAGAATCTCACATCTTAGCAATTCTTTCAAGCTGTATCACTCTCAGCTCTCATGCAGTATAAGCAGCCAAGTCAATTAACAGAGAGCTCAAGACACCATCTAGAAAGGAAATCACTAAAAACAATAAAAATTTAAAAATAGGAAGTCAGGATCTCTATTTGCTAGATCAATGGCTATAAAAATCTGAGGGAGACTGAAACCTCTTGGCTCTCGTTATCTTTTTCCTGGGATGGTGCTCCCTTTGGAGCAAGAGTAGCAGAGGCCGAGCCAAGGAGACGATGCCCTGGCCCTCTGCCAGCCTTGGATAGAGGTATGTTTTAAAAAGGGAGGAAAGAGACAGCTGACAGCCTCTGAGGCCTGCAGGAAGAAAAGAAGGAACCATGTGTAGGAATCAGTCCAGGACTGAAAAAGCTGCCTGAAGGCGTAGCCATCTGCCCTTGCATATGAGACCCGGGGAAAAGTCGATGCCGGGTTACACCAGTAGCTAACCACAAGGCTTCAGAGTCCTACAGACCCAGAGCCAAACTGTGCCTTTTCCACTCACCCGCTGTGCCCTCTTGGACAAATTGCTTAATCCTGAGTTTCTCACCTATAAAATAACAATAATAAAAACAAGAGCAACAATAATAATAGAATCTACCTTTCAGACTTCTTGTGAGGATTAAATAAAATAATTTGCCGGGTTCAGGACTCAGCACTCAAAAAATGGTAGTTTTTAGAAAAGTAGGTTCTTAAAAGGAACATTAACTCTTTGGATCCTGTAGTCCTATTGGATAACAGTGGCTCCAGCACCCATTTACCTAAGTCCTGGCCTTCCAGGCTGCTAAACAGACCCTGGGCACTAGAATATTCTCTGTGCCAGGTCACAAGAAGGGTATGTCAGTAGTTTTCCAGGATGGTAGGCAATCTATGGGGTGCCATTTAAAGCCAAGAAACTCAAATGAGACCCAAAGGAGAGAAATCCGCTAATGAGTCCATCAAGATAAAGAGGTAAGAGTGTCAGCTTCTGACCATCTGTTTTGTTCTGGCAGCACATGCTGTCCAGACCCTACTCCCTGCGCCTCATCCAAAACTTGCCAATGCCATTGATTTGTATTAATCTGATTGAGCATTCATTACCCCAAGTACCAACCTGTCACTGTTTGCTTAGCTTGCATGAAATCAGAGCTACACAAAAATCAATGTGTGAAATCTTTGTATCAACATATAAGAAATAAAAAGGTTTATGCTGGCAGATGCAGGTTTTTAGACAGATTAAAACTGACAAATTGGCACGATCCACAATGAAGGCAATGATGAGGTGCAGTGAAATGTCAAAGGTTTTGAAAATGGCATGCTGAGGAAGACATGCATTATTGTCAGGGGGAAAAAAGGAAAAAGAGAGGGTTGTTTATAATAAAAAGCATTTGGATTTGCACAAAGGCGGATGACTTTTTTGAAGAAATAACTTGCAGTCAGTAAGGCTGGTGCAGTGTGATTGTTCTCCAAGAAACCAACAAGAAAAGACAAGGGGTTAATGCTTGAGCAAGGTCACAGTGTGCAGTAACAGTGCCAGGACAGAATGGAGGAGGCTGGACGCTTACTTCCGCCAATCACTGAACCCTCTGACACTCAGAGGGAGAGACTCTCACCTCTTGCCCTCCACATTGACTTCTCCTTCTCAGGGAACACTTCCCTTTCAAACAATCACAAACCCCTGACAGAATTCTAAAGCAGACTGATCAGAGCAGACATCTGTATGTTTTGCACAATTAACTGTGTGTTCTGCACTTTAATTTATAAGACACTCATGCATTGGAGCAAAATATCTTAGCTTATATTGCAAAAACATCTTTATTAAGGGTGATGGCCAACTTAATAAAAAAGAAAAATTCACTTCTATTTGTGACACATTCGGTATTATACATATTTATATACATAGCACCATAGCACTCTATAACTGTGACCAAAAAAATTTCTTTTAATTTTCAGTCCCCATGTCTCACAGCATACTTTTGGACCATCTGCTTTCAACACCACTGGGTTGTATATGCTTCAGGAATGCAAACTCTCTTTTTAAAAAACAGTAGCTAGGAAAGGTAAATATGCTGCTGCGGAAGGAAAAAAGAATCCTCTCCAAACAACTCAAAAAACATTGTTAATATACATGTGCACCAAAACCAAAGGAAATCATTTTTTGGCAAATATGGAGAATGACGTAGTGGAAAGAGACTAAGCATTGGAATCAGACTTGAATATGAATCTTGTCCCTACCACTCATTGGTTCGGTTTGAGGTTTTTATCAATTTTCTAGACCTTCTCCTGGACACTGTAAAATAGAAGCAAGACTGTGTGGGAGTTTTATGAAGATTACATGAGAAAGGGAATGTGAAAGTTCCTAACATCATGCCTAAAACATAGTAGACTTTCTTTCTTTTTTCTTTTTTTTCTTTGAGACGGAGTCTCGCTCTGTTGCCCGGGCTGGAGTGCAGTGGTTCACTCTCGGCTCACTGCAACCTCCGCCTCCTGGGTTAAAGCGATTCTCCTGCCTCAGCCTCCCAAGTAGCGGGAATTACAGGCACACACCACCATGCTCAGCTACTTTTTTGCATTTTTAGTAGAGACGGGGTTTCACCATATTGGCCAGGCTGGTCTCAAACTCCTGACCTCAGGTGATCCATCTGCCTCGGCCTCCCAAAGTGCTGGGATTACAGGTGTGAGCCACCATGCCTGGCCACATAGTAGACTTTCAATGCAGGTTTGGTCTCCATCAGATCATTTGTCATTAAGGGGGACCATCTGCATCACCATCTCCCCCGATTAGAGTGGATACTATAGAAACGCAGTGATTAGTACTTTGTTATGTGGTTGTAAATAGATGCACAAATATTTTCCAACTCTAAAATTTTTACTCCTCAGAGCAATAGAGACACAATCAAGTAAATAAAATTGACTTTTGTTACTATTTGGCCAGGATTCTTCTGTATGTGTGTTGGTTGAAGCACCCAGTGAATCTTCTCCCATTGGGCCTTTTTGTTCAGGTTATCTCTTGCTGCATTAAAAACCACCCTAAAACCTAGGCACGTAAAACAACGATCATTTATTTTGTTCACAAATTTGCAATTTGGGCAGGGCTCTATCTGGAAGGCTTATCCCTGTTCCATGTTGCATCACGTGGAGAAGTTCCCTAAGTGTTGGAGGATTCACTTCAGGATGACTCACTCACATCTGGTAAGCTAGTGCGCCATGTTGGCAGGCAGCTTAGCAGGGGCCAGTGGCTATGCGCTCCCATTTCTTTTCATGTTGGTCTCCCTAGGTGGCCTGGTCTTTCTCACAGCATAATGGCTTACAAGGGCAAGCATCCTGAGACAGAGAGAACCAGGTGGAAGCTGTATCCCAGTTTACGACAATCATATAGCATCACTTCTGTCATACTCTGTTAGCTGAGGTATTCACAAAGGCCTGCCCAGGTCAATGAGAGGGGACATAGGCTCCACCTCTTGAAGGGGACTGACAAGCGTCTGGAAGAGCACGTGTGATGAGAAATATCACTGTGGCCGTTTTAGGAAAATACAATCTTCTGTACCTTTTTTTTTCTGGTCTTTTGATTGCCATCTAGTTCAAACCTTTATTACAAACTTGCCAGGGTTAGGACCTATTCTTCCTTTTTATTTGCTTTTCCATTCAGTCTTCTCTTATTCCCTTCCACACTGAATTCCACTCTGAGCAGGAAGGACAATTCTGATTATTTCTCTGCTCCCATCCCCATTCTAAAACCTTCTTTGACTGCCCATTGCCTATGGAATGACCTTCAAATCTCTTGACGTGATACTCAGTGATTCCATGTCTTCATTATCTGAAACCAACTCTGCAACCCTAGCTCATTCTAGTCTAACACACAGATCCTAATGTCTCAGAGGAATTAGACTATAGTTCATTTCCCTGAGGCAACCTTGTGAAGTAAAAAAACTGTGGACTTGTAGACTTTGGAGTGAGTCAGACCTGGTTTCCAATCCAAGTACTGCTACTAAACCTTTGTAAAGTGAGTTTAATAATACTTATCTTGGGGATTGCTGTGAGGATTAAATAAAACAATGTATGTAAAGTGACTAGCATAGAGTAGATTTTAAATAAATATGATTTTCTTTCTCCCTTTCCATTTTCCCTTTGCTTATCTAATTTCAGCACCTGTTTTTGAGGAGTGTCCTTCCAAAGCAGGTTATGAACTGGGTCTCCCAGACCAGTGTTTCCCTCTGCATTGCCAGCAATCCAGGCAGGAGGAACATTCAGGGCAGCGTAGCCTGTGGAACTACCTGGCTCCATTCCACTAGTCACAGAAACCCACATTGTGAGTTGGCAGCACCAAGGCACAGGATGGACATCCCACAGTCCTTCAGCCTGGGCGCCTTAAATGGCTTGTCATACACCAACAGAAACTGATTCCTGATTTACATGCCTTTGGAAATAGTTGTGGCATTGTGGTTCATGTTCCACAAATCCACACTGGATTGGGCAGATGTCCAAAGCAGTGTTGCCACAATCCCTAAGAGCCTCCAGTAATTTCCTTCTTGAGTTCCTCACTCTTTGGAGCCTGTTTAGAAGTCTCCAATCAGTTAGGGCATTTTTTGGCTACTTCTAACGTTTTGCCTACTCAATTCACTTATTAATTCTGTTAAATGTATACCTTTCAAATTAGATTTGCATTTAGTAGATGATTTACTTAATCAATCAATGGGAAAGTTCCAAGAATTGCAATATCCCTATTTCCAATAATTTGTAGAATCTTAAAGAGGTCATCCCTCTCATCTGTATCAGAAGCAGCACATCTATGGCAAGCAAGCCAGCTCATTAGACTTAACCTTTTAAGGAGTTATCCACACTAAGAATAGCTCAACATTACAGCACACTCCCTTTTTAATGGAGTTATACTGAAGCTGTTCCTCATTCTAGGATAGAATTTGCTTTAACGTTGGCATCTCCCCATATATCCTGTAAGCCAGCCGTCCACAGCCTCGCCTATGATGTACTGCTTTTACACTGTTCCAGAAAGTGACTTAAAAATCTGAAAATCTGCAGACAGGCAGTGTTGGGAACCCCCATGCAGAGATTAAACTAGCCTCCCTACGCGAGACTGAGGGCAAAGAAATAATCCGCTTCTTGTCCTCTCCCCTAAGCCCCAATCTTGCTTTCAAATTCCTATTGCACTTTCACTTCCTCAATGAAACCTTTCCCAATTTAACTCCATTCAGTTTCATTGCTCTATTCACTCCCTAACATGAATAGTTATTATTTAAAAATTTATTTAGCTCTTCTATCTGTCAGATCCTGTGCTAAGCACTTTATATTAATTATCTCATTTACTTCTCAAAATAACCCTGTGAAAAAGATATTATTTTCGTTTCATACATGAGGAAACTGAAGCTCAGAGGTTAGTGAATCTGTCTGGTGTCACACAGCCTGTGTTAGAGCCAGGACTGTAAGTCAGGTCGCTCTGTCTCTAGAACCTCCCTTAACTATCCTAAAATGCTACCTATCCCACGAGGCTTTCTTGCTGTTCTCCTAACCAACCCCAACTGATTCCACAGTTCTTGTGACTGAAGAGTTTAACACTCATTTCCTTGTGTATCTGCCTCTCTAGTTTGTTAGACTAAGAATCACAAAGGCAAGACATCCATGGTCCAGAACTTTACTCTGGTGTAGTGGAAAGAGTGCTGAACTTAAAAGTATCATAATTTGAAGGCCAACTCTTGGCTTCTGTTCTTCTTATCTGCGTGAACTTTGGTTGAGCCAATCTTGCTGGACCCATTTCCTTATCTTTAAAATGATGGCTATAAGGCCTATCTTGGAAATTCTGTGGGCACAAATGTTAGGTAAAGCACTGCAAAAATGTAGAACATTCTTTTATATCATCTCTCAAAGCCCCTTAGAGAGAGTTTTGTTTTCAGAGGGTGATAAGTCACTTGTGGTAATTTTAGAAGCTTGGGAAAATAGTGCTCCAAGTAGATACCTGGTGCAGCAGCAAAGTGACTGTTCAAAGGAGCCTGAAGATCTGGCCTGGGTTCCTGCTGGGTGACGGACGAGGAGCCAAGCAACAGATTCCCAGAGCCATTTCCTTTGCTGAACAATGGGAAAGTGGAATGATGTGACTGGCAAGGTGCCAGGCAGCTGTTCTTCCAATCCTTGGAGGATAGCAATGGTCTCACATTGCAGGGAGAGGGATTGAAGTTAAACCTGAGGAAGTTATTTCCTGAGTATAGGCACTGTGAGGCTCTGGAATGCAAGGTTAAAGAAGGCCGGAATGCCCTTCTTTGAGAATGCTGAAAAAAGAACAAAAACCCAATCTCTTTGAATGTTGCATTGCCTGGAGGCAGAAGAATGGATTCATTCCTTTTGGACTAAGGCATCAATATTGAGAAATAAGATCTGCTTCTTGTGTCATCTCACTTGGCATAATAGGAAACTTCTTTTCAATCCTTGTAAGAAGTGACACATGTATCCCCTACTCTAGTAATTATCTCCACACCTCTTCCCTTCCCCAAACATCTGGTCCAGCTCTCTGTTGACATCAGTTCATTCAAGTGGGCTGACTTCTTGTCCATAAGTTCTTCAGGAAGTACATGCCCCT
Source organism: Homo sapiens (assembly GCF_000001405.40). Lineage (NCBI taxonomy): Eukaryota > Metazoa > Chordata > Mammalia > Primates > Hominidae > Homo > Homo sapiens. Next base: position 121,892,774 of record NC_000011.10, read on the forward strand.
AGGAGCAAGAGCCCAATGCCTAAGAAAGCTTCAAGAGTCCAAATAGACCATGGAATGCACCATGCAAGTGCGGCAGAAGATACCTTCCCAAGACTGTTTTTATAGGCAACATCTACCTGTGGGTTTTACTTTGCAATTGCAACCTTAAGTGCTCCACCCATCAATCATCGACCACAAATACATAGCATTGGCTTTGTGAGCAAGAATGCACAAACCCTTTCCCTTTATTGTCTCCTTCCTGCCAACAGAGAAAACACTTAATTAAAAGTCATTGGGAATTCCTCCAAACAAAAGAGAAATGAAGCTTTTGAAAGGTGCAACATGTGTGAGGCCTGGACCCATAAAATCATTAACCTTCAGAAACCTAGGAGTTGCCAACACAATGCTGAGGAGTGTGGTGTTTCCATTGCACAATGTCAATGAGCACGTCAAGGAAATATTCAGCCACATAAACGAGCTTGCAAGGCTGTCCCACTTCTTTTCAGTGTTCCTAACCTTCTCAGTGTCCCTGAGACACAGTTGCTCCAGGTGGATACTTCTTACAATTTGAGATAAAATTCTCACTTTCCAAGGCTTGAATTTTTCACCACAAAAACAGAATAATTTAATTGTTGTTTTAGTACGTGGACCAGCACCATTTGCATGGTCCTCAAAAACAGCATTAAAGTAAAGATTCTTAGCTTGAGATCTATGGGTCAGTTTCAGGAGTTTTTGAACCTATTAAAATTACATTGAAAATATGTTTATGTGCTTGTTTCTGGAGAAGATGGTCTAAAGCTTTCTTTATATTCTCTTGATGGGCAGGTGGTGATGGTTGGGTTAGTAATTTTAGAATGTAAACAACTACTGCATTCAAGGCAAATGCCCTTCAGTTACTCCTCTACCAACAAAGAGTCCCTGGCACATGGCACATAGATCTCCCACCATTGATTTGCTGAAGGAGGTCCTTCTTCTTTATGGTAATATCTAAGCAGAGGCAGTAGCATTACACATCAGGCAAGCCACGGGGATTTGTCATCAGAAGCAGCAGACATAGAGAGATGCTAGTCTAGATGATCTCTGGATCTCTTCACTCTGAGGTCCTAGGTAGGTCCAGTAAACTGTGACCCAGAAATGGAGCTTTGGATCACATAATGGGCATTTTATTTTTGCTTTTCTTTTAAGGGAATATGTAGTTCTCATGCCTTTCTGGTCTTCAGGAGACTGAATCTGACGAGCAGAGTAAGAATGGAGTGTTTTGGCTACAGACGCCTTTTACCTGGGGGTGTTTGGGTCAGGGGATGTCGGAAGTGGATGGTTAGACAGGGTGCCCAAGGCCAAGCAAATGGCCTTTGAAAGTTCAGGTGATGCTCATGGGACACCTGTGGGCAGGAAATTGCCTGTGATCTAATTGTGTTTGGAAAGGCCATACATGACTTTTCTTTTTTAGCATCATCAGGAATCACTTTTAATATTTTAAGTTTAATTTTTATTGAGACGGAATCTCCCTCTGTCGCCCAGGCTGGAGTACAGAGGCGTGATCTGGTCTCACTGCAACCTCCAACACCCAGGTTCAAGCGATTCTCATGCCTCAACCTCCCGAGTAGCTGGGACTACAGGCCATGCCACCATGCCCGGTTGATTTTTTTTTTTTTTTTGTATTTTTAATAGAGATGGAGTTTTGCCATGTTGGCCAGGCTGGTCTTGAACTCCTGACCTCAGGTGATTGGCCCACCTTGGCCTCCCAAAGAGCTGGGATTACAGGCTTGAGCCACCATGCCAGGGCCAGGAATCACTTTTAAGAGTTGATGGTTCTGTTGTCTTTTCATTATATGGTGCTAAGAATTAATTTGGTTGTAGTCTCCACTAGCAACTTCTTGCCCTTGGGTTCAGTAGGAACAAGATCTTCCAAAACAAAATCGACACTAACAAGGTATCATAACGTGGTTACTCAATCTGGATCCAAACCTCCCTCACCTTCTGGGTTCCTAGGTCTGAGCATGAAGGGGGCAGGGTACCCAAGTAATGACTGAATCATCAGCACAGCCCAGCAACCACAGGCAGAGATCAGTGGAAAGTTACAACAAACCCCTGTTGCTCAGTAGAAGAAACAAAAAAAGCCTAGCATGAGAGAGACATAAGGTGGAGTAACTTAATTATTAATTAGCTAATTTGTTCAAAAAATGTTAATGTCCTTACCATGTAGATAGCTCTGCAGCACGGCATGAGCCACTGTGGGAGAATCTGTCCTCAAGGAACTTGTAAGCCCCTTACATAAGCCATAAGACTTTGAAAGCTGAAGTGCAAAGAACCCAATTAGCTAACTACGTACAGACAGTAACTGCTGTGGGAATTTAGAGAAGGGAAAGATCTATGGGGACAAGAAATGCATTATGGAAGTAGTGAGAATCTGAGTGAATTTAGAACATGAGTAAAATTGGGTGGAGATAGGTGGTAGGAGAATTCCAAGTTTGGAGGGAAAAGATGGAGTACAGTTGTAGAATAAGAAAGTTATCAGGTGTTACTGATCTATCATGAGTTAACATGAAGCTATTATGAAAGACCTAAATGTCGTGTAAAAGGGTTTAGATTTCATCTTTTAGACAGCAGCTTTTAAAACTTTTTATTACAGGCTCATGCCTGTAATCCCAGTACTTTGGGAGGTTAAGGCGGGAGGATCCTTTGAGTCAGGAGTTTGAGACCAGACTGGGCAACGTGGTGAGACATCATCTCTACAAAAAATACAAAAAAATAGCCGGGCATGGTGGTGCATGCTTGTGGTTCCAGCTACTTGGGAGGCTGAGGTGGGAGGATCACTTGAGCTCAGGAGGTGGAGGTTGCAGTGAGCTGAGATTGTGCCACTGCACTCAAGCCTGGGCAACAGAGTATGTCCTTGTCTCAAAAAAAAAAGTAAAAAGAAAAATAAAAGGTTTAATGTAAGTAACACTTTAAAATATTTTTTCTTCCTTGTTTCCCCTCTTCCTCCCTTTCTTTCCTTCCTTCTTTTTACATTTCTAGATTTAATTTTTATATTGTACACAATTAGGATTATGTACATGTCCTTCACAGTTGAGCCATGTGGTGTACTGGGATTACATTTTCCTTTTACAATATGTTGTTTTCCCTGGAATTAATAATTATACTACTTAAAATTCACTTTTGATGTAGTCACCACTAATTTACCCCCAGACTTTGCTTAGTGGCTAAATCTCCTCTTAGTACTTTTGTTCATTCAAACACCTCGGGGACTCTGTTTCATGTTTTCCTGGAGGACTTCTGGAGCCCTCTAGGTCTCTGCTCCAATCTTAGCTGGATTCTCATGGACCTATTACATAGTGTCTTTCTAACATTTTCCCTGAGTCTTCTGGAAATTCCTTTCACCCCACCCCTGGGTTGGATTTCCTGTTTCTTGGATCTTGCATTTCTTATTTATGTGTTCATTTTGGTGGGGCACACCCTCCAGTATTTTAAGAATGAGTGCAGAGAAACTGCATTTTTGAGACCTTAGTTGTCTGAAAAAATATCTTTGCTCTATTTTGACCTTTTATTGATAGCAAGTGTAGAATTTTTTATTGTAAATTACTTTTCCTTGGAAATTTGAAGATATGTTTCTGATGTCTTTTAACTTCCAGTGTTGCTGTGAAAAGTCCTATGCTATTTAGACCCACCATCCTTTATAGCTTCCTCATTCTGTTTCTGTGGAAGCTTGTAGGATGTTCTCTTACAATTTTGTTGGACATTTACAGCCATTCCTGTCTGGAGACTTGGGTCTTTTTGTTCTGGAAGTTTTTCTTGCACGAATTCTTTGATAATTTTTGCCTTCATCTTTTCCATTCTCTCTTTCTAGAACTCCTCTGATTCACATGCTAGATGATCATGAATCCTTTAATTTTCTTAGGTTTTCTAGTTTCCATCTTTATCTTTTGTCCCACCTTGCAATATACTTCACCTTTGTTTTCCAATTTGTATATTGAATATTTTGTCTCTGCTATCTTCTTTAATCTTTCTGAAGGTCATACTTACAGTTTTCTTTCTCCTCCTCCTCCTCTTCCTTTTCCCACCCCTCCTTTTACTACTCCTAGGATTGCTCTTCTTTCCTCTGAGTTTTTTGGTCCCACTGATTTGTTTTGGTCCCTGACTTTTCAGATGTGGCTTCTCTTCAGTATATGGTGACCTTTTTTTTTTTTTTTTTTTTTTTTTTTTGAGACGGAGTCTCGTTCTGTCGCCCAGGCGGGAGTGCTGTGGCGCGATCTCGGCTCACTGCAAGCTCCGCCTTCCGGGTTCACGCCATTCTCCTGCCTCAGCCTCCCGAGTAGCTGGGACTACAGGCGCCCGCCACTGCGCCCGGCTAATTTTTTTGTATTTTTAGTAGAGACGGGGTTTCACCATGGTCTCGATCTCCTGACCTCGTGATCCGCCCGCCTCGGCCTCCCAAAGTGCTGGGATTACAGGCGTGAGCCACCGCGCCCGGCCATATAGTGACCCTTATCTCTTCCTATTTAGGAGATCAGCACTGAAAAATCATATTGGCAATTCCTTGTACATAGGAGAGGCTTGTCTAAGGGTGAGCCTCACTGTAGGTTAATACATGTGGGAAACACAGTGGTAAAAATCTTTAAGTCTTTTTTTCATGGGCTTTTGTTCCATGGGTAAGTTGGTTTTTTTCCTCTGTCAGAGGGAAATTCAGCAATTTCTTAATTGGTGTGGGGAAGGGGCACAGGCCAGATCTATCAGAGTTCATGAATAGGAAAAGGGACCCCGAGATATCACTGCTCCGTGCGTAGATTTTTATTTACTTCTCTTTGTTTTCAGTAACACATTCCCATCATCAGTGTGCCTGCTGATCCATGTCTAGAGTCCTCCTGGTTCATCTTGTCCGAGAGAATAAAACTCCCGTCTTCTGCCAGTGTGGGGAAGGGGCAGCTACTGCTTCTCATACACCCTTTTAACTCATTTTCATTTTACAACCTAACTTCTCTCCTGATTTTAGAGGCATTTGGTGTTTCCAATTCCTAAGCCACAATGAAGTTCTTTGATAAAAAATCACTTCAACGAAGTCAATAGCTGCTCCCCATTGGCTTTCCAGCTTCTACATTTTTGAGGTTGTGTCTCTATTTCTAGTCTTTTAAAGATCTGTTTCCTTTCTATCCTTCTGCTGGTGTGTGTGTGTGTGTGTGTGTGTGTGTGTGTAACTTCAAGAGGGAACAGAAGTAAACATAATGTTTTATTCCATCACTTAGAACCAGAACTCAGGACAACTTCTATCAATAAAAGAAGCTGCTCATCTGAAAGACAGCAGCACATCCATGTGCCAGGCATGCTCTTCTTTCAGTCCATAGTTAAGTTGAGGTGTACATATATGAACCTGTGTACTTGTGTTATACTCACCAGAACTCCACAGCATCACAAGCTGGGACAACATCCTCACACTGTGGTAAGGAATTATGAACCGCTGAAGGTTTTTGAAAAGGAGACATGAGAAAAGCAGGGGCTTTAGAAAATGGATCTTCAGAAAGTAGGGTAAATGATAAATTGGATATAAGAAAGTCTAAAGAGAAAGAGGCAAGCATAGAAGCATTTTCAATAGCTGGGCATAAGATAAGAAGGTCTATACAGGGGGATAAGGGTCATTCATTCATTCAACCACTTATATTTGTAAAGACCATTAAGTGCCAGGCATTTTGCCAAACACTGGATTTATAGCTGTGGCACATTGTATTTTCCAAAGAAAGATGGCTGCATGAGTATTTCCCATCCCACATGCTCTCCTTACAACAGGTTGCTGACCTTCCCCTGTGGGGTTGAGAGATGTGTTACCCTCCCTCCCCATTGACTCTGGGTGGGCCTGGGACTGTGTCAAAGTGGCACTGGGTGATTGGACTCAGTGGTAGAAGGCAATACAGTTTCTGCCTGGTTCACTCTCTTGGGACACTTGCCTTTGGAGCCCTGGGGGGCCACGTAGCATGTGTGGCCACTCTGAAACTACTGTGAGGGACAAACTATAAGGAGAAACTACACAGGGGTGAAGAGGTGGCCCAAAATGCCCCAGCTGTTTGAGTTTTCCCATCACAGATATGTGAGTGATGAAGTGTCGGCAATGATTCCAGCTGAGCCCTGGTCTGATGGTCGTTACTGGGAGACCCTGAGTGAGAACTGGCTGAACTGGCTGAGCCCATTAAACTCCAGAACCATGAGACATAACAATCGTAATAAATGTTGTTTTAAGACACTCGGTTTTGGGGTGGCTTGTTTTGCAGCCATAGAGAAGTGTAAATAAATAAAGCATGATGTGATAAGTCTCATAATAGCTGTGCTGACATTGTGCAATTGAATCGTAGAGAAGAAAGTGCCTGATTCTGCCGGCGTAATGTGGGAGGGAAGGTGGTTAGGTCAGGGAAGTGTTTAGAGGAGAGGTGAAGTATGAGCTGCAACTTTAAGCATGAGTAGGTGCATGTCAACTACATACTGCAAATGGAGAGAAAGAGACGGATAAAGGCAGGAGAAAAAAGAAAGAATTGGCAGCGTTTTGAAACTGCTTCACTATGGGGCACGGAACAAAGAAAGAGACAAGCTATAAATGGCTACGAGGTGTTTACTCTCTTCCTCTTATTCATGTAGAGATATTCTAGTACCAGTGGCCACTGCCTATGTAACCTCTTTTGCCTCATTTAAATTAACTTTACCTGAATTTAATCAAAATCTACAGTGTTCAGTAAAAATTTCTTTATTGGTAGAAAGTAGGCAGACCCGGGCATCTAGAGGTACAATAGTGATACCGTCTAATAACTAGCATGTGACCTTCTCTATGTGAGATTAAAGGATCAGCTGCTGATATCACGCAGCTCAGCATGGCTGTGTCTGAGATGCATGCTCTGAGCACCCCCTTTGCACCTGCCAGAGTGCTTGGGCCATGCTTCTCCCCTGGCGCACACACATTGAGATGAAGGGGACTCCCTCCACAGTGGCTTGGCTTACTCAGCTGTCTGCACTAGCCCATCACTGAGTGACGTATTGGGGGTAGGGAAGCAGGGTGTGTGTAGAGGAGATGAGAGGAGAAATCAGCTTTTTCCTGGAAAAGGACTTCTTGGTATTCTTTTCTGATCAGGAGCAAGAAGACAACTTAATTAAGAGACAGCATTTAATGACAAGGAAAGAAAATGTTCCTTATCTTGTAAATTCCTTCGCTAATGGAATCTTCCAGCCCACCCTGGGTAAGTAGGTTGACTGTGCCAAAAGGATTCACTGCCAGGAATGCTCCATCATTCAAGTGCAGGGCAGGAGCCTCATGATATGGGTACAGACTGGCCATCCTATCATTTCGGAATTTTGGATGTTCCTCGACTATAGAAACATACCTGCAGGCATGCTCCCAGGATTTTCTCAGAAACTGTAGCCATTTTGCATGATCACATTTCCTTATCATACAGTCCCATGCAACCCCAGGCATGAGCCACATTTATTCCTGAAGCACAGGGTACATTTTCATGTGCTTGCCCTCTTATTTCCATCTGGATTTCTCTTTCCTCCCTTCCTCCCCTAGGAAACTCATCCTCATCCTCAGATGCAGACTTCAATGGCACCTTCTCTGTAAAAGCTTCCCTAGGTAGAATTGATTGTTTCTACTAGATGCTGCCTTAGTTAGTTGGTAGTAAAGTATAGACAATATGAAACATGAATATAGATTTAAGGGTCAGACAGACATGGATTCAAATCCTGATTAGCAAGATTGCTAATTCTGTGATTTGGGGCAAGATAGTTGTATTAGGTTCCTAGAGTTGCTGTAATAAAGTACGAGGAGGTAGGGTGGCTTAAAACAATAGAAATTTATTATTTCACAGATCTAGAATCTCAAGGGCTGAAGTAAAGGCATTGGCACATCCATGTTCGCTCTGAAAGATATAAGGGGAGGACTTTTCCTTGTTTCCTCTACCTTCTGGTGTTTGCCCACAATTCTTGGCTTTCTTTGGCTTGGAGAGGCACCACACCAATCTCTGCCCTGTCTCCACCTTGGCTTAGTTGTCCTCTTCTTTTGTGTCTCTACATTATCTTCCCTTTGTGCATGTCTGTCTCTTGTGTCCAGATTGGTCCCCTCTATCAGGACGCCAGTCACACTGCATTAGGGCCCACCCTAATGACCTCATCTGAACTTGATGACATCTGCAAAGATTCTATTTCCAAATAAGGTCACTTCACAGGTACCAGGGGCTAGAGCTTGAACACATCTTTTGAGGAGACACAATTCAACCCATAATAGAAGTTAATCTTTCTAAGCTTTAGTTTCCTTATCTGAAAAGTGGAGGGTTATAATAGTAGCAAAGTCAAAGAGATATTGTGGGGATTCAATTAAATAGCACATCTGAAGTATTAGACTGGATGCTTGGCAAATAGCCCTCAATAAAAGGTGGCTTTATTAAAGAAAACATCCACTGGGTGGAGAGGCAATTCAGCTTTGTATTCTCAACTCCCATCCTCCAAAACCTATCATCATCTTGAGATTTCCCGCTAAACCCACTGAAACACTATATGTACAGAAACTCCTCTAAGATCTGGGTAGTGGGGACAGTAATCATTAGAAAAAGTTTACCAAAGGGAAAGTGACTTTTAAAGAAGAGAAAACTGAGGCATGGTCTGCCTCTTTCACATCTCAAACTGTGACTGATCCAAGTTTGATTTTATGAATTAAGTTGGCAGCTCTCCTTATCCTAAAACCAGGTACCTTTATATTCCTTTGCATATATGCCCAGTAATGGGATTGCTGAGTCAAATGGTATTTCTGCTTCTAGATCTTTGAGGAATTGCCACACTGTCTTCCACCATGGTTGAACACAGGAACAGGAAACCAAACACCACATGTTCTCACTTGTAAGTGGAAGCTGAACAATGAGAACACATGGACACATGTGGAGCAACACATGCTGGGCCAGTCGAGAGGGTCGGGGGAGGGAGAGCATCAGGAAGAATAGCTAATGGATGGTGGGTTTAATACATAGGTGATGGGTTGATCTGTGCAGCAAACAGCCATGGCACATGTTTACCTATGTAACAAAACCTGCACATCCTGCACGTGTACCCCAGAACTTAAAATAAACGTTGATGAAAAAAAGAAATTAAAAAAAATAAAACCAGGTATCATTCGAAGGAGAAGCCACTAGCTTGACTTTATTTTCTTATTCATTGGAGAGACTTTGGAGACTTCTCAGAAAACATCTTGACTTCTGTCCTGGAGATTTGCAGGATTTCAGCACCAGAGGCCCTGAACAACGGTCAGGCAGTTCCAAGATTTCCCTTGTATGCGTTGTCCATGGGCCCAAACTCAATGACACTGTCCAGCTCTCAGGAAGTAGTGCAGAGGATGAAAAGTAACCACATGACCTGCCTGGCCTTCACACCCTAGGGAAACCGCCCAGAGCCCTGACAGCTCCTTCATGTCAGTGTTCCAATGAAAGCCATCAGCCAAAATGCATTTCATCTGGGAGCCCTTCTGGTCCAGGCTCTGTTGCCTTTTCTATGTGATCATTCCTCAGCCTTCAAAATCAGTAATGGTCAAAGCAATAAAGACTAATTTTATGCTCTAGAACTTGACAGTGAAAAATATTTTAGGTGATGGTCTATGACTGGTTGATTTAGGAAACCAACAAACCTGACAGCTGAACATAACCCGACGGCACAGGAGTGATGGGATGATCATATGTTCTGTTTTGCACCATGTAAGGCAGTTGAAGTGCAATTCAGCAGATCAAATGTAACTCTTCTTGGCTTTTGCTCTTTTTCTTTTAGGAAATAAATATTTCAAACTATTTCCAGTATATCCTGTCATATAGGTCAAATTTTCAAAATACTTGCATTAGTAAGGGTTCCCTAGAGAGCAGGATGTATATAGAGAAATAGATTTATTATACAAAATTGACTCACATGATTATGCAGGCTGACAAGTCCTCAGATCTGCAGTTGGTAAGCTGGAGACCCAGGAGAGACAATGTGTAGTCCAGTCTTAGTCCCAAGTCCTGAGACCCAGGATAGCTAATGGTATAAGCTGCATCCTAAAAGCCGTGGGCTCAAGACCCCATAAAAGTCAATATTTCAGTTTGAGCCTGAAGGTCAGGGAAGACTAATGCCCCAGCTCAAAGCTCATGCAGGGGCAATTGCATCTTACTCATGAGAGAGTCAGCCTTTTGATCAATCCAGGCCTCAACTGATTGAATGAGACACATCTGCTTTAGGGAGGACTATCTGCTTTACTTATTCTAGGGAATCAAGTGTTAACTTCATCCAAAAACATCTGCACAGACACATCCAGAATAATGTTTGACCAAATATCCAACTGAGCACCTTGAGGCCCAATCAGATTGACACATAAAATTGTTACAATAATGGAGTTGATTTTTACACAGCTAAGACTATGGACTTTTGATTCTGAATGCCTGAGTTCAGATGCACACTCAGCTGTTTACTAACTACATGGCCTCAGGCAGGTCACTTTATTATATCAGGGCCTCAGTTTCTTCAGCTGTGAAATGGAGATAATAATAGTTACTCTATCACAGGTTTGGTATAAAGATTAGATTAAGAAAAATACTTAGCATAACACTTTGCCCAGGATAAATTCTCAGTAGTAACTCTTTTATTCCTCCCTCCCTTTATTCTTTCCTTCTCTATACACTTTTAAACATACAATGTAGGAAGTATAAAGATGAATGAGATGTGATTCCTGCCCTTGAGGGGTTTATGATATAACACTGAAGGACAAGGCTGTGAACAAGAACCGTGTGTATAGATTCAGGCTGGGCACAGTGGCTCACACCTGTAATCCTAGCACTTTGGGAGGCTGAGGTGGGTGGATCACCTGAAGTCAGGAGTTTGAGACCAGCCTGACCAACACGGTGAAACCCCATCTCTACTAAATACAAAAAATTAGCTGGGTGTGGTGGCACACATCTGTAATCCCAGCTACTTGGGAGGCCGAGGCAGAAGAATCGCTTGAACCCAAGAGGCGGAGGTTGCAGTGAGCCGAGATTGTACCATTGCACTCCAGCCTGGGCAACAAGAGAGAAACTCTGTCTCAAAAACAAACAAACAAACAAACAAATAACATGTAGATCCTGAGACAGAAGTATGAACACTCCACTGTAGGGGCATGAAGCAGAGCTATGGAGCAAAATAGTGAAATGTTCTGCACAGCTTGTCATTCTGGTACAAGGTGTAGAATGGAGATTTTCATCTGGAAATCTGTGGGTATGAAAACCAGACTGGGACAGTAACCAAAAACTTCCCCTCAACACCTCCTAGCTCCTTCCTCTTTTTACAGCCAGGCTTCCAGAAATGGTCTACATTTCATCTTCCCACCATGAAACCTCCCCTCACTCCCAGACCTGCTGCAGTCAGGCTCCTGTCTCTACTCTTCCACTAAAACTTCTCTTTTGGAGGCCAACTTCAGCAGTCTCTCTTAAATTCTTACTCTGCTTTTTTGATTGACCTTGTGCCTTCCTCTTTTTTGAAGCTGATTTCTGTTCTTTTTGTGGCACGGCTCTTTTCTGTTTTTCCCCCTCTGTCTCTGACTTGTCTTCCCTTCCACCCACCCCTTAAGTGCTGCACTTCTCTCCGGTTCCTCTTTTGAATACCTTTTTTTTTTTTTTTGAGGCGGAGTCTTGCTCTGTTGCCCAGGCTAGAGTGCAGTGGCACAATCTCAGCTCACCACAACCTCGCCTCCCTGGTACAAGTGATTCTTCTGCGTCAGCCTCCTGAGTAGCTGGGACTACAGGCACGTGCCACCATGTCAGTCTAATTTTTGTATTTTTAGTAGATATGGGGGTTTCACTATGTTGGCCATGGTGGCCTTGAACTCCTGACCTCGTGATCTGCCCTCCTCAGCCTCCTAAAGTACTGGGATTACAGGCATGAGCCAACACACCTGGACGCTCTTTTGCATATCTTTTTTTTCTTGGCCTATGCTCCCAGGCTGGCCTCAACTCTGACCTCAACTATCATTTGTGTGCTATATTTTCAACTTAGTTTTCCCTCCTGGATTTTTTTTTTTTTTTTTTTTTTTTTGAGACAGTTTCACTGTGTCACCCAGGCTGGAATGCAGTGGCACGATCTCGGCTCACGGCAACCTCTGCCTCCTGGAGTCAAGTGATTCTCTGCCTCAGCCTCCCAGGTAGCTGGGGTTACAGGCACATGCCATCACACCTGGCTAATTTTTGTATTTTTAGTAGAGTCGTGGTTTTACCATATTGGCCATGCTGGTCTCAAACTCCTGACCTCAGATGATCCACCTGCCTCAGCCTCCCAAAGTGCTGGGATTACAGGCATGAGCCACTGCACCCAGCTCCTCGATTGTAGATGCATGTTTCCTGAATGATTCACCTAGATATTCTGTACTATTAAATACCTCAAATTCAACATGTGTTCTTGATTTTCATTTCTGACACCTTCCTCAGCCAACCAGGCCAGAAACCTGATAGTCTGCAGGTTTCCTATCCACATCCTCTCAATTCTATGAACAAAATGTCTCTCAAATTTGTGATCTCTGACCTTCCTTGTCTTTCTCTTGTCTCACTGCAATAGACTCCTGAATGACCTTAATACCTCCAGGCTCTGCTTGGTCCTGGCTATGGACCTCACACAGTCCTCTTAGACATGCATCTGATCAATGGCAACAAAAGCCAAAATTGACAAATGGAATCTAATTAAACTCAAGAGCTTCTGCACAGCAAAAGAAACTTCCATCAGAGTGAACAGGCAACCTACAAAATGGGAGAAAATTTTCGCAACCTACTCATCTGACAAAGGGCTAATATCCAGAATCTACAATGAACTCAAACAAATTTACAAGAAAAAAACAAACAACCCCATCAAAAAGTGGGCGAAGGACATGAACAGACACTTCTCAAAAGAAGACATTTATGCAGCCAAAAAACACATGAAAAAATGCTCACCATCACTGTCCATCAGAGAAATGCAAATCAAAACCACAATGAGATACCATCTCACACCAGTTAGAATGGCGATCGTTAAAAAGTCAGGAAACAACAGGTGCTGGAGAGGATGTGGAGAAATAGGAACACTTTTACACTGTTGGTGGGACTGTAAACTAGTTCAACCCTTGTGGAAGTCAGTGTGGCGATTCCTCAGGGATCTAGAACTAGAAATACCATTTGACCCAGCCATCCCGTTACTGGGTATATACCCAAAGGACTATAAATCATGCTGCTATAAAGACATGCACACGTATGTTTATTGATCAAAGCCCACTCTTGCTGAAAACCCTTCTGTTGTCCATTAGTTTAGGAAAAAGTCCATACTCCTTACTCCAACCTTCAAGGCTCTTTACGATCTGATTTGTACCTATCTTTCTAACCTATTTCTTCCAAGATCCTGAAATATAATGGCCTATTTGGGGCTGAATTGTGTCTTCCCAAAATACACACGTTGAAATCCTAACCTCCGATACTTCAGAATGTCACTGTATTTGGAGACAGGGTCTTCAAAGAGGTAATTCAGTTAAAACGAGGTCATCAGTGTGGTCCCAATCTAATATGACTGGTGTCCTTATAGGAAGAAGAGTTGTGGACATAGACACATACAGAGAGAAGACCATGTGAAGTCACAGGGAGAAGACAGCCACCTACATACCAAGGAGAGAGGCTGTACAAGAAACCAACCCTGATGACACCTTGATCTTGGACTTCCAGCTTCCAGATTTACAGGAAAATAAATTTCCGTTGTTTAAGCCACACAGTCTATGGCATTTTGTTATGGCAGTTCTAGCAAACTAATATACAGCCTATATCATATACTACTCAGTTTGACTACTTTTATTTTGGAACATATTATACTTTTGCTACTTTTGCTTATGCAGTTTCTTTTGCTTAGTGTCCCTTGCTAGTAGATATTTATATTTAAAGATATTTTAGGCCTGGCACAGTGGCTCACACCTGTAATTCCAACACTTTGGCAGGCTGAGGTGAGTAAATCACTTGAGGCCAGGAGTTTGAGATCAGCCTGGCTAACATGGCGAAACCCCTTCTCTACTAAAAAATACAAAAGTTAGCTGGGCGTGGTGGCGGGTGCCTGTAATCCCAGCTACTTGGGAGGCTGAGGCAGGAGAATGGCGTGAACCTGGGAGGCGGAGCTTGCAGTGAGCCGAGATTGTGCCACTGCAATCTGGCCTAGGCTAAAGAGCGGGACTCCGTCTCAAAAAAAAAAAAAAAAAAAAAAAAGTAATTTCTCCCTCTTCTACATTTCTTTTGTAATTTTCCCTTACTTCTAATAAAGCAACCATCACATTATATTTTTATTTCTCCTGTAAAATTGCACCAGTCCTCAAAGAAAAGATCAGAGCAGTGACAAGAGTCAAGTCAGACATGGTGGTTGCTTGGAATGGTATGATGACAGTGTTGGTGAAAATACATGAAAAGAGGTAGAATTGATGACTGTGGTGGTTTATAAAACGTAGGGAGACAAGTTAGAAGTCCATATGAAGGATGCAGTCCTGGAATGAGGATGCTGTCATCTGGGACCATAAGACATGAAGACAAGAGTGGCGTTATGAACTGAAAGGAGCCAGGAGCTTTGTTGGAATAGAACCACCCTATTAACCCTGGACTTCCTGCCTGGGCTAATTTGCATTTGAGAGAGAAATAAACTACTGTACATAAGCCACTGCAATTTGTTTTCCCACTTGCCGTCAATATAATCCTAACGGAGAGAGCAGACAACAAGGTAAGTGTTAGCCCACCCATTTCCTGCCACTTCCCACTTCCTTCTCTGTTTCTGTGAAACTTTTTTTCACACTCAAGTCATAGTGAACTCCTTGTCTTGCCCACAGAGAAGTCTTAAAACATTCCCCCAGCCAGCTGGTTGTCCTCTTTGTGTTCCTGTAGCCCAGTGCTATGAGAAATTAGTGCACAGGGTGCCATGGGAGACTCAACAAAGGCCATGCTGGGTGATAGAAATGGCAAGTAGAAAGCCATAGAGGCATGACAGAGACTGGCACATTCAGTGAATTGCAAGGAACTTGGCATAGCTGAAGTATAATGTAAGTGATTGAGATTGAAGCTAAAGAGGTAGACAGGAGCTAATACTGAAAGGTCTCTTTTGCTAAGCTAAGGATCTTAACTTTCACATGCCCGCCTTGGAACATTCGTTCCAAA
Organism: Homo sapiens; assembly: GCF_000001405.40. NCBI lineage: Eukaryota > Metazoa > Chordata > Mammalia > Primates > Hominidae > Homo > Homo sapiens. Next base: position 121,907,905 of record NC_000011.10, read on the forward strand.
GAAAAACAAGAAGAGGGGAATATCTTTGCCATTGATTCACCTGTATAAGCACTGATGTTGAAATAACCTTATAACCACTGGTGCATATTCAGAGGAAAACAGGACCAAGGCGGTGCTAAGGAGGCAGTGCTGGAAGAAGAAATAAACACATTACAGTCAACCCTATAAATAATCAAGTAGTTCCAAAAGGACCTCTTTAAACAACTTTTTTCCTATCCTGTTATCATAAGACCTAACATTCTACCATCAGTGATATATTTATTAATTCTTATTAAAGGTATTATTGAGTTAAGATGAGAAACAGGGGACATTAAGAGGAGGTAAAATCCTTTACTTCCAAATGTTGCTGTTCGCTGACGCTGGTGAATAGCCATGTGACAATGAAACCCAACCAAAAATTGAGGAGCCAAAATAATAGAAGATGGGTGAAGATGAGGAGGAAAAGCCTTCATTGGAAGAGCAAGCTGACTCCCCCATGACGTGAGAAGTCAGGAGGCTACTGCTGCTGGTAATATCTCCCTTACAACTGTTGATGCAGACAATCTGGCTGGGTAGGGAGTGAACTATCCCAATAGGCTGTTAAGAAGAGCTGACAGTTTAAGGGGATGGAACAGCATGTAACTGATACTACTGCATGGAGAGCAAAATGTGTTGGCCGCCTAATGTGAGTCTTCCTCGCCACCACTGCTCCTACATTCCCGTTCCCCAGAGCAGGTTGAGCCTCACTTGCCAAAGGAAGCAGGGGTGGGAAGATGGTTGGCCTCATGCCCACTTGGATATCTGCTGGGAGAATTGTGCACATGCTGCTAAGTGCCCAGTGGCACCCAGGGTTCCCTTTTACATTATTAATTACCTTGAAATTCAGCCACATGGTCCCTCTGCCTGCCTGGACCAGTGCTTGATGACAGCTGCCATTGGAAACTGACTGTGCTCCAAGAGCCCCCAAGTTCCATCCTCACCCTCTCAGCGAGGGTCCTCCCAAGCCAGTGAGGAGAATGCGCATCTGTGTGTGTGGGTACCTGTGTGTACTTGGCTTTATGCATTTATCTCTTGGTTCCAGGCACAGCTTTGCATATATATGTGTATACGTACTTGGAGATTGTGTATGTGGGTGTGGATTCATGCTCATATCTGAGGGCATTTCTTGATTATTGGTGATGATTTTGGAATGAACCTGGTGGATGTTTTAAGATTTCTTGAGGATCCAGAAGTATTTCCATCTTAATGTGAAGAAACACAGGAATAGTAAATAATAACTATTTTATCTTTTCTGAAAGAGGAGGGGCAAAATTTTCAGAAAGTTATTTCTGGAAATTAGAGCAAAGAGGAAAAAAAGTGAGATTGAAGATATTCTGAGAAAGTTTTGAGTTGGGATCACCTCACCCTCCCTACACAAATTTCTCACATTCCCCTTTTTCTGATTTTGTTTTGGAAGGAAGGTATTGAAATGGGTATTTGTGCAGTGTATAATTTTACACACACACTCTCATGTGACTGTATACACATATATGCATTAGCATGCTCATTCAGTACATGCAATGTGCGAGGTATTTTGCTAGAAACTTCGGGAAGTGCAAATGTAGTTTTCCATTCACCCTCAAAGATCTCCAACTCTATTAATGACAAAAAAATTAGCAGAAAGCAGTGAGTGTTAGAAGCCAAATGGCTGCTATGATCATCATGTAGCAAAGAAGTTCAGAGGTGGAGGGATTCACTCCCTCTGCAGCCAGGGCAGGCTATAAGGAGGAGCTGGAACGTGAGACCAGTCTTGAAGATGAGGTGGCTCTTCCTATCTGAGTATGTTGCAGGAAACTGCCACTGTGGGAAATAATGGGAAAGAGCAAACCAATAACAGATGGGGCCAAGTGAGGAAGCTCCCAGAAAGCCACAATATTCTTATGCCCGTTGTCCCTATAGTGAAAGAGTGAATCATCTGCTAATATAGTATGGGTCCACTCCCTTGGAGCCCAGCTTTCTTCTCTAACTTCATAAAGAGATCTCATCCTGACTTCATAAGAAGGTTTCATTTTCACTTCACAGGGGAAGCTCATTCCAACTTTTCCTCTTTGCAGCTGTAGGACTGAAGAGCCAATCAAAGCAGAGGGATGAATAGATCGAAGTTACTGCCCATTCAAGATGATTGATTGATTGAACAAGTCACCCTTTGATTAGTTCCACTCATTTAACAAAACGTGCATTAACCATTTACAAATTGTCCTGCAATAAGCTAGGCACTGCCCTCAAAATGTTTAGGAAAGGAGAAGTCATATAAAGTCAACAGCACACACAGTGGAATTATGATATGTACAGGATGGTCTTGGAAGTCCTGAGGGAAAGTTAAAGACAACTGGAAATTCAGGATGACTTTATGGAGGATAAACTCCAGTGGAGTCTATTGTCTTGCTAAGTTTTGAAGGAAAAGTAGGCATTAACTTGAGGAAGGAGAAACTGTGTGGAGGATGGTAAACTTGTATTTGCAAACACCATGCCAATTTAATAGCCTTTGTGCTTATAGGGAGAATTTCTAGAGGATATCACTTCAGGTTTGTCTCCTGGACACATTAATTTAATGCTATCAAATCTGATGGTTTAGCTCACAGTACCAAATAGCACTGAGATAAAATTTAATAATTTTAAAAATTATTAAAAATTAATTTATAAAAGATTAATTTATAAAATGTGATGGGATCTAGAATAGTTTCAAAAACTAAAACCACTGTTGTTTGTGTTTAAGTGTTTAGCTGGTAAAACACAGAGTTTAATATGGTCATTTGTGATAAATTTGGATATAAAATTGAAGACAGATGGTAAGAATTATTTTTTAAATAGTCCTTGAAAAACATTTTTAACTTTTAGATCATATTAACAAAAACTAAGAAGTGTGAGCAATGTATGTGTGTTTAGAGGCAGAAGGTGTGTGAGCAATGTATGTGTGCTTAGAGGAAGAAGGTGTGTGAGCAATGTATGTGTGCTTAGAGGAAGAAGGTGTGTGAGCAATGTATGTGTGCTTAGAGGAAGAAGGTGTGTGAGCAATGTATGTGTGCTTAGAGGAAGAAGGTGTGTGAGCAATGTATGTGTGCTTAGAGGAAGAAGGTATGTGTGCTTAGAGGAAGATGGTTCACAAAAGCATGCTAAACCATTCTTGAATGAGTATATCAAAGAAAAAAGTCAAAATTATAGTCACAGTATATTTATAATGTGATCACAATGAAAATTGTTGACCAAAACTTGTAGAATATAGCCAAAGTTCTAATTAGAAACAAATTGATAGCCTAACATCATTTAGTTGTTAAGAATAGATAATTATTCATGTCAAATAGTTAGAAAAATGAAATTAACCCAAGGAAGGCAGAGGAATAAAATAGCAAAGAAAATAGTAAAGATAGCAACAGAAATAAATGAATTTGAAACAGAAAAAAAAAATCAGTAGGAGTAATATGTAAATCCTCTAACATAGAAAATTAAGAGAAATTTTAACAAGAAAATAAAGAAAAAACACATCATATTTAAAACAAATGAATAACAAAGTGTTAATGTACATAATGTTAATGAAAATGTTATATGAAACTTCCTGCTACTTTGTAAAACATAATAAAAAGATAAATCTCTAGGGAATTTACAAATTACCAAAGTTGATTCAAGAAGAAATGGATACAGCCATTGTGGAAAGTAGTCTGGAGAGTTCTCAAAGAACTTAAAATAGAATTACCATTTGACCTGGTAATCCCATTACTGGATATATACCCAAAGGAATATAGATTATTCTACCATAAAGACACATGCACACGTATGTTCATTGCAGCAATTTGGATAATAGCAAAGACAAAATCAACCTAGATACTCATTAACAGTGGAGTGGATAAAGAAAATGTGGTCCATATACACCATGGACTACCACACAGCTATAGAAAATGAGGTCACACAGTGAAACCCCGTCTCTACTAAAAGTACAAAAAATTAGCTGGGCGTGGTGGCAGGTGCCTGTAGTCCCAGCTACTTGCGAGGCTGAGGCAGGAGAATGGCGTGAACCCGGGAGGCGGAGCTTGCAGTGAGCCGAGATCATGCCACTGCACTCCAGCCTGGGCAACAGAGCAAGACTCCGACTCAAAAAAAAAAAAAAAAAAAAAAAAAAATGAGATCCTGACTCAAAAAAAAAAAAAGAGATCCTGGCCTTTGCAGCAACATGGATGGAGTTGGAGGCCATTATCTTAAGATAATTAATTAATGAATGCAGGAACAGAAAACAAACACTGCATGTTCTCACTTGTAAGTAGAAGCTAAACATTGAGAACACATGGACACAAAGAAGGAAATAATAAACACTGGGGCATATTTGAGGGTGAAGGGTAGGGAGAGTGTAAGGCTTGAAAAACTGCCTATTGGGGCTATGCTGATTACTTGGGTGATGAAATAATCTGTACACCAAACTTACATGACACAGAATTTACCTGTGTAACAAACCTGAACATGTACCCCTTGAACCTAAAATAAAAGTTGAAAAGGAAAAAAAAAAAAAAAGAATTGGAAATTTTGAGCCAAAGAAATAATATGACCAACATTTTCAAAGAATCATTATAGAATTATTTTATCGGATAAAAAATTAGACAGTTTCACTGATGAGTTTTTTAAACATTGAAAGTAATGTAAAATGTAAACATTTCCATAATAGAGAAAAATATTCAACATGTCTGAACTCATTTACTAAGATAATATAAGACTGATAAGAAAACCTTTTCTATAATGCACACAACAATACTGTGGAATAGCCTTATTTAAGAATGTGGATACAAAAAGTTAAAATAAGACACTCATAAAGGCATGGTAAAAAGAAAAACAAAAGCAAACCCCTTTTGACATAGAAGAATATATTCTTGAATAAAATAATTCACATTTATTAAAGTACTGTGTCTCTCAGTAAGTCAAAATGAAGAAAGGCCACATGATTATGTCAATAGTTGTGATAGAATTTAGTATCTAGTATTGAAAAAGTAAATTACAGTGAAGTAGGACAAGCAATATTCTTTCTTAATATGAACAAAAGTTTATATCTTAAATGAATTATAATTATCAAGCTCATTAATAAAACTGGTGGAGGTGGGAGAAAAGATGCTTACATATGAAACGGAATCAAGAAGTTAAATTATTTGCAAGGGATAAACTAAATATTCACAATTTTCAGAATGCTTGATACTTTATTTTCAGAATCTCTAGTAGACAATAATAGTGAACTGAAAAAAATATCAGAATGAATTAGTGTTAAATCAAGTGGTGGATTACAAAGTACATATATGATATTCAATTACTTTTCTACTGTAAATATTTAGAAAATATAATGGATAAAACTAAGATAGATAAAAATGTAATAGATTTATAAGAACATAAGAATATAATAAACATAAGAATATAATGAAAATAGGCCAGGCGTGGTGGCTCATGCCTGTAATCCGAGCACTTTGGGAGGCCAAGGTGGGCAGATCACCTGAGGTCGAGAGTTTGAGACCAGCCTGACCAACATGGAGAAACTCCGCCTCTACTAAAAATACAAAACTTAGCTGGGCATGGTGGCCCGCACCTGTAATCCCAGCTACTTGGGAGGCTGAGGCAGGAGAATCGCTTCAACCTGGGAGTCGGGGGTGGCAGTGAGCCGAGATCGTACCATTGCACTCCAGCCTGGGCAACAGGAGCGAAACTCTGTCTCAATAAATAAACAAACAAACAAACAAACAAATAAATATTTAAAAAACATGAAAAGCCTATGTTCAAACAGAAAAACCAATCAATAAAATATAAAAAAATTAAACATATGAAAATCTAAACATAAACTGGGAAAACATGTAAATAGGGTGTTCTCCAAAGAGGAAATCAAATGCTTATTCCATTTTATTAGAATTAAAAGAAAATCAAATAATGAAATACTATTTACACCTGTGAAAGTGTTCAAAATACTCACACTTCATTTTGAAAAGAATTTTAGAAAATTACTTTCATGCATTATTTGTTACAATGGAAAGGTACTGACTTTCTAGAAAGAGATTTGTCAATAGTTATCAAGAACAATAGAGAAGTTTCTGCCACTTGGCCTGATAATTCCACTTGTAAGAACATGTCCTCAGAAAATTATAAGAATCACTTAAGAATATTTTGGATAAACTATTCATCATTAATTTATTTATAATAGCAAAATATTAGAAGCAAACAAAATGTCCTACAATAAGCAGGTGGGATGAAAAAATTGTGATATTTCCACATAAGAACAGGACAAATAGTGTTTGCATAGAGTAATGACATGGGAGAATGTTCATTATATAATCTATTTGCAGTGAGACAAAGAGAAAAGCTAGGAGGAAACACACTGAAATATTAACAGTTGTAAATCTCTGTCATGAGATTACAAAATATTTTGAAATTATCTTTACACTTTTCTTCATTTTCTAAAGTTGCAAGAACCTCAGTTGGGCAAAAAGCATGAATGAAAAGAACAATATTCGTGATTGTTTTATTTTTCCCAGGATCAAACATGACTGTCATAGCCTCCATGTTATGGCTAGCTTATTTGTGTGGCCTTTCATTCTGCTTTTCAATTCTTATTTTATAATTTTTAGCTGATACCCTCTCCACCCCCAACAGGATTTGTTTCAATACTTTCTGAAATATGCAGAGATGAAACAGAGACAAATGGGAAGAAATGTCACAAAGGTTATCCACACTCGGTTCTCTTTGATTTGAGCCCAGACCATGTCCAGAATGCAGACTTGGCCCCTTTCCCTCTGAGGTTAGACTTGTTCTGATGTGTCTGATTAAACTGCTCAACAGAGAGTGCCTGGGAGCCAGTGACTGGCCAACCTCCTGGGAGCTACAGCCATTCTCATCCATATAAGAGTGCCAGGAGAAAAGAACTGACATTTGAGAGTCAGAGTAGGTGTGGCAAATCCTACTACATCTTCATTCTCCACTTCCATGACCAGACCGTGCTTGAAATCTGAATATGCTTAATGTCTAATGGGCTAAGTAGGAGAGCCTTTTATTCCCTGAAACTCCTTTGGCTACAGAGCCATCTTTAGGGAGGTCATTTCTCCATAAAGTTTTCTTTAAATCTTTTTAATTTTAATATATTAAAATTGAATTTTAGTAATAAAAATTTCAAGAAGAGATCCACAAAACAACCTTAAACTTCCCTTAAAATTTTCTCACGAGAATTTTTTTTAAAAAGGATCCATTTATGAAATACTTAACATAATGTTACACTGATAAATCTGAAGAAGTGTTAGTCATTACAGAATCATTCTCTCAACTCGGAACAAAAAACTTCATGGAATTACTGTGCTTTTAACTCAAAGTGTTGGGTGTGTGGAATTTCATGCACCTTTGTGGTGTCGTGCCAACCAGGGGAGCCGCTTCTGATAACAATTTTGTTAAATTGTGGGTTTCAGCTCTATCGGGTTGATAAATGGCAGTCAATTTTATAAGACCTTTCTCGGTTAGAGAAAGGATTAAGGTATGTCCAGGAATGTTTTAAACATTTAATGTAAAGTTACATTTCATACTGAGGATTAATTAGAAGCTGTGTTATAGAAATTTTTTTTCACCCTCATAGGAAGAGAGGTAATGCTGAATTATTTACATATGAAAGTTAAGTTTCTTTGGAAGACAGAATTTAACAGTGTAGCAATTCTTGGAATTAATGCTGAAGGGGAATTATGACCTGTTGTCTGTAAGTGTGCTTGTGTGAGACTGCACATGTGTCTATGTACATGTGAGATTCATTTGTTGTTGCGGCAAGCATAAACCAAACAGTAATAGCTCTTCCCATTAACAGGTGGGGTCACATTCTATCAGAGTTGACTGGGTACAGAAAGTTATGGAGTGAACACTAAGTCCGTGCTTTGGTTTCAACTTGAGTTTCAGCATCATAGCTGCCCTTCTTCTTCTCTCTTTTCCTCCCTTCCTCCCTCCCTTTCTTCCTCCCTTCATAATCTACTGTGTTGTTATATAATATATATTATTTATATATACACATACACACACTCAAGCTTATTTATGCTATATGTATATATAGCATATGTATATATATACATATATATGCTATATACATATATACATATATATGCTATATGTATATATAGCATAAATAAAAAACTCAAAAGCAATGCTAAAGCCACATGGGTAACTAGTTGGTTTTATGCTAATAGATTTCCTATTTATTTTACTTTCTATATTGACTTGGTCTCCTGATTTTTCTCTATGATATTTAGAAAAAAGAATTTTTTTATTGTATGGTCCTATGTTTTAAATTTTCTCTCTCTCTCTCAAAAAAAAGAATGACTTTGAGTTGCATGAGCAAAAAAATAGTAGCACTATATGGGTTTATGAAAGTCTAAAATTCTCTTTCTCTTTTCAGATAAGGAACCTGAATCTCAAAGCAAAAGAAAATGCTATATTCTTTTTCAAATACATTTTGTCCAGAAGATATCCTAAAGCTGTTGGGAATCTCAGGATATCATCTTCCATTCTGTTTGTACTCAGTTGAACACATTGTATTATTTCTGTTCATGCTTGCTGCTATAACAGACAAACCCAAAATTACATTAATGGCTCATATGTGAAATTTACTTTTTTCTTAGGTAAAGCATAAAATAGGTGTTCCTGATTGATGGAAAGCTGTCTTCCACAGGGTGATTCAGGGCCCAGATTTCTTTCATCATCAACACTTGGCTTCCCAAACAGTCATTATTCATCTACACTGAGCTAACAGAAGAAGAAAGAACATGAAGAATGGTACGTGAGGGATATTGGAAGTACAAGCATTGGAGTGAAGCCCATCACTTATGTTTAGATTCCACTGGCTAGAGCTCAGTCACACAGCCATGCCCAACTAAAAAGGAAGGTGGGGATACGTGTAGTCTAGCTATGTGACCAGGATAAAGAGGAATCAGGCTTGGCGAACAGCTGGTCATTCTCTACCACACACATGTTCAATAGTCAGAATGTGGTAGAAAGTGCTTTCTACTTTTTTTTTCTATGTTGTCTCAACTTAAAAGTTTCACTTGCTTAGCACTTTCCAAGGTTATTTTGCTTTATGAGCAAATACATTGGAGTATGATAGGGAACAAGATTCATCTAATTAGAAAAGTGTGAATCGGGACAAAAGCTCTGTACAACACAAAAGTATCTCAATAAGTAGAAATCTTTTTTGCATCCATTCAAATAAAAGGCTAGAATCTAATGATAGATTCTCTAATGATGTAACAATCAGCATCTGGATATATCTATCCTGGGATTAAAGCTACCCAGCTAAAAAGAACAGGAGAATGTAGTGAGTAAGAAGAGGAGCATCATTCCGCCCAGAAGACCTGCAGGAGCACTGTAAACTTGAAACCTTGCTCCAGTTGCTGTGCCAGCTAAGATCCAGTAATGTTGACAACCATCATCATTGTAGTATAATAATGATAGCACCACCAGGGTTAAAAATTGAAAGACCAAGCAAAGTTGACTCTCTATTCCAAAACCAATATTATTTTCTTCTATCACTTTGCTCTAGTTGGACAAACTGATTTATAAGTTATAGCCTCTGAGCCTCAATTAATTTCACTTAGGGCATTTTCACAGTTGTACAATGTTTGAATTAAGACATTTCTTTTCTTCTGAAATTGAATTGCATGTTAACTGGTTATTGGCTGATGCTGGTGTGCACACAATTACAGATAAGAGCATTGATCTGGCAAGAAAACAAATTGGCTCTTAAAAGAGGGCAGTTTGGATTTGACAGCTGCAGATGATTAGGTGTCTCTCTAATGGACACTGTATATTACCATCAGAGGTGTTAAAGATCTGTAAATTCCTCCTTTCAGCTGCGTATTTTTACCAAACAGGGTTGCTTAGATCTGCCTGTCTCCTCCAGTGAATAGCTGAATCTAATGATAGGAAATAGTCTCCAAAATTATCTGGATGGCTGGTGAGTTACTATACCCAGATCAAGCCCTGAGATGGGCAGAAGTAATGAGGAGAAGCTTCTTGGTTCAATCAAATAACTTTAGAAGTGAGGTTGATTTCAAGTACAAATGCCTAACAGGCAAGAGTCATAAGCCACCTCACCCAAGCATGACAAAGTACTTTCCCAGGATGCTAGACCATCAAGAGTGTAACCCAGAGATCTTACTCTATTTGGAAGAACCCAGGTTGTGGCCATCTGGGCTGGAGGATATCTAATTCAATGTATAGTTAGGTGGCTTGCCCAGAAGTTGGTTTGCTGGCTTTTAAGAACTTGATCTGAGTTCAAGCATTTTTGGGGAGAATGATTCAGGGCTGGTCCCATCCAGTGATCTCAATATAGAGAGGATCACTTGCTACCTTGTCATGAACATCAACAGCTTGACCTCTGCACTCCTTCTCTATCCTACTCAAGGTAGGAGGCCTTTGGTGAATAGCTGAGTACTGCCAATCAGATATCCTAACTGCCCCTGGTAGAAGAAACATTGGGTAGGTTCCTTTTATTTTAAGAGTTATCTATATGACACCTCCAGTGTAAGATGATCTTATTGTGGAAACCTTTCTATCCCCAGGGGAGTGATAAGCAATATTCTCTTTAAGAGCTTCAGGTCAAAGTCCAGATTCCCAGCTCTGGATACATCTAAAGAAGCCTATTATGTTCCAGGGGTCAAGCTTTCAGGTCTTGCCCCATTGAGAAGATAATAAAAAAGCACTTGCAGTTGGATTTTATTCATCATTTATATAATCACTGAAATTACAGATGAAATAGGTCGTTATGTCATCGAGGCTCTCTGGCTAACCAGTGTATGTGTATTTTCTCTTTTATAACATCCCATAAAAGCATCCTACACAGGGTTGGACTGTAATAATCTCTTGGCCATTTGTGGCAAGTGCAAACTATTCCAAATCAGGTAAGTTTCTGCTTGATTCCCATCTGGAAGACTTTTGACATTGCTCAGTTTGAGCGGCCGTGCCTTCTGCTTCATCTTCCATACTTCTGTGATGCCAGCATAGCCAGCCAGCTCTGCTTGGGCAGTGGTATAGGAACCCTGTTATTGTAGGGTGATGGAAGCCATGGTGGTTCCCTGGTCATGTTGGAGCAGTGTTTGTCAAGCAGGACTATGTGGGATCTTACAGTGGAGTGGGAAGGGTTGGTGCTGGAGACTTATTCTTGGGAAGTCAAAAGCTCTTTATGAGAAATTTGCAAAGTTATATTTTCATTTTGATAATCTTTAAGACATGTATGAGAATATTCTGGAGCAACTGGAAGACCTTCTCATAAAAATACTGCCATGTGATTTCAATGCCCCAGATGCATTTGCTTTAGGGCCGACTGGTACCACTTTAATGGTCTCACTAATGCAAAAGGGCTGAATTAGAATTCATTTGCTCCTCAGTGAAGACCAAAGAACATCAAAGTGTGCTGCAGAAATGGTGGGTTGTCATAATTTCCATAAAGAGATGCACTGAGGGGAGGGAGTCATTGGCACAGCAATGATAGCAGAGGCCACCTCAACACAAAAGTAAGTGCATAACAACCCTGGGAATAATATGTGCATTTGGAGTATTGAAGAGATTACCATTTTTTTTTTTTTTTTTTTTTTTTTTTTTTTTTTGAGATGGAATCTCACTCTGTCGCCCAGGCTGGAGTGCAGTGGCGTGATCTCGGCTCACTGCAACCTCCGCCTCTCGAGTTCAAGTGATTCTCCTGCCTCAGCTGCCTGAGTAGCTGGGATTACAGGCAAGCGCCACTGTACCCGGCTAATTTTTGTATTTTTAGTGGAGACAGGGTTTCACCATATTAGTCACGCTGGTCTTGAACTCCTGACCTCGTGATCTGCCCACCTCAGCCTCCCAAAGTGCTGGGATTACAGGCATGAGCCACCACGCCCAGCCGAGATAACTTTTTTATCGAACTTTCACAGTTCATTTTTTTTTGTTGTTTTTTTGTGTGTGTTTGGTTTTTTTTTGAGACGGAGTCTCACTCTGTCACCCAGGCTGGAGTGCAGTGGCATGATCTCGGCTCACTGTAAGCTCCACCTCCCGGGTTCACACCATTCTCCTGCCTCAGCTCCCAAGTTGCTGGGACTACAGGCGCCCGCCACCGCGCCCGGCCTCACAGGTCATTTTTTAATGGTGATAATTACAATATTAAGTTTTTAGTTTTGTTTGTGTATAAATTGCAAATTAGTTTTGACTGTACTGCATAAGGGCTATCTGCATAAGGAGTTTATACCTATCTTGATGGTTACATATATTTAAGAAACATTAAAACTAAAAAAAATTGAAGTCAACAGGGGGCTTCATTAGAATTGTTTTTCTCTAAAAAGACATCTATATACTATTCAAGTTGAAGAAATACTGCTTTATAGGATTACACGTGTTTTTCTGGGGCAACTGTACCCAATCTATTTAGCTCTCCAAGGGCTAGCTGTCCACAAAAGTCATGATTTTCTAAGTTTAGTAACTTGTGGGGCCAAAGTAGAGTTGACCATAATTAAGAAGAAGAAAACTAGATGCTCTTTCAGTTTCACTTTTCCTTGGAGGATGTTCTGGCCATATCACTCAAGCAACATTTTCTATGGACCTCTCTGAGCAACTGTCCACAAATGTTATGTACTAAGAAAAATACAGCAATTGTACAAGCTCTTCCTATATACTTCCTCTTGTCCTTTAATGAAAGGAAGGGGCTCTGTATTTGTTGCCATGGATTTTGATAATAATCGGTCTCATAGACGGTGTTCAAGAGGTTGAATGAAAGGATAAACCCAGATCAATTATACATGAGATAGTTATGTATTATCAACCGGTTGGTTGATTAAAGAACTATACGGTAGGATGGAAGAGATCCTCCAGAGGAGTCTTTGGAAAGCTCTATGATTCATAGTCTTTGAGTGAGATTCTCAGGGACCTGGTATGTATTAAGCTCCTTCCTTCATTTTTGCAGAGCAGAAGAAATATAGTCCACTAAGTCTCTTAGGCAAATGCTTAACTGTTTCTGGTAGGAATCCCCTGACATGTCGGAGTAGATAGGTTTAGAGCAAGTGAGCCATCTGGGGATTTATCTAGGCACTTGGAATAAAATAATGAGCAGGAAGGTGCTTGCGAGAATTGTTGAGAAAGAATCATGGCTGCAACACAGAGGAGGGGAGGAGGAGGCAGATGGGGTAGGCCAGAGTCTGAGAAGGATTGCATTAACTCACTCTATTGTGTGTTCTCTGTCTTGGATCTCAGAGATAAGATATAAAAAATTGATTGTGACTGGGATGCCAGGGACAGGCACACTCATTCTGGTTCTTCCTTGCTATCAAAAGTGACATGGTGTGAAGGATAACTGCCTCATTTTATTTTAAATAAGTGTCTTTGCTTCCACTGAGTACTCAGCTCTGGGTGGGAGAGGACATCCATCCAGTGAGCCATAGCCAGTAGGTGGGTGCTGGGGGCACCTGAATGAAGAGGTTGCACTTGAGTTGCACTCCGATCTGACAGGAAGCAGATAGAGCTTTGTCTCCAACCTGGAAAATATCTTTGGACAACTCATTTTTCCTTTTAATGCCTCAATTTTTTAACCTGTAAAATAAAGGCAGAGATACTTCTTACTTCTGGAACTATTATTGGGATATGTCTGTCCTCAAATTGTTTTTAAAAGAAAAGGGCGCATGCAGTTCTTTCTTCACTATCCAGTTACGGACTATCTACAGCCTGTCCTCTTGGGCTATTCCCCATCTCATCATCTGCCTTTGGGAATATTATGAAACAGGTTTACTTTTCTGGCATTTCACTGATACACTCAGGAATTTCCTTATTTCAAAGAACAATGGAATTGATGTTTAAAGAAGTGGAAAGTTAACTTCCTTTGTATCCCACATACCATGAGACTTTAGATTTATTACTTATTTTCATTGAGCTTCTATTTCCTCATTTATAAATTGGGACAATCTAAAGATGCTTAGAGAGTTGTTGAAAGTAACAGGTGTAAATGCAGTGTGTGAACCGTAAATGTAAAGGGCCATTCAAATGCCAGGTACCAACATCTAGTAGTTAATTGAGCAAAGTATTACTCAGAACCATCACATCAGGAAGTATTTGTATCATTAGGGTCTTTATGACATCATCTTTGCTGCTCCTTGCTTTTGTGCTTTCCATTAGAAGGTAGACTTTTTGAAGAAGTCACATCCTACATGTCTTTGTATGAAATCTTGTCAGGAACATAAGAAATGCTTAATAAATACTTGGTGAATAAAGAAACAGATTTATTCTCTGGGTTAGCAGAAGGAAGAACTAAGATTCACGAGTGGGGTGATTAGTGTAAAGAGCTAACAGGTGGAACAGCTCAACTGTGTAGTGGGTGGTTTGACAAGGTGGGAAGCTCCCCAGTCATTAGAAGTGTTCAAGTAGAAATTGACTGTTAGGGCTGATGCAGGTGAGATTCCTGAATGGGCTAGGAGACCTTGAAGGTCTTTTCTGTGAATCTCTGGAAGTAGAAAAGAACACTGCTAAATACTTAGATAACTATCCAGGCATGATTCCTTCCAATAATACCCAGAGATAGTCAAATACTACAATGCCTATATTTCGCAGGCTGTGAGAGTGCTGGGGCAGGGGGAACTTCTGAACCACTTACTGGTGTGTGGCTTTTGATGCATCCTTGTGTGTAGTATTTGAGCAAAGCTATTCTCATCAGGTCTAGTATTTCAAAACAAAGGCAAAATAAATGGACGTGTATGAGTGCTTGATGGCGTGACCTTCATGTGGTAATGGTTAAAATCTGTGTGTAATGGAATCTTCCAACCCATGAACTTGGGTGTAGATGGGCTGAATATTGCCGAGGAGCATACAGAAGGCACTGGGCATTTGAGCAAGCTTTCTTCTTTATCACTTCTGTAGGTTGGCTGGACACTCCTGTTCTATATTCTTCTGTGGAGCCAGCCTCAAATGTTGGTAAAACAGATGAGTGCCTATAGGATGAGACTCGGAAAGTAGAAATGGCTCCTCTTGCCTCTAAATACAGTCATATGTTATGTAACAATGGGGATATATTCTGAAAAATGCATCTTTAGGTGATTTTATCAGCGTGAACATCAGAGTGTACTTATGCAAACCTAGATGGTACAGCCTACTACACACCTGGAGTATAGCCTGTTGTGCTCCTAAGCCACAAACATGTGCAGCATGTTTTTGTACTGAGTATTGCAGGCAATCATAACACAGTGGTATTTGTGTATCTGAACAGATCCAAATATAGAAAAGGTACATTGAAATAAGATATTGTTGTCTTATGGGATCACCATCATATAGGCTTTTGTTCACCATTGTTGAACAAAAGTTTGTTATGTGGCATATGCTATATCTCCTTTGCTAATCTTCTAGGAGCATCTATCAGAGATGAGCTCTTACAAAAGATATTACCTGTATTGCAATGCATTTGTTCAGTTCTTTTCTGTTTACTACATTCTCTCACATGCATTATCTGTGTTACCCAAGCCATCCTTGGCTGTTTTCATTTCCATGAATGTCCATGCTTTTGGTAGCCACAGAGCCTATGGGTTCTTTTCCCTGTTGGCTAATGCACCCTTCCAAGCATCTATACTTCTTTTGCATAGCAATCATTACACTTGTTGTTTATCTGTTCTTCCTGTAGGCTTTAAGTTCCAAGAAGGTTGGAACTAAGTCTGCTTTGTTATCTGCTGTGCTGTGAAGCCTGATACAGTTTCTGGCACAAAATAGGCACTGCCTAAAGATTTGTTGAATAAACGTCTGAGTATTGATGCTCTTTTCTTCAACCTTATTGATATTTTACAGATAAGTTCAGAAAAATTAAGTGGTTTTCCCAAAGGTTTACAGATTGGATACTCAAAATACAGTTTTCTGACTGCAGATTATTAGCTTTCCCCCCTCTGTATCCTCTCTGTATCACAGCTGTTTCTACCGGTAACATGTGCCTATGTTCCTTGGGACATTAATAATCTTGGTGTTGATGCTCTGATTATGCTTGTCTCCTTTGTAACTTGGGATGGAGATGGATTTGAAAGAAGAGAAATATTTCTAGATGATAAAAAAAGAAAATATTGTCATTTGGCCTGTGCACACTGTGAAATTCATTTTTCAGGAAATGCTATGAGGCAGGATGGGATGGCTTCCTGAGGGTTTTTGACACAAACCTACTTGTAGTCGAAGCTGATGCAAAGTTTGTTCCATGAGATTACAGGTATGAGTGGTTTAGGCATTGCTATTCTAGAGGATTGGATCTGAGGTCTGCATAGATGTCTTCTACATAATTCAGCAATTGACAATTAGACCCTTGGAATGTAAGGTTACATACGTAGGTGTATGGATTCAGGGACAAGGAGGAGAGTGGGGGAGGAAGATGGAGAAGGTGCCACCACTCATGGGCAAAGGAGTATGACAATCTGCCTAGGCCATGTGGCTGACAACCCTCCTGACGCTTGTTTTGACTTTTCTCTAACTGCACAACCGGTGTATGCAGATGACTTTACATCTCATAGCAAAATGTGCGACAGCAATGTGCTAAGCAAATGCAAACAAAAATATGCTTCCCCCACTCCAAACAAATCTCTCACACATCGCAACTATGCCATGGCATGGCGAGAGACAGGAGACAGAGACCACCAGGAACCAGATTTGCTCATTGTTTAAACCACTCTCCATGATCTATATATATATATGCATTGGGAGATTACCTTCAGTTGCATTGGATTGCTTGCTATGATTTAGACATACATGCACTATGATTTCACTCATCCATGCATGCTGAAAGCATTATCCATTCAATTCATTCAACATTTACTGCATACCTACTATGATCCAGGAATACATAAGCACTAAAGAAGGTACCATGAGCTAAGCCATTTGAGAAGGCCATCTTCTAGTTCATTGTTTCTCTGCTTTTGTTCATGCTTCTCCTTCCTCTCTGCATGTACTTCACCCTACTTTCTGCCTGTGGATATCCTTCCCAAAGCTTAAAAGCCAGCCCAAGAGCATTTCTTTTCTCATCTTTACCACTCCTCCCCACAGTAAGAATTAATTGTTCTTTTGTCCCGTGCTCCAACAGCACAACGCCTCTACTCCAAAGTTGCACAGTTGGTATTTGATAGAAGGGCCTGCTGCCACCTTATTTCTCCTTATTTTTCCCACCTTCCCAAAGCTTACAGGACAAGTTCTTCTTGAGTTCTGTGAAAGTTCTAACAGAGGTAGGAAGTATATTAGTGGCCTAAACCTCACAAAAGGAGGCCTTATAATTAAATTTATAATTTTTGCATTGAGAGTCTTCTGGCTCAAATATAGCTAGCTGAAGGGCTCCAATTTGCCTTCCTTAAAACTCCTTATGAAACTAGAATAATGATAAGAAATTGTGCTGTGTTCTTCTCCAGGATAGCATAGCATGGTGGCAAAACAAGGTGTAATTTGAAGTCTAGATTTGCCTGGGTTCAAATCCTGACCCTGCCATGTACTGAATATGTTCGTTTGGAGAAGTGACTTAACATATTTGTGTCTAGGTTTTCCTGTCTTTAAAATGAGAAGAATAATAGAACATATTTTATAGGATTGGTATAAGGATAATGTATTCATACATGCATTTACTTGGAATACTGTATGGCACTTAATACATGTTCAAGTGATGCTAGTTATTAATATTAGTTATTATTCTCCAAATGAATTAATTCATAGCTAGAGTTGACTATGGTGGCATACTGTTGATGATTCTTTCTAATTAGATTTGTATTCAGAATGTTTTGAGACTCAGTTTTAAAAAGGCCACTGCTGGGAATAGATTTTTCAAGCTCTCATACTATTTATGACGAGTAAGTCATTTAGAGTTAAACTTTGGAACATGAATTTCAATATTTTTACCACTATTAGGTGGTGTCTTTCCTGGAAGAATTTATACAACCTCCCTAATCTTCTAGTTCCTCAACTTAAAAAGGAGAGGTAATCCTCCACCCCCAACCTCAGGGTTCTGTGATGATTCAATGAGTGTTGTGAGAATGAATGAAGTAAATAACATATGGAAGTGTCTTGCATCATGCATGATAGTCTTAATAAATGTTTGCTTTATTCTTTAATTTAAAAAAGATAAAGAAGCTCTTCTTGGCCACTGAATCTGGAATCTGGTATACCTGAGATGGCCCTGGGAGCCTTGATAGTGCCAAACAATAGTAACTTACACAGTGGCTTCCAGCGTTCCAGGTAGGATCTATTGCCCCCACCCCTCTGCCACCATCCACATCTAGATCTAGCTATCAAATCTTTCAGTCCTTACAATAGCCTTATGGGTTAGTACTATTATGAGTCTTTTCTAAGGTGAGGAAGCAGATGAGGACTGCTTCTAAGGCGGGGCTGCAGTTTGGGGCCTGTTCCTCAGTCTTTCCACACACCTATTCTAGCAGCAGTTCCATTTTCCCTGAGGACTGGCTTTTGCCCCCAAAGCCCAGCAGGAACAGGGCTCAGCTGCTTGTCTCACCCCCCAACAGCATTCTTTTCTCTGGGGTAGTTCCTGTGTGCTGAACATTTGTGTTGAACAGACTAAGCTCCTGACTCCATTCTTTGTCCTGTCTTCCCTTCAAATGTCCACTGGGTTATGCCTCTGGGTGCTAAGAATTGCTTTGTAGGAGGAGAACTATGTGATGCCTTTCCTCACCCATCATAAGGGTCACGACTGACATTTTTATAACAAAAGACAGGTTAACCAGAGAAAAGCATAACAATTTTATTTAATTGAAGTTGTACATGACACAGGAGCCTTTAGGATGAAGACCCAAGACCTGGGAAAACTATTTTTATGCTTAGGTTCAGTGAAGAACAAACGGCCATGTAGAAATGTGACCAAAAAACTGTGTTCTAATGGTAAGAGACCGAGTGGAGAAGGCCAGCCGCCAGGACTGTGTGTTCAGATTCTTCCTGGTTTTTCTGTGTAGCATTCTTTCCTCCTGGGTGTCGGGCGGGACCCCTCTGGAATGAGGGTCTTCAAAGGAGAAGGGAGAGAGTGATCTTTGTAGGTTTTATGGCTTGCTTTGGGGAGGAGAAGTTCTAGTTTCTACGACCTGTGTTGGGGAAGAGGAATTCTGGTTTGTAGGACTCGCTTTGGTGGAGAAAGAGGGGCAAGAGACAGGAGGGCAGGAGAAGATCGGAAAGTTTGCTTCTGAGATCTTCCAGTCTCCTTTAGTTTGAAGTATTCGGTGTATCAAAGCACCAGACTTTCGAGTATTGTCTTCTGAGCTCCAACAGCCTGAACCATGCCCTTTGACTGTACTGCCTGGTGCAGTTTGGCTACCTTCTGTAGAGTCTGCCTCCTTGTCTTGATTGGTTCCCCGGCTTGTTTCCTGATCCCAAACATATGCTTTTTTTCCCAGACTGGATCTTTCCAGCCTTTGAGACTCATGTTGCTTGTTTAGGTCTCAGCATGTTGCAGACCATGTGGGCTGACTGATTAAACATCTGCATTATCTCTTCCAGGTGCCAGGAGAATTAAGTGACCAAAATCATCTGAAAGTCCTTAAGTCCATGAAACTACACTCAGGAGAAGATTATCATGTAAAGGAGAGGTGCATTGTGTTTGGGGAACAAATGCCCATGGAAATAGTGAGTGCAGAAAGTTACAGAGCTTTGCATCTAGGCCCTCTAGTAGAGTTTGCAAATGAGATCGCCCTACAGATGGAGAATTTGGGAGCATCATGCTGCGACGCCACCTCTTGGCTAATGCATGTGGATTGTCAGGCGACAGAGGGAACTCTGATCAACCAACACTGACTTTTGGTACAGAATCCCAGTGGAAATCACCCAAGGGAAAGCAGACGACTAGTGTGCCTTATGGGGAAGCATTTTCTATATTTAGTGACCAAACTTTCATTGCCTTTGGAGAATGAAATCCGTGCTTCTTTTTTAGAGTGGTTGTTTTGAGTGGTAGTCAACATGGGGGAGAGATGGTGTTACTTTCTAAATGGAGTAAAAGATGAGCAAGATAAGCAACTTCCACCACATAGCAGCAGGTATGAAGACAACTGGTGCCTGTCTCCAGCATTCAACTAAACAGTCTCTTGCCAAGAACCTCACCTTTGGCCTGTGTAGAGCCGTTTTCACTGGGTCAGAGCAGAGGTCAGTACATCGACCCAATCACCCCATAGCATCTTGGCCAACCAAGGGGTGCTAATTAGATCCAATTGTGATGAAGGTAGAGGGAAGTTTCCCTCACTGCACTGACCACCCCCCCGCCCCCGCCCGAGTGATTTCCTTGTCTTAGAGGCCACGGGGGTGGGGTAGGGGGCTATTCTTCACCTCATCTGTCCATGGCTAGCTGGGTATGTAGCAGCTGATTCCGTTCTTAGCCTCAAATTCTCAAGGCCTCCAGATCTAAGGGATTGACACTGACTTCATGCCTCCTCCAAATATAGGAAAGTTCCCAATTTGTAATTCAGAATGTAGATGTTTGGGGATGGAAGAAGAAAACCAAAATATAAGTACCAGCTATTGGTCCAATGTCCGCTATGCTTTGGAAGTCATACTGATATTGGTAAGGTGTGGCAAATGTCAGCACCACTGCCCACCACCCACCTGCCCTTTCTCTTATGGATACAATGCATTAATTCATAAGAGGCATTTCAGACAAACGCCGGAAAGTAATTTATCAGGGTTCTTCCAGGGCTTCCAGCTATAATTGTTTTAAATCCAACAAATTTGCTATAGGCAAAGGCCCCCAAACTACCCTAAGACATATTCCTAAATTTCCAGAGCTTAAAAATCAATGTGCTTAAAAAAATAAAAACAGAAAATGCCAGCTGCCTTTGCAAACAAGGACACTGGGAAACAAATATAATTGTGTTTTTTCCTTCTACATCCGTCCGGGAACTTCGACTGCTACTATGCTACATCAGGTATGCAATGAAAGACAAACAACGAGGACTCCAAACAGAAGAGGGGAGCTTCAGTAACTGTAGTTTTTATGTTAGGGAGAGACTGAGAGAGAAAGGAGCATTGTATCTCGGATTAACAGAACTGCAGGATTTCATTAATGACAGCCCAGCTTTTTAGCAAAAGGAAGATAGTTAGGGCAGTAAAAGAGAACATGACTAGAATGTGCTCTGCTAATTGGAAATGTATATTATCTTCAGACGATGTGAGTGTGGAGGAGAGGGGGATGGGGAGGATGAGAAGAGACACATACTGAGAGGCCTGCAGGAGAAAACTGGACCCAGGACGCCCCAGATTTGGCCACACCAGCAGGGCAGTTAAAGGGTCCTTTCTTGCTGGTAGGAACGTCTAGTGCCAGGACCCCACCCTCCCCCACTCCCTTTTAATTCAATGGCTACGTAGGGGCTTCTTTGATGGAGGCTTTGAAGTCGGTGGCTTTGAGATTACTCTTCCTCTGTGACCTTGACCACCAGCCATGAGGTTAGGGGGGAAGGGGAGGGGAGGAGGAAGGCGCTGGAGTTGGAAAAAGGAAAGGAAAGAGAGGGGAGGGGAAGGAAGGCCGCCCTAAGACATTTCTGCAGCATTCCACGACTTTTCTGATCACTCTGCAAAGTTGAAATATGATTGCAGCCTTTGCACCGGGAAGGAAAGAAACCATTTAAATGAAAAATTAGCTGCCTTAGCAGGTCAAGCACATAGTTACATTAATGTCGTGTAGAACAATAAATCAACTTCGATCTCCAATTGAAAAAATGCTAATTTAGCTCAGCGATTCACTGATTGTACTTTCCTCTGATAGAAATCTTTTCTTTTATTTAATGCGAAGCCGTGATTTGACAGCCTCCTCTAATGGTGCTTGCAGACTCTCAGCATTTCAGTGGAATTCTGATCATGGTTTTAATATTCCGTGCAGCTCTGCCCCCTCTGATTTCACGCTCACACATTAACGAGAGCTGACACTGGAGATTAGACGCAGACAGCTGGAATGCCAGGTCTTTGTTGCAGCATGGACAGGAGCCAACGTCGTTCAACCACAGCCAAGAGGGACCTGGGAAAGTCTTCTTAAGAAGGAGGGGAAGGCGGGGTGGGGGGCTTGAGGGAGGGTGGGAGCGGGGGATGGGAGCAAAAAGAAAGGCAAGGTAGTTTCTGAAGGGCATATGAAAATAGATGTTTTCAGAAAGCCCTTTCGTCTCTGAAATTCACATTGGAATCAATTCTGGTTTATTTAGAGGAAGTGGTTCATTACAGGGAAATCCCAAATTGGTTGCAGTATTTTTCTGTAAACTCTGAAAATACAAGTGTGATGCACGAAAATGGAAATGGCTCCTGCTTCAGCTGCTCACTAGTTCGTCTGAGAAACAATGGTGATTACGAGCTGGAGGAAGAGTGCTTACATAAGGAAATGTGTTCTCCCCTTTGCCTTAAAAAAAATCACTTAGTTCCAGGTGAATAGATGGGGAAATAAAACGAGATTTATGAGCCAGGGCTGCCTGTGCGACTAGCGACTACCTCGGCAAGAAAGGAAGTCGCGTAGCCTAACTGCCTTGATCCTCATAAATTGTTTCCTGATACCAGAAATCAAATAAAGATCCATAGTTTCATCTAAACCATAAAGCCACTTGGGCTCAGCTAGTGCCGATATTGCAAAGGGGAAGGAAGGGTGCTGCCTGAGACACTGGCTCAACTTTGTCCGAAAGAAGATGACAGATGACCAAAGTTGCGGAGGCGGCGCATTAATACTATGTCAAAAAAAATTGTTTCTGCTCCTGGGGGAAACCAATTGAGTAGAAATAACAAATGTCCTTCTTGCTAACTGTATCATTAATAATAATCGTACTTTGCATTTTTATGGGATACCAGGATTCTAGAGCGCTTTATAAATATTCATAGGGGAAGGCTGGGGAAGGGAGGTGAATGTACCCATTCCTGATGCCTGGCTGGAGTGACTAAGACTCAGGGCCCTGCAGGGGCTTAACTGGAGTGAAACAGCAAATCACAAAGCCCCATGCTGCAGCTGGCTTGGAGACATCCAGGTTTGGTCTCTGATGCCCACTGCTCTCTCCTATGAACAGGAACGTGGCTGTAGTTTAGGAATTAGATGAGCTGAACCCTCTTGTATCACTTTTGCTTGTTGTTCTTATTTGCCTTGGTGGGACCACTGTCACTGATATAAGTTTATTCATTCTACTAGCATATAATATATATAGTAATATATTCATTCTACTACCATATAATATATATAATATATATATAATATATATATTATATATATACGTATATATATAATATATATATAAATCCGGCAGTCACATCACAGTGCAGAGCCTACCACAGGCATAAATCAGAGTAATTATAAGCAAGTCAGATACATTTGCATATGAATCTTAGTTCCTCTCTTACTGGCTTTGGGACCTTAGCAAAGTTCTTTACTTTTTTCTAAACCTCAGTTTTTTTGTCTGTAAAATGGGTTTAAAACGAAATAATCCTTAACACTGTCTGACCCATCATGGGCACTCAGTAAATGCCAAAAACAACCATTGTTGTTGTTGCTGTTTTCATATAATTGTTGGGAGGGTTCAGTGAGAATACACACACGCAAACATTGCTGGATAGAGTTGGTTCATAGTAAACAGTTAATAAGTGCTTGTTATTGTTATGTAACACATGAATGAGAATGTCTAATTCCAAAGCAGCACTATTGCCTGCAAAGCAGTCCTCTCAGTAGATTTTTGCTGATTCCCAAGATACTGAGAAATTGCTCAAAGCATTTTTGGAACTCTTCTGGAAAGTTATGCATGGACACTGTTGGTACTTTCTTAAATATCTTGAAATGTGGTACATCTTCATCCTTAGAGGGTGGATTTGTTGAAAGCTATTAAAAGTCGCCCTGAAGCTATGGCCAATGAATATGGTGGGCAATCAAGTTGGGGAACATTGCTTTGGAAATACATGTGCCTATAAGGAAATTAGATTGGTTTGTGTGGTATATAAACTGAATCTGATCACAATTCCAAAAAAGGCTTATTGAGCAAACATAGCCATTTCAGAATATACACTTTGCCTCCCAAGGAGAGTACTTAGAAGGGGTCATAGATTCTGATACATTTGTCGGGGTGGGGAGATGAAGTTTATTGTTTCATGGCCACTGCTTGTAATAGCCTTCCCTGAATAGCTTACAGTCCCAGCTAGAATAAAAAGACATGCCCCTGAGTGCTTCCGATTATGTGCAATCTGAGGTCCACTTCCCTTGACTTTGCCCTTTTGGCTTATGGGCAGCTTTAGTGCAGAGTCAGTTTGCTCATTTTTTCAGGATTGTGCAAACTGACCCTGCATTTACTGGGTTTCTGAAGTTACTAAGGATTAAAACTGACTAAGTCATGATCTCTGCCCTCACAGGCCTCACAGTCTAATAGGGAAGGCAAACAAATAGTTGCAATACAGAGAGGTAAGTGCTATAGGAGAGGGACACATCAGGAGTAGGGCAGATCCCAGAGGCCCTATATGTATATTATGCTCGAGCGTGTGGACTTTTTCTTAGAGTTGGATAGGAAGCCATTGGCCTTTACAGCTGGGATCAAACATACTCTAATTTGGCTTGCCCTTCTGTTCTACCTGTCCCTATTCCTAGCTTCCACGTCTTGACCACAAATCGTATACACCCTGCATTAGCCCTGAGGACAGCTGAAGTGGAAATTGTTTTGTTTTGTTTTGTTTTTAATTTGAATCTCACTCCCTTATTAAGGAGCTCTCTGGCAGTGAAAGAGCAAGAAGAGACTTTTCCCAAATCTTCTCCAGAAAGATTTAAGAGGTGTGATTTATTATAATTTCAATTATAAAAGGTTTGGGTTTGGCTTAAAGAGTTTTCACTTACAATGTCTGAGTCTGTTCCAAGGGCTGTAAACCATGGCGGGTTTCCAGTGGCCCCAGGTAGCATCCCCATAGTCACATTACTTACAATTGGTAATGAATGGCTTTGACCAGAGGGGAGTGTAGATGAGCTGAATGGAATGCTTAAGAGCCTAAAGGCATGGGAGACTGCTTCTGGTGGTTAGATAGAATTGATCATATCAGTGGCAATATGACACATATAGAATATGTTGGAAGACAGGAAGCCTGGAGTGGTTTTACTCATTCCTGAATGCTACGCCTCTGTGACATGGAGGTAGGAGTGCCATTCCTGCCAACGCACTGTCATTGAAATAGATTCATTTGTTCATAAGCATGCAGAGAAAATGTGTCCTGACTTTGTACATTCACTCTGGGTAGAGCACCTAGAAACATCTAAGATGTTGGAGATTATGATTGTCTACTTGGATTTGAAATGCCTAGTGGCTTCAGAGTGCTTTAACCATTCTGAATGGTCATGATAATAGCATGTCTTAGAACAGGGGTCCCCAACGTTTTTGGCACCAGGGACCTGTTTTGTGGAAGACAATTTTTCCATGGACAGCGAGGGGTTTGGGGATGGTTTTGGGATGAAAACGATGAAACTGTTCCACCTCAGATCACCACGCATTAGTTAGATTCTCACGAGGAGCACGCGACCTGGATCCCTCACATGTGCAGTTCACAATAGGGTTCACATTCCTATGAGAATCTAATGCTGCTGCTGATCTCAGAAGAGGCTGAGTTCAGGCAGTAATGCTAAGTTGCTGGCCTGCTGCTCACCTCCTGCTGTGCGGCCCAGTTCCTAACAGACCACCTACCAGTACCAGCCCACAGCCTGGGGGTTGGGGACCCCTGTCTTAGAAGAGTGATTCTCAACTTCAGTATTGTACCACACGCAGGTTTCAGGCATGTTACAAGCATAATATTGGTGGATGATTTGTTAAAGTTTGTAGATAATTATTGAATTGGAAAAAAAAATGGGGCGATTATCCCTATAATGTCACCCTTCCAATAGGCTTTCTATTGGGGAAAAAAAAAAATGCCTATCAGGAATTAGAGAAGTCTCTGAATAGCCTCCAGGGAGTGTGCCATGAAAATACACACAGGGGATTTCAATATGAATTTTCAATGGAAAAAAAGTTGAGAACTCCTATGCCAAAAATAACATTTGATGTAAACATGACCGTATTATGTATGCAATTCAAATGGAGTTTAGTCATTGTGAGATGAGAAAATATTACGTAATGATGTAGTATTTAGCTAACTGAGTTTCAAAGTATATTCCTTGAGACTAGTGTCTGCAGTTGAATCCAAACATGGTAGTCTATTTATTTCTTCCATTTTTGTGCCATCATTGTTTAATCCTAGTTCCTTTTCATTAGTGGGTTTTCTCATTGCTTCAGTTCAACTCTGAGCAGTTCCTGGGACTATTAGAGACTGTAGTAGAGGTCATGGGCGTCATGGATGTAGGGAATCATAATTTCTTGAATATCTACTGTGTGCTGATAGCATGCTTAGCATATATATATAAAATATGTATATAATTATATATAATTTAATATATTATAATGTATAATTTCACATCATTATAATTACACAAACTATAATTAATGTACATATATAATTTAATCCTTACAATAAGGCTGTGAAGTTCTATCCCATTTTACAAATAAGGATTTTGAGACAAAAAGGAGTCTAAATAATTGGCCCCCTAAGGTCAAACACCTAGTAAATAATAGAGCGCTAATTCGAAAACAGATTTTTTGGAATACCCAAACACTTATTTCTTTCCTGAGCATGTGCCCATGAAAGGATACTAGACAGGGTAAGAGTGTATAAGTTCTCACCGTTGCCCCAGTTGGATATAAAGGCAGGAACTGAACACAGTCTAAAATTCAAAGTCTTGGGGCCAATGTAAAGAATCAGAGCCAAGAAGGGATCATCCGTGACAGCATCTGATGAAATGTATGGGTCAAATCATGTAAAATTGCCAACAGTTGACCATTTTCTATCTCTAAAAATGGAAATTTCATATGGTTCAACCTAACAAAAGTAGGATAATCAGTGCTAAGTCACACTTAATATGTTTTTCTCACACATAGGATTGAAATCTGGCTTTTAAAATGGAAATAGAATAGAGTCATTTACTCCAGCTCCTAAAGTTCCATATATCTTACAGCTCTAAGATAACTGAATGGGAAAGCCTAGCTCAAGATTTGTAGCATCTGTAAATCAAGCATTTAATATTGAGAAGGAAGGGGCGAGGTAATTTCTGGCCCTCTGATTCTCCCACCAGCTACGGAATGTGAGGCACACGCCCTCTGCAATGAAAACCATTCTTTCTATGTCTCAGCCCTGTGACCCCCTAAGCCCCAAGGAAGACAGGTTACCCACTGTTATGAATTGAATTGTGTTCCCCAAAAGATATGTTGAAGCCCTAATCCCCAATACATCAGAATGTGACCCTATTTGGAAATAGGCTTGTTGCAGATGTAATTAGTTAAGATGTGGTCATACTGGAGTAGGTCAGGCCCTTTATTTAGTGATTGGTGTCCATGAAAAAGAGGAGAGACACAGAGACAAAGACAGGGAGAAGATGGCTGTGTGGTGACATAGGCAGAGATTAGAGTGAGGCATTTTGTTAGTCCATTCTCATATTGCTCTAAAGAAATACTTAAGACTCAGTAATTTATAAAGAAAAGAGGTTTAATTGGCTCACAGTTCTGCAGGCTGTATGTGAAGCCTGATGCTGTCATGTGCTCAGGTTCTGGGGAGGCCTCAGGAAACTTACAACCATGGCAGAAGGCAAAAAGGGAGAGAGGTGTTTAACATGGTGGGAGTAGGAAGAGAGGTGGGAGGAGAAGCTACATGGATTTTTTTTTGTTTTTTTTTTTTTTGTTTTTTGGAACTAGATCTCATGAGACTCATGATACCAGGGGCAGCACCAAGGGGCTGGGGCTACACCATTCATGAGGGACCACCCCCATGATCCAATCACCTCCCTCCAGGCCCCACCTCCAACAGTGGGGATTATAATTCAACATAAGATTTGGGCAGGGACACAGATCCAAACAATATAAGGCATCTGCAAGCCAAGGATTGCCAGCCATCACAGAAGCTAGGAAGAGGCAAGAAAGGATTACCCCTATGGGTCTCAGGGAGAGCAGGGTCCTGGTGGCACCTTGATCTCAGACTTCTGGGCCTCCACAACTGTTAGATGAGAAATCTCTGTTGTTTAAAGCCATCCAATTGGTAGTACTTTGTTACGGCAGCACTGGGAAACTGATGTACCCACTTTTCAGGTTCCACGTCTATTTCCTTCTCTTGTGCTCAGTCAAGATAATAAAGAAAATAAAATTGTCGTGTGAAAAGATAAATCCTAGATTTCAGAAAACATGGCTTACTAGACTGACTCACTTCCAGGATGTTCTAAAGAGTTTCTTTTTCTTTTTTTTTTTTTTCTGAACCTTAAATTTGGGGACTACATATGCAGACTGGTCTCCTTTGAGTAGGAGATTTTCATCTGATTTATGACAGTCAACCTCCACGTTAGATTTACTCTGAGCCTAAGTCACAGCCTAATGAGTTTTGAACAAATGGGCTGCCTTCCAGTGAACTGCAAGGTAAGGGATGACAATGAGGTCCTCCCTGGTGGCCATGACTGGTCTTCATGCCATCAGCAGTGAATTTGAATTATGTTAAATTGTGAATGTTACTGGAGAGGCACAATATTTTACATTATTAGTATCATTGGTGACTAATCCAGGATTTATTTATCAGGTTAGCCAACCATTAGCAGGAGCCAGACATAAGTCGGCCACAAATAGATTCACCCAGTATTTATTGAGTGTCTGCCATATAATCACACACTGGTCCAAAGTCTTGCATGATCTCACTGACTCTGCCCTACAATTCTAACACATAGTTATCTCCATTTAGAAATGACAAAAGTGAGACTAGGAAAGGTTAGGTAACCTGCCAAGAGTCACACCACTAGTAAGAGGGTAAATGGCTCCAAAGCTTTGGAGTCAGCTTATTTTTTGACACTAAAATCATAGATGAGAAGGACAGAGGGAACAGTTCCCAGCAAGGTGCCGCTCTGGGAGGGTGTGGGAAAATGAAGGATCACTGAAAGTACTGGGTCCTGGGAAGTGGTATTCAAACACAG
This sequence comes from Homo sapiens, assembly GCF_000001405.40. Taxonomy (NCBI): domain Eukaryota; kingdom Metazoa; phylum Chordata; class Mammalia; order Primates; family Hominidae; genus Homo; species Homo sapiens. The sequence continues at coordinate 121,936,874 of NC_000011.10, forward strand.
TTGAGCATGAAGGAAGACTTCCAGAGTAGACCATGCATAGTTGTGGTCAGCAGGTCTGAACGTGGGGTCAGAAGATTCACTATTCAGCTCTTGGGCTAGAAACTGAACCTCTCTGAGCCTCATCATCCTAAACTGCAAAACAGGCATAACTATACCTTCCTCCCTGAGCTGTTCTGCGGCTTGCCCACAATAGTGGATGTACTAGCATCTAACATCTAGCAGATATTAGATAATCCATACATTCTAGCTTTCTGTGTTTTTCCCCGGTGTATTTTGGGCTGGCCCTGAGCTAAAGTCATATCCCTCTGAGTTAACCCCACCACTGTGAAGAGTATGCAATGTGTCATCACAAACTTAATTTTTAAAAACAGACATTTAATTTTTTTAAATGATGAATAAAACATTTTCACAATAATTGCAGTGATTCATCCATTTAGTCATCGGATATGAAGATTCTACCTATACCAATCATGGCTGAATCAGACCCAAAGAATTAGAAGACACTGCCTGCTCTTAAGAAACACTCAGTTTTTTGTCTTTTCATTGAAGTCCTATAAGGATTTATATTTTTCAGTAGTCTTTCCTGATATATATATATATATATATATATGTGTGTGTGTGTGTGTGTGTGTGTATATATACACCAGTGCGTATATAATCATAGGAAATATACATTGTGTGTCTTAATGTGTATCATTATTGTGTAAACACTTATATATATGTTATATATTATCAACATAAATAATATATCAACAATACATAAAAAGAGATAATATAAATATATAAATATATAATAAATATATATCTTGCAAACACTTATATATGCATGTATACCTATGCATACATAATCATAGGAAATATACATTTTGTGTCTTAATTTTTGATCAGTATTTTGTAAACAGTTTTTCTTCACCTCTGTGGTGGAAAATCATGTTTCAGCCCCAGGGCCTTTGCAATATCATTTCCCTCATGGTTTGGTTTGTAACTTTAGTGAAGTCTCTAATCAAATGTCAGCTCATCAGAGAGGCTGTCCTGACCACCTTATCTGAAATAGCCCCTGTTCTCACACCACTCCTTGTCTTTCTCTTTTGTTACTATGCAAATGGACTCTGATCATTACCTAATAGCATGTCATAGGCTTATTTACTTGTGTGTCATCAATTTTCTCCATATCCATTCTCCCCAACACCCCTCTCTGGCCAGGAGAATGTAGGCAGTGTGAAGATCAAGATGTTGTTTTGTTCTCTGACACATCCCTAAGACCTAGGACAGTGCCTGGCATATTGTAGGTGCTCGACAAATGTTCATTTCTGATGGAATGGTTCCATGTTGAACATTTCAATTAACTGTATGATAAATCATGTAGCTTTCCTATGCTTCCAGAGCCACATATGCTAATGAAGCTCATCCAACTTTACTCACTTTACATTCCTCACAGTCTTCAGACAACATCTGGACAAATTCTACATATTTTGGACAGGATTTCTCAGTCGTCCCTCCCCTCCCCTGCCCCTCCAAGCATGCCTCCTTTATATGCAGGGGTATTCACTCTAAGGCATCTTCTTGAGGATAGACATTATTTCTCTTCATTGAAACCCCCAGTTCCCAGGTACATCCACAGAGAACCTAGTCTGTTTCGCCGACGCTTGTGTTTGCAGTGCTTCCCCGTTCTTCACTAATGACTATAAATGTGCCAAAGAAGGAAATGAGAAAAGTTCAATGTGCAATGAATCCAGATTGAGCTGGTCTACACTGGTATCCTTCCCTGACACGCACCTGAGACCTCCTCACCTTGACATCATTATCTCTCATTAGAAGCGACTCAGAAGCACCAGGTAAGCAGTTGCAGGATGCTGACTGGATTTGTGGGGCTATGTTGATCACAAGCCACATCCCTCTCTTTCTGTCTGCCCCCCTCTCTCTCTCTGACTGGCTGTGTAGCAGAACCTTTCAGCAGAAAGGTTTAGAGGTTAGCAAGAAAGTAATTAGGGCCAGAATTGCACATCAGCAACACTCCTCTAGCCATTTTCAAATGGCTGGCACTGTGGATTTTTAAATTTGAAACTTGGTGCTAAATTCGATCAGGTTTCTTCACTTCTTTGTTTTAGGCTTCGTTTTTGTTGGTTTCTCTTTGTTTATTACATGATTCAAGGTTTTCCCATACTACTATGCTGCCATGATACTACTGGAGGCAATCACTATTACTAGTTTTATCTGCCTCCTTCCAGGAATACTCTATGTATAAACAAGCATATATGTACACTATTTCTTTTTTGCTCTACAAATGGTAGCATACACTTTATTCTTCCTATCAGTTTTTGCTCTACAGTTTATCCTGAATATCATTCTTCAGTGTATACAGAGAGGTGACCCACTTTAAGACCACTACCTCATATTCAATTCAGTGGATGTGTTATATATTATTTTACCAAGCCCCTACGAAGGAGTATTTGTTTCAACTTTTTGCAATTATAAACGGCATAATAAATCATTTCACACATGTGCAAATATGTCACCAGGAAAGATTCCTAGGGATGGAATTTCTAGGTCGAAGGATGCCAGCTCTTTACATTTTGATAGATCATTAGAGATTCCTCGCTGTAGACAATTGCACAACATACACTGCCATACAGTTTGACAACAACACACGAGAGTGGCTGCCTCCTTACACCCTGGCCAACATTTACATCTTTGACAATCTAATCCACAAATCTATCACTTTGTGTTTTTTTCTGGTATTTCTCTTATATATGTAAATGCTATTTATATTTCTGAAAATTGTCAGTTCATGACTTTAGTCTGTAGTTGTTCTGAGTTATTGTTCAGATGACTTATAACAAAGAACTCTGTATGTATAAAAAACATTAACCCTTTGGAACATGGGAATACCTTCCCCAGTTTTTATTAATCCTTACATTTTATTTATATTTTACTTATTATGCAAAAAAAAGGAGTTTCAATTAATCACTTCTCCTTTCTGAGATTATTTTAATTTCTTAGCTTAGGTATTTTAGCCTCTTCCCTGTTGCAATTTAATTTAATTTTTTTTAAAGACAATCTTGCTCTGTTGCCCAGGCTGGAGTGCGGTGGTGTGATCTCAGCTCACTGCAACCAACACCTCCGGGGTTCAAGTGATCCTTGTGCCTCAACCTCCCAGTAGCTGGGATTAAAGGTGTGTACCATCACACTCAGCTACTTTTTGTATTTTTAGTAGAGACACGATTTCATCATGTTGGCTAGGCTGGTCTTGAACTCCCGGCCTTAAGTGATCTGCCCGCTTCAACCTCCCAAAGTGTTGGGATTAACAGGCGTGAGCCGTGGCACCCAGCCTCCCTGTTGCAATTTTAAATAGGATATTTTCTTCCATTACCTTTTATTTAAAAAACTCCATTATGAAATGACATTTTAAAAGGCATAAGGAATAACAAAACAAATGTCCATGTGCCCACCAGTTGACTTGCTTCAAAACATCAGTGATAAAGTTCCATCTATCTCTTCTTATCACGTTCACCTCTTTCACTCCTAGAAATAATCATTATCTACATTCGGTGTGTATCATTCCTACACATTTCTGAAAGTATTTCTACGACATAGATATGCATTCTTAAGCAGCATGTGGAATTGTTTTCAGTGTTTTTAAACTTTACGGAAATGTGCTCTTCTTCCACTTGCTTTTGCTGCTCAATGTGTTTGTGAGAATTTACCCATACTGATATATATGTTCCTAGTTAATTCACCCTGCTGAGGGAGCACTTCTCAATTTATTTACCCATCATCCTGGAAACGGACATTTAGGGTATCTCTTTTCTCTTTTTCCTATTAGAAACAATGATGGGGCTGGGTGTGGCGGCTCATGCCTGTAATTCCAGCACTTTGGGAGGCCGAGGTGGGTGGATCACCTGAGTTCGGGAGTTCGAGACCAGCCTGACCAACCAACATGGAGAAACCCCATCTCTACTAAAAATACAAAAAAATTAGCCAGGTGTGGTGGCGTATGCTTATAATCCCAGCTACTCGGGAGGCTGAGGTAGGAGAATAGCTTGAACCCGGGAGGCAGAGGTTGCGGTGAGCCAAGATCAGGCCATTGCACTCCAGCCTAGGCAAAAAGAGGGAAACTCTGTCTCAAAAAAAAAAAAAAAAAAAAAAAAAGAAAGAAAAAGAAAGAAAGAAACAATGATGGTAGGGATGTTCTTGTTCGTATCTCCTGGTACAGGAGAGAGAGTTTCTCTGGGAGTAGAATTAAAGGGTTGTGAGGAAATTCACCATCCAACTTCCAAGATAGTATCAAACTGTTCTGAAGGTAAAATACTCTCGCCAGCTATGCCTAAGAATTTCCTATGTTTCTCATCCTGTCTTTCACCTGTATTGTGAAACTTTATTATTTTTTCATTTTGAGGGTGTGTAAAAGAGTATCTCATTTAATTTAAATTTTCCTAATTATTAATGAGTTTGAGCATCTTTCATACACTTGTTAGCCGCCTAGGTTTCCCTTGTTTCTTTTCTTTTTTTTTTTTTTTTTTTTTTTCAGGCAATTCTCCTGCCTTGGCCTCCCGAGTAGCTGGGATTACAGGTGCCCGCCATGATGCCTGGCTCATTTTTGTATATTTAGTAGATACGAGGTTTCGCCATGTTGGCCAGGCCGGTCTCAAACTCCTGACCTCAGGTGATCTGCCCGCCTCAGCCTCCCAAAGTGCTGGGATTACAGGCGTGAGCCACTGCTCCTAGCCCTAGGTTTCCTTTCTTTCAAAAAATGAACCTCTCGTTGATGTCTTTTGTGCATTTTTACTTCTTTTTCTTTTTAATCTCATTATATTTTTAAGTACCTTGTATAGGAATGCTATTGTATTAATTTTGTCTATGAATTATGTTTCACATACCATGATGGTATATGATATGGTACCATGATGCTATTACATTCTTTAATACTTTTCCTTTCCAGAGGTGGAGCTTAATTCTCCTTCCCTTTGGTGTGGGATATCCTTAGAGTTTGCCTTCTAATGCAAGAGTGATGTGTGCCACTTCATAAACGAGGTCATAAAAGGCATTTTGGCTTCCTGCTTATTTGTACTTTCTCTTGAATCACTTGTTTGCGCTGGCTGCTATGTTGTGAGGACACTCAGGCAGCCCTGTGGAGAAGCCCATGTGGCAAAGAACTGAGGCCAACAGCCAGGGAGAAACTGAAGTCTCCTGCCAATAGCCATGTGAGTGCGCCATCTTGGATCTGAATCCTCCAGCCCCTATCAAGACTTCAGATGCCTGTGGCCTTGGCCAACATCTTGGCTGCAGCCTCATGAGGGACCCTGAGCCAGACAACCCAGCTAAGCTGATACTGGATTCCTACCCTCAGAAGCTGTGTAAAATGATAAATATTTCCTGTTTTAATCTGCTATCTTAGTCTGTTCAGGCTGCTATAACAGAATACCATAGATTGGGTGGATTATAAACAACAGAAATTTATTTCTCACAGTCTAGAGGCTGGGAAGTGCAAGATCAAAAGCACTGGCAGATTCAGTGTCTGTTGAGGGCTCATTTCCTGGCTTATAGATGACAGTTTCTCACTGTGTCCTCATATAGCATGTGTGTGGCAGGAGGGCAAGGCAGCTCTCTAAGGCCTCTTTTATAAGGGCACTAATCTCATTCGTGAGGTCTCTGCCCTCATGACCTACTAAAGACCTCATCTCCAAACATTATCACATTGGGGATTAGGTTTCAACATACGACTTTTGAGGGAACATAAATATTCAGTCTTTATAGAAGATGCTAAATTTGAGGAAAATAGCTATTACGGATTTGTCTTCAGTAGCTGCTAATATCAAATTTGGGGATAATTTGTCAAGCAGCAATAGATGTCTAATACATATACCTTACTGAATTATCTTATTGCTTGCATAGTTTTTTTCAACTGATTCTCTCGCATTTCTTAGGATTGCAATATTGCCTACATAGAATAATAATGGTCCCAATTTTATAAAAAATCGTTTATTATTTCCTCATCAAGCTTGCTGCTAGATTTGGGTTGAAATTTATAAATTTTATTAGAATGTTGAGGAAGTCTTTTCATTTATCCCCATTTTATTAACAATTTTTTAAAAATCAAGAATGATGTTGAACTTTGTCAAGTGCTTTTTGATACTTGAGAGAATTATAATTATCTTATGATTTTTCTTTTGAATTATTTTAACAGAGTTCCATTTTTGCATTGCAATTCATAAGGGAAAGTGATCTTATTTTGCTGTTGCTTGTGAAATATCTGCCAAGTCTGAAGTCTTTGCAACCTGTTTCATAATTTTCCTAATCTTTGTTAAACTGGTACCATAAAAATAAATGAAAGCTTTTCTTATTTTCCCTATGTCCTAGAGCAGTAGAAATTAGGGTCAGTAAATTTTTTCTTTACAGGGCCAGATAGTAAATATTTTAGGTTTTGTGGGATGTCTTTTTTTTTTTTTTTTTGAGACGGAGTTTCACTCTTGTCCCCCAGGCTGGAGTACAGTGGCGGGATCTCGGCCCACTGCAACCACCGTCTCCCTGGTTCAAGCAATTCTCCTGCCTCAGCCTCTTGAGTTGCTGGGATTACAGGCACCCACATCATGCTCAGCTAATTTTTTTGTATGTTAATAGAGATGGGGTTTCACCACGTTGGCCAGGCTGGTCTTGAACTCCTGACCTCAGGTGATCCGCCCACCTCGGCCTCACAAAGTGCTAATATTACAGGTGTGAGCCACTCTGTCCGGCCATGGTCACTGTCTTGACTACCCAACTCTACTGGAATGGTGGGAAAGCAGCCATAAACAGTATGCAAATAAATGAGTATGACTGTGTTCCAATTAAACTTTATTTAAGAAGAGAAGAGATGAGCTAGATTTGGCCTATGAACCATAGTTTGCCAAGCCCTGGTATAAATCAGCTCTCTCAAACTTTAATGTGCATACAATTACAATCTCCTAGAAATCTTGTTAAAACTAGATTTTCCTTTAGTAGGTTTGAAGGGTAGCCCAGGACTCTCCATTTCTCGCTAGCTCCCAGGTGCTGCCCACATGCTGGTCCTCAATCACTCTTTGAGTAGCAAGGATTTAAACGACATTGAAATGGTCTGTTTGTTTCTAAGTTTTGTTGAATTCGTTTGTGAAAACATCTAGGCCTAGTTTTTTTGAATTTTTCTGAATTTCTTTTATGGATATTGGTTGTTTGAAACTTTTGATCTCTTCTGAGGTTAGTTTTAGCAGCTTATAGATTCTTAGAAAAGCATCCATTATAACTAGGTTCTCATATTTATGTGCAAAGAGTTGAGCAAAGTAGTTTTTAAAGATTCTTTCCTTTTCCATCTGTGGTTATTTTTCCATTCTTATTTCTTATTTTTTTATTTGTGCTGTAATTAGCTATTGTTTTATCTAATCTATTCTACCTTTTTAAAGAACTCCTTCTTACATATATTTATTTATTCTATCATTTTGGATTTTCTTATTATTTTCTGGTTTTATCTTTATTCTGTTTTCTTTTGGATGACTTTTTCTCTGGACTTCTTAAGTTTCATACTTAATTCAATTATTTTAATCTTTCTGTTTATTTATATAAACAGTATTCAGAACCATAAATTTTCCACTGAGCTTTGCTTTTATTGTACCATGTAGAGTCCGATACTATTTTCCACATGGGGACCAATTCTCTCTGATTTCCTCCTTGACCCAAGAATTATTTAAGAGTTTCTAAATTTCTAGATGACAGGTTAGTTTTGTTTCTAGTTTTAGTTTTATTGCATTTTGATCAGAGAATGTTGCCTGTAATATCATCTTTTGATCTATCACTAGCTGAGAGAGGCCTAGTAAGTTCCCTTCTACTGATAAGTTTTTTGTAATTTCTGGAGGCTTTGCTTCCTGAATTTCGAAACGGATATTTAGTCCACAGAAAGTCACGAGAGTTCTTCATTGTGGAGTGTAGCTTCTATCACTTTGGTGTGCTTTTTTTGACTTGTTTACAGCTTTTTGAGTAACTGTCAATCTGTGATCATTTCCTCTGTCCTGACATTTCTCAGCTCTCCTTGGCTATATCCATTATTGAGGAGGCCTACCTATAGGTTTTGGGCAATTCTGGCTTCTGAAAGAAGTTAATAATAGCCCTCAGCTCTGACAGATATTTGCCAACTTGATCTAGTTCCTGGTGTGGCAAGGCAGGCAGAGCATTTCTTAATATTCATTCCCACTTCCCTACTCTAAGCATCATCACTGTCCCAGATAATATAACTATTCTTCTGTCTTGATGTTCCATCATTTCCAATCTCAGCTCAACGTTGGACCCTGCCTCAGCTCAAAGTTTGACCCACACCTGCTTGGTTAGAGCCCCTGCATCTCAACACCTTGCTTCATTGGCCTGGCCTGTTGGACTGACCTCTTGCAATGACAATACTGCCAATAAAACTTTGAGAATTACCTTGATTTCTTCTTGAGCCAGTATTGCCTTTTAAGATGGACTGCTCTTTCTCACCAGTGTGGTACCTGCATGACCCATGTTTAAGCTGTCCATTCCTTCTGAATACATTGGATCCACCAGTTGCTCTTTCTGGGACCAGTTGTGGCACCCAAGTCAGCCTTACCAGGCTCTAGCTTTTACCTTCACCTTTCTTACCAAATTACTGAAGATTTGCACTTCACGATAGCAGCTGCCTCAAGAGGAAAAATATTAGGGGCAGAGATGTCTAAGTGATTACCTTTTTCCTAGTTTATGATGGAAAACTCACAGATTCTTGCATCTGGCCAATATGTTTTGGATTATTTTTTCTTATAGTTTGCCACAGAGTTCACCTATCACAGTAAAATCTTTCCATGGGTCCTATAGAAGATTGCTGCCATGAGCCTTAGTAAAAGGCCTTTTTAACTCCAACAAATTGCAATCTTTAGTTCTATCTTATCTCTAACATTATTTGTCTATTCTCAAAAAACAGTCAATTGGAGACTAGCAAAAATGAATTTCCCTCCCCAAAATAACACGAATTACAACAATGATAATAATAATGGCTAATACTTTTCAAGCACTTACTATGTGAAGTTTCTGTGTATTTGATATATATTATCTCAGTTAATCCTCACTATAATTTTAGGTAAATACTATAATTGTTGTTATTATAATTATTATTATCATAATCCTAATTTATAGATTAGGAAACTGAGACAAGTTGCATAAGAAAAGTAAGGTTATGAAAGTTTTAAGTGGTGGAACAGATAGGATCTCAGGTCTAACTCCAAAAACTACATATACCCTTATCCATTATGCTGATTCTCCCTAAGGCCATGCAGATTACATGCGTTCCATTGATTAATAATTGTATGCTCTATCATGGATTCTATATCATAATTGTATAGAAGCATACATTACTGGTCTAGTTCCCATAGTACACTTCAAGCATCAGCATACTGTTACTGAATCAGCATACTCATCAACATACAAGAATCAGCATACTCATCAATCACAGGGTACAGGTATTAAATAAATATTTTGCAAGTTTACTCTTGAATGTCTTCAAAAGTCTTTAGGTAAGTATAATCTTATTAATTCATAATTAGAACATCCTAAAGACTTAACATTATTTACTCTATTACCTTTGAACCACCTCCCTTAAAAGACAGTGAATTGGTTAGAATAAGTTGTGGCAGCTGCTATAATAAACAACCCGTCAAGCCCCAATAAACAATCAAAAGGCTATTTTTGCTCATGTTCATTCTGTTACTGAAATGCCAGGGGTTCAGTCTAGGTCATGTTGCTTGCAGCACAGAAAGCCAATCACCAAGACAATGAGTATCCCTAGGGAAGAAGGATTTAATCGGGTGCTGCAGCCAAGGAGAACTGTAGATCAGTCTCAAAACCATCTCCCAACCAACTAAAATATTGAGCAGTTTATATAGCAGGGAAGAAGGTAAAACAGGAATTAAGGAGGGATAAGGAAGAAATCATGAGGAACAAGGGGTCTGGTGTCTCAGTGTCTGGATGCCGTAATCTGGTAAGTCTCAGTCCCCTGCCTGAGGGTCAGTTTCCTGAGGGAGGAATTCAGATGAGACAAATGTAAATTTCAAGTTTCAAAACCAGGTGGGTCAACTTCTGTTTATTCAAAAAACCCATACATATAATTTCTATGGGACAATTGGGCCTGTTTTAATTCAAATCAGAATTCCTGCTCAGGCTAACTTCCTGTTGCAAATTTGGGAACTATTACTCATTTCTTTAATGTCTCTACTCTTTTCTAGGTCCTTAAGTTTTCTCCAATTAATATTTCCACTCAGTAGATAAAAAAAGGGGATGTGGAAGAAGTTTTTACAGGGAAGGCCTAGCACAGATCAATACCTCTTCTCCCCATATTTCGCTGGCTAGAACTCAGTCTTACAGTCTCTGTAAAGGAGGTGGGGAAATTAAGTCTATGTCTAGACGTAAAAAGGAATACGTTCCATGAACACAGTGGTCTCACCCAGACAGTTCGAAATCTCACTAATTTCTTATTCAGAATGAATAACAGAATTTGTTCAGATTGTATTGTCTCCTTTTCATCTATGATCTTGCATAGCATGACCACCACTAGGCTTACTATTTCTCTAACTGAATCCTTTCTTTCAATACATGTGGTGGCTTTGAAAATATGTCTATGCCTTCTTTGATTCTCTTTTCCTCATGAGGTGGAGAATGATTCCCCTCCCCTTGAAGGTAGGCTGCACTCAGTGATTCACTTCTGGTGAGTAGAATAGAGTAGAAATGATGGGATGTCATTTCTAATATACAGTTATAAAAAGATTGTGGATTCTGTGTTGGGTGCACTCTTTCTTTTCTCTCTTTTTTTTTTTTTTTTTTTTTTTTGAGACAGAGTCTTGCTCTGTCACCCAGGCTAGAGTGCAGTGGTGCAATCTCGGCTCACTGCAATCTCTGCCTCCTGGGTTCAAGCGATTCTCCTGCCTCAGCCTCCTGAGTAGCTGGGATTACAGGCATGCGCCACCATGTCTAGTTATTTTTTTTGTATTTTTAGTGGAAATGGGTTTTCACCATATTGGCCAGGCTGGTCTCGAACTCCTGACCTTGTGATTCACCCACCTCAGCCTCCCAAAGTGCTAGGATTACAGGTGTGAGCCACTGTGCCCGGCCCTCTCTCTCTCTTTTCAATCACTCTGAAAGGAGCCAACTGCCCTGTCATAAGCAGCCCTGGGGAGAGGAGGACCAGTTGCTTTGGTGTAAGGACACTCAGGCATCCTATAGAGAGAAGAGCTATAAGGCCAGACAGAAAGCACATGACTGACATTGTAAGACCCTTCCCTAGCTGAGTTTGGAGAAAACTGCAATCCCAGTCAACGGCTTTACTTCAACCTTGTGAGAAACCCTGAACCAAATGTTTCCAGCTAAATTGCCCCTAGATTTCCAAGCAACAAAACTGAGCTATTAAACTGAGCTATTAAAAATTTATTTGCTTTACTTGGTTTTAATTTGCTCTCATTTTGATGCATTTCTGCCAGGCTCAAAATGTCTCCTCTGACAAAACTTGACTTTTGTAGTGGCCATAGAGATATGTCACTCAGACCTTCCTGCAAGAGAACTGCATGGGCCTCTGAGTTTAGACTACTTTGTTACACAGCAGTAGATTACTAATATCATGCATTTAAAAAATTGTTATGTTTTAACTGCTGTGCTGTTATGCAGGTCTCTGGGCATTCTTCTAGAGACAGCGTAATGACTCTTAAACTTTTTTGTAATATCTCTTGGCAAAACTCTCAGAGTTGATGTTCGCTGTTGACTACTGGCTCCAGAATAGTGTGATCTGTCCCTGGAACCACGTGTTAGTACAGCTGTCAGATGTACATGAAGAACATTTCTCTGCCTTCTGTGTACAAAGCCAACTTTCTCTTTTTGAGAGGTGCTCTATCCTGGAGGAAAGTGGCATTGATTTTCACCTTTGAGCATATATATTCTCCGGGAGTTTATTGCACACCTAAAAAGCACCATTCACGTCTGCTTGCTTTTGCCTGTGCCTCCCATGACCCTTTTAAGGCCCAATTCTTTCATCCTTCTGAATTATAAAGAATGACACAGGGATGCTATAACCCATATTGATTCTGGTGTTTGTGTATGGGAGGGAACTGCCGTTTTTTGATCACATCATATTTGCAGGCAACTTGTGTCAGTTATCACATTTAGGTCATATATCAGCTACATGAGGCCCATATTTATTGACCCTATTTTATAGACAGGAAAAGGTAGAGAGATGTAAAGTAGAGCAAGCAGAATCACCTTGATCACAGGTGATGACTGCAAATCTCATGCTCTATTATAAATTCATCTAGGATTTGATGGGCATAAGCCCCATTTTCTCCTAGTGTTGAGAAGAAAAAGAAACTTTCTAATCAAAACTCAAATGGCCATATCTGTACGTCAGAGAACAAACTTTTGTAAAGCCATCGATGAGGCTGAACGAATTGAACTTTGTGTTTTTTCACTCCTGCAAAATCATCTTCTAAATGTTATTTATGAGTCTCTTGGAGTTTTTGCCTTGCAAGAGACTTCAAAGATTATGACATATCCTCCCTTAATTTATAGATATGTTCATTACTTGGCCAACTTTGTAATTAAAAAGTCATCTTTTTCCCAACCCATGTAGCCCTGGGCTGTCCTCTTTCTCCTGAAATGCAAACTGAGGGGCAGACATGGGCTGTTTAAGAAGGGCCAGATGGAGCTGTCTGTAGAAATATATGCTGCGTTTTATTTTTTCAAGTCCTGCTTGCCTCAAAATGGCATTGTCCAAAAATTACTCTTGCTTATAGTTTACCAAAGTTCTTTCTCAATGCCCATCTCAATTTCCATTGGCATTAGGAGGGCACATGACTACTCAGTCTGCAGGAAACTAGTCCATCTAGAGTTGTGCCAAGAGTCATACTAAGGAACTCAATATACAGTGCTCCTTGAATCTTAATTTTGTGAATGAAGCCTGAGCTTGGGCAAACACCTCATGCTTGGAAACGGGGCATTACAGCAATCTGAGCCTCAATTTGTTCATCATTTCTAAATACTCATTTGCATGCAGAATACACTTACAATGATTTTAAGCTGAGAATAAGAAGAACCAATACATATTTAATGAAGTTCAGTAACACTAAATATATTAGTACTATATTGATCTTTGAGGAAAACATCGATTGACACAGATTTCCGTTCCCTTGAACAGTATTGTCTGCCAACACCAGCAAGTTTCCGTGTCCTAGATAAAGACTAGTTCCAAACTCCTCAGCTCAGAATAAGACTCTAAAGCATTTCTTTTAAATGAGCATTCTGTTGAAGTCAGAGAGTGCTGGAAAAGTCCAAAGGAGGGATAGAGAAAGAGAAGGCCTTCATCTTTCAGTGGAGCTATCAGACCCAAGAAGTAATCTCTAGAGGACCGAGCCCTGAGCAGTAATTTCAACACACAGAAGTGAACACAGTGTCTCCTTGTGTTCAAGCAACAATGTCCAGGTTCAGCGCTAGACCATGGACTGTAGCTCCAGGGAATCTGCTGTGTGTGGGGTATTGTGTTGGAATTCCATAAACAGTGTTCTAAAAAAGGACTGAAGGGAGGAGCGATGGTGTGATGGATTACCCTAGATGACCACAGGGATTGGGTGTGTGACCCAATAGCCTCTTCTCTTTTCTGGGGATGGTGAGATGAACCAAAAACAAATTCCTAACAAATCAGAATCCCTGACATGTACCTAAGTCACCTGGGCCAATGCACAAATCCACTGCCCAGAAAGGTAAATTAGGAATAACCTCTGAGGTCTTTAGAAATTGGCTTATCATGCACTTTCATTCACTTTACTTGCTTTTAATTTGCTCTCATTTTGATGCATTTCTGCCTGGCTCAGAGTGCCTCCTCTGACAAAATTTGACTTTCATAGTTGCCATAGAGATATGCCTCTCAGACCTTGCTGCAAGAGAACTGCTGGGGGGATGTGGTCGGCTGACAACCCCCAGGTGCTATCCATTCAGATCTGCCCATGCTGAGACCACAGTCTCTCCAGGGTGCTCCAAGCCAATGGCTGATCATGGAAAGCACTAGGGCTGGTCTATTCCTGCCCATAGCAGGACTTCCTTCACAAAAATGTACTCCAGGGCTCCCCATCAGCCTGGCTCAAACTCTCAGAGCTCTGCTGCCATCTGAGGTTTTTCCTAGTCAGCCCTTCTTTCTCTTCTTTCTCCTTTTACAGGTGCTGGACCAGCACTGCGGTCTGTGGACCTTCCTCGCCTACTCTTGCTTCGCCTTCCCCTTATCCTTTGCAGGTGGTTCCTCCGCTCAGTCTCTTGCAGGTTTAACTCTGGATTGGTGTCTTCTTCTTGGAGGGCCCATTCTGGCACAACTCCTTTTGCTGGCCCCTCCCCTCTGTGTCCTTCCTCTGTTTTCTCAGGCACCTGACAAGACTTACCTCTCAGTCATCCCTATGGCTAACACTTTGTCAGGCTATCTTTTCCATTTCAGCTCCAGGCCTCTAGAACTCCACAACGAGGGGCAAGATAGTCCATCCCCAGCAGGCCAAAGAAACAAATACCTAAGGAATTTGGCACACTAAAAATACTAACACCCTTTACTAATGCTAGTATCACCTGTATGGAAGCGTGAACCCAGTGTCATTTGCCAACACCCTCCTAGAAAGTTGTGTTTCAGAAGTTTTAAATTTTAGAAAGGTAATGTATTTCATATATTGAATATTATGTCACTCCCGGTGGGGTTTCTGGCAGCAAAGGTAGTGATAATTCTGCAGCACAGCTAAGTTGCATAAATGAAGTTAAAAACAACTTCATTAAAGATAAGAAATACAAAGTTAGCCTCAGGTTTATTTAGTTTGGGTTTTGTGATTAAATAAATTATTTATCATTTTGATTTTCAGAGCTTTTACATAGCCGTGAATTGAAGAAGGATGATTGTGGACCTCTGGTAATAGAATTCCCATTTATTGAGCACTTGCTTTGTATCAAGCACTGCACTGAGCCTGATTACTCTACTGGAATTATTTTATTTAATTTTCTCTCCAGTATCATAGGTAGACATACAAACACAATTTTCCAGGTGAGGAAACTGAGTTTCAATTGAAAACATATCCAAGGCCACACAATTAGCATGCAAAAAAGCATGGATTTGAACCCCTACGCGATTTGATTAATTTTGTCTCCCTCCAGAATTACTGTTCCCAACCACTATATCACATTGCTTGCCTATGTAAGAGATCATCTACCTCTGACTGTGCACAACATGATATAAAGGAACAAGTCAGGTCTAGAAGTTAGGAGGCAAGGGGGTTAGCACAGATTCTACTCTCTTGTAGTTTGACCTCTTTGAACTTCTGTATTCATATATATAAGTGGGAATAGCAATGCCTAAATCATGGGGTAGTTTTAATAAGGATCAAAGTATAAATTCGCTGTGGAAACATTTTGTGATTGCACTGTAAAATGCCAAATAAGATGATATGATGGTGGTGGTAGTGATGATGATATAAGCCATTATTATTGCTTGTGCTACAGAAAACTCTTAGGGCTATAAGTAATTGCTTCCTTGGCAAAGAGCTGGATGGATACTTCATCTTCCTTGAGCAGCTTTGCACTTGAGCACCAAGGAAGATCTGGGGCATTTAGATGATAGAGGAAAATGAGCCAATTTGCAGAAGCTGCAATACACCATTTGAACTTAGGAAGCAAGAGCTGTCAGTTCTGCATCGTAATTGCTTCTCTGAAGATTCTATTTCCATGTTCAAATAAATAATTACGCTCTCTCTTTCTCTCTCTCTCTCTCTCTCACACACACACACACACACACACACACACACACACACACACACTCACCAGGAAGAACAGACTTTGAAGACTTCAAAGTTGAGTGATTATGATCTTTGGAAATAAAGTCACTGCCTCTGGGAGAAAGTTGTTGACAACTCTTGGTCAATGTGGCTTTTCCTCAAAATGTCTGGTTTCTGATTTCTCATTAACACTGCCACATAGTCCTTCTCATTGGTCTCTTTGTTTGGGCCAGTAAGGGGCATCTGAAGAATAAGAAGGATAAGAAATGGTTCTGCAGTGGGTATGGCTGATGGCACAGAACACAAGACAGAGGCTTTATTGCAGAGTGTAAGGCTCTGTAGAAAGAGAGGCAGTGTGATCTCATGAATACAGAATATGAGGCTGAACTTAACTTCTCTGACTTCAGGTCAAACTGGAAAGATAGGCAAAAAGCAGAGGCTAATTGAGGCAGGGCTGTTAGTAGACTGAAGTCAGTGTTGGGAGATTGTAGGTCATACTAAAAGGTACAGGCAATCTAAAAATATAAGCAGTGGATGGTGTCCAGGGTGGGAACTTAGCACAAAGAGGAGCGAAAGGCATAACAGATCTATTGATGGGAAACAGTATCCCTGGGTCTTGCACAGAAAGCAAGGTCATGCTGCCCCAAATACAGATTTGTGAATGTTAAGCAAAGCACGGTGTTTGTTTGATCCAGTTTTGCAACTTAGCTGTCACTGAACTAGTTGTGCAACATTGGATAAGTTACCCACCTAACAATGTTTCAATATGGTCATCTAAAATATGCAGATAGTATTTCTTATATTATAGGGTTATTGTGAGATATATAACCCATTTGAAGATGTGCCTAGAACATGATACATGCTTCATAAATGTGGATGATGATAAAGAACTGTTATCCTAATCTCTAAAATCTGTGAAAGGGGCTGTCTGCCCTAGCTATCAACCCCACTGAGGGTATGGTAGAATAGGGTGTCTATAGGATGACTCTCAGAGATAGGCATAGTTCATTGGGATGTGACCTATGTTCTTGCATTGACAGTGCTCTACTAAATCCAGGACTGATTAATTATTTTACATCTGAAGATGGTCTGGCTGGTTCAGTTGTTGGAAATGAGCACAACATAAACCTACACAATGCATGAAGAATCCTCTCAAAACCACATGAGAGAAGGATGCAGTTGAGTTTTTACTATTTTCCTCCTCACTGCCCAGAGCCTTTAATCTAAGAGAATGGCAAGAAATAAATGACATTCAAATGTCATCTATTAATTTGTCTTTGGCCCATATTTGGGTGACCACACTTCAGATCAACACTTATCCCACCCCACTTTTCCCCATAGAATGTCCTGTTTAAGAGAATTATGAGTCTTGGCTCTGGGGAAGTGCTTTGAGATGAGAAAGGCTATGCTCCCATCTCAACCAAGCACTTTGTTAGATAAACAGTAGAGAAGACACTTAGGGGCAGAAAGGACACGAGCCTGGGCGTGTCCAACATTTAGTGTGACCTACAGCGAGTCAGGCATTGAGGTATCTTTGTATGCATGACCCTGGTTTCTTCCATGCAGCAAAAACCTGCTTCTTCTCCTTGAGTTCTCTGACACCGACTGCCTGTTCTGTTATTTACTTGCCGTGTAATTTTAGGGAAGCTCCTTTATTTCCATCCAAGTTTTTAGTTTCCTTATCAATAATATGGGATATTGATAAACACCTCATCATTTTTATTTATTTTGATAAGGATTAAATGAAACATATTAAATAAAGCAACTAGTATGGTGACTGGCACAAGATACACACTTCATATATGATAGCTGCCAGCAATCTGCTAGTGGCGACAGGAGCAGCAATAGTGGTGGTGGTGGTAGAAGAAACAGTACTGGTGGTAACAGTAGTATGATTAGTGGAAAGAGATTTGGAAACCAAATAAACCTCTTTGCTTTTTTAAACAGGATGGTAGACAAATATATCTGTACTTAGGAAACTAAATTATTGTTATACAGATGACATTTCCTCAATAATTTCCTTTTATTCCTCTTTAGCATTTAATACAGTTCTATTTCAAAATTGGAAACTATTCCAGCTGCTCCAAGAGGAGTAAAATAAAGGAAGCTGTGAGTTTCACTGGACTAGAGCCTAAAGTCTGAACAGTAAATGTTAGACTTGAGCAGGGTGATGGTAGCAGGAGCTCAAAGATAAAATAAAATTACATCTCCCTGTTATTGCTTGAACAATTGTTTCCCCTAAAAAGATAGGTTGAATTCCTCACATTCAGTACCTGAGAATGTGATCTTATTTGAAAATAGGGTCTTTGCAAACATAATCAAGCTAAGCTAAGGTTATTAAGGTGGTCCCTAAGCCATTATGACTGGTGAGAAGAGGAGAGACCCAGAGATAGCAAGAGAAAATGTGATGATGAAGGAGACTGTGGTTGGTGGTGTGGGCTGCTGTAAACCGAGGAGTGCCTGGGGCTACCAGAACCTAGGATAGGCAAGGAAGAACCTCCCCTAGAGGATTAAAAAAAAGAGCATGGCCCTTGGGAACTGTGCTAACCTCCAAAGCTGTGCGAGAATGTTTCTCTTGTTTTAAGCCATCCATTGATGGTATTTGGCTACCCTAGGAAACTAATCCACTTTCTAGTGGGGACTCTCCCATCTCAAACTCTTCAGAACTCTCCAAAGACTACAGGACAAAACTTCTACTCCTAAGCATGGTGAGAACAAGCATCTTCACTATCCGGCCATGCCTACCGCTGTCATTTCACCTCTCAGTCTCCCTGCCTCTGTCTAGTTGGGACACTAGGCTGTTTAAGATCCTGATGCCTCTGTTCAGGCAGTATCTCAAGCCTGCGTACATGATGAATACCAACTTATCCTTCATTATGTGTCTTGTGCCAACTAGTTTTGAACATTTCCTAAACTTATCTGTCCCCAGTGGTGCTGGCCATCTCCTACTTGGTTCCAAATGTTGAATATTTCTATCATAGCATCTGAAAAGTTTAACGAAATTTTTGTCCCTTCCTATGAAATTCTTTGAAATCAAGGACTATGTCTTACTGATGTTTATATTCCTGCACAAATAATTTTCATAACTAATGCTTTATGAATGAATGAGGAATAGCAGGGTAAGTGAATAGCTGGATGAATAAATGAATGAATGAATAGTAAGTAAAATAGCAAGTAAAAAAAGAATCCTAAAATACCCTGAAGAGAAACTGGTACAGTTAGTCTCCACATACACTCCTTACTCCAGCTCTTCACTGCTCAGAACTTGGAAGTTTCTGGAGATAAGAATTCCTGTTTTCTACTTCTCAGTGCTCACAATTTTAATATGAATTAAAGTTTTTCTGACTCTGAAACACCCAATGAAGTGTATTCCCCTGCCACCCTTGAGTTCTCCCTAGACTGCTCAATCCATGGTTTTAACAAAACAAACAAAAACAATTCGGCTGGGTGTCGTGGCTCACGCCTGTAATCCCAGCACTTCGGGAGGCTGAGGTGGGCAGATCACGAGGTCAGGAGATCAAGACCATCCTGGCTAACACAGTGAAACCCTGTCTCTACTAAAAATACCGGAAGAAATTAGCCGGGCATGGTGGCGGGCGCCTGTAGTACCAGCTACTGGGGAGGCTGAGGCAGGAGAATGGTGTGAACCCGGGAGGCGGAGCTTGCAGTGAGCCGAGATTGCGCCACTGCACTCCAGCCTGGGCGACAGAGCGAGACTCCGTCTCAAAAAACAAACAAACAAACAAACAACAACAACAACAAACAATTCAGCAAGAGCTTCTCAAGATTTTTATGTATCTTGTTCTTTCTATCTTGGAATCAATTGCTGGTATGGGGAAATAGGTTATGATTTGCGTTTTAGTCCTACTGATTCTGAGACGCTAGGAGGACATCCATGTGAGAATGTCAAGAAGACAAATAGGATTATGGCACAAGTGCTCAGATGAGAGGCCAGAATAGAAGGTGCAGTTTTGGGAGCCATCTGAAACAGTGGTGGTGCAAGCACAAGAAAGCATGAGACTGATGAAGGGAAATGGGGGAAGGCAGAGCAAGTAAGATCAGGGCCAAGGTAGGACCTTGGGGAATATGGGAGAAAACACAGCAAACAGGAAAAGGTCATAAACAAAGGAGTAGAAGCCTTTGTCCTAGAAGCCAGAAGGAAGAGGTTCTTAAGAAGAGAAGCGTTAGCAATGCCCACACAAAGAAAGCAGTAGGATGAGGACTGGAAAGAGGCTGTTGGATTCTGCAGTTTAGTTAAGAGATTATAGAGGAAGCTGTTATTTGGTGTCAATACATGAGTGCATGTGATGGAAAAGTGAAGCAAAAAAAGTAGACCCCTTTTAAAATTGTCTTTCTTATGAAATAAAGGAGAAGAAATAGGATATTTGCATGGACCAGAAAAAGAGAAACCTGAGCTGAGGAAGAGTGGACAGGGAGGGATTGAGCTATGAAAAAGTGGAGATGTGTAATGCAATAGGGTCCTAAAGACTGTGGAGGGGCATCAATAGCACAGCAAGAGGGAGGAGAGGACAGTCTCTGTAAAGGAGCAAGAAGAAGGAAAAAAAAAGGATGAAGACATGGAGATCCTTCTAATCCATGGATAATCAGTCCCATTATTCCAGAAACATTTTAAATGTACTAATTTTACTTACATTTAAAATTTACTAATTAGTGGCAGAGCTCAGCTACAGTCTTTTGGAAAACGGGAGCTTCCTTGCATAGTCCCAAATTTAGATCAATTATAATGGAAAGGAAATAGTTACAAAATTATTAAAGTTATTGTTCAAAAATATCAAACCAGCATTTTTGTTCATCAATTCAGATTTAAAATTTAATTTCATGGTACAATGAACCCATACATAGTTATATCTATCAAGGTCACCCACTCCCAGTCCATCAGCTTACTCTGGGCATTGATGACTATAAAACTCTTTAGGAGATAAGAATCACCGTTTCCTACTTCTCAGTGCTTACAGTTTTAATGTGAGTTAAGGTTTTTCTGACTCTGAAATACCCAATGAAGTTTATTCCCGTCACCCCTGAGCTCTCCCTAGACTGCTCAACCCATGGTTTTAACATAACAAACAGAAAAAATTGGAGGAGCTTCTCAAAGTTTTGAGGCAAGGAGAGGTCAATAAGAAAACTTTTAATGGACTCTTTCATTATTTCAAAAGAAGACACATGCACTTTGTTTGAATTACTTGCTTAGTTTCTCATTTCCTCTTTAAATCATCACTTTCTTCTTTTTGATACTGAAAACGTGAAGGCCAGAATCCGTTCAGCTTTTATGGTATTTCTTATTATTGTAATAATGTGTGGTTAATGCATTAATTTTTTTTATCTTGCACACAGTAGGAATCTAGAATTTTCCTTTAGGGCAACATGGTAATTAGAAGGTTGGATTTGAATTGATCTGATAATATATTCACATCCAAGGTTAAATGAACATAGACACACAGAAACACACATACAATATTACCTATATATGTATGTGTGCATGTATATACTCTTACATATATAAAATATATATTTGTGTGTGTACATATGTGTGTATATATACATACATACATATGTATACACACATACACATACATGGTGTGTATAAAGATAGATAAGCAGAGAGCATTTATATGTGAAAAGTTATGAAAAAACTGCCTGGTCTTTCCCATGCCTCCCCCTAGAAACTATTACTTCGGTTCAATTATCTAAAATTCAGCACTTTCAGAGACTTAAATTGGGTTAGCAACAAGGTCTAGAGATGTAGGGGGGACAATAAATCCTGGAAAAATTATAAAAGCATAATTAACATGGAGCACAGCCGACCTATGAAGCTGTGGAGGATGCACTGCCTCCCCTATCTAGACTATCTCCACATTGTCTGAATACTCTGGATAATTGGCGGTCTCTCTTCTGTTTCTGCTTTCATTTCAGCAACAGAATTTTTTAATTACTAATTTGAAAAAATGCCAACTCTGATATATTTTATTACACATGAAACTTGAATCCCTACTTCCCCAACCTAGAATATATATTTTCTCACTATAGATATAGTAAGGATATAGTAAATCTCTACATAGTATAGATACAGTAAAGATATGGTAATGACTATTAAATGTCACTCAGCCCTGCATGGATTTAACCATTTTTTCAACCAGTGAACAGTGATTGAAGATCTCTTATCTGGCATTGAGACAGAAACAAAGACAAAGGAAGGCCTGTTTACTGCCCTCAAATAGGACAAAATCTATTGGAGGAGATTACTCTGAATATAAATAATTACACCATGAGATAAATGTGAGTGGAAATATGTGTACAGCCACATGGAAACACTGGAGATGAAGCATGTAATTGCACGTGGACCACAGAGCCTTCCAGCAGAATCTCGAAGGCACCTGGGTGGACTGAGGGGATCAAGGCATCCAGTGAGTGAGGACAGCATTTGCAAAGGAACCGAAACAGGTCATGTTTGGGGAATTACATGTGGTTTGGTGTCGAGGGAGAGAGATTAAAATAACTGAGGGTGAGGGAGAAAAAGCTAGTTATGACATGCCAAAAATGTTTAATGTTTTCCTAATACGAAAGCAAGTGGGATTTCAAAATGACTTTTCTTATCAGCTAAAAGTAAGATAGAAACATTGAAGTTGTCTGGTTGCAAAGAAAAGGACTGTCAGTGGAAAGTGCCGGTGCCTGGGAGAAATGTTGGACTCATTGGCTTTGAATCTTTCATTTTCTTGAAAGAAATATATCTCGTTCTGATGGCTGGACATCATGGTTCAATTTGGTAGATTGCAACGTGGTGATGATAACGCAGGCTGTATTTGGAAGACGTTTTTATTGAGTCCAACAGAGAGAAGAAGTCTGAGCTGAGACCTCACCGCACTGCAAAAGGATGAACACATTTTCTTCCTTTGAGGCACAGACTACAGGCAGTTTCCCTATTTGGGAAGGAAAATATGATTTCAAGTGCTTAAAGCATCAAGTGAGTCTTTCAAACTGTATTTTGATGAAGTAAGTATGAATAAATGAGAAACGTATGGATTTCATTTTCCTGATGATCCATACAGATTTAAAACTAAGGAGCAAGGAGCTTGAGGCAAATCATGCTTTGGACTTAATCCAAACACAAATGTTTGAGAAATCATTTGGAATTTTCATGAATCTGCATGGAAATCCAGTTATGCATCTTTCCATCATGTGCTCTGTGAATTTTACTCAGAATCCAGCTTTGTGTGAACACAGAGTCATCTGCGGAGAAATAGTCCAAACAGGCTTGAGGAAACTTAGTGACTATGTTGGGTACACAGTGACCTCATGTGTGTCAATAAAAATATCAGTTCCTGGCTGGGCGTGGTGGCTCACGCCAGTAATCCCAATACTTTGGGAGGCCGAGGCGGGCAGATCACGAGGTCAGGAGATCGAGACCATCCTGGCTAACACGGTGAAACCCCGTTTCTACTAAAAATACAAAAACAAAATTAGCCGGGTGTGGTGGCAGGTGCCTGTAGTCCCAGCCACTGGGGAAGCTGAGGCAGAAGAATGCCGTGAACCCGGGAGGCGGAGCTTGCAGTGAGCTGAGATCATGCCACTGCACTCCAGCCTGGGCGACAGAGCGAGGCTCCGTCTCAAAAAAAAAAAAAAAAAAAAAGTCAGCTCCTGAGACAAGCTCCCACAGACCATCTGAAGCAGGGGTGTCCCATCTTTTGGCTTCCCTGGGCCACACTGGAAGAATTGTCTTGGGCCACACATAAAATATACTAACACTAATGATAGCCGATAAGCTTTAAAAAATGCAAAAAAAAATCTCATGATGTTTTAAGAAACGTTATGGATTTGTGTTCGGCTGCATTCAAAGCTGTCCATGGGTGGTGGGTTGGACAAGCTTGATCTAAAGAGTCCCCTTCTGTTCCTCCCCTTAACATACAAACATACCCATTGCACTAACAGATTTCACTAGGTTATGCTGCAATGACAAGCAGTCCCTATATCTTAGTGGCTTATAGCAATGAAGGATTTGTTTCTCATTCTTGTCACACTCTTAAGGGCTGTGGGGAGGCGGAGGTCTCCTCCATGTAGATAGGAAGCAGGTAGAAAAAGCAACCCCTTTCTGGGACACTCCATTTATGAGGCAGAAGGAAAAAGGTGCTGGCAAAACCATATAGTGGTTCTTCAAACTTTTGTCTAGACGAGGAGGCATAGATAACTTCCACTCTTGGTTCATTGGTCAAGGCAAGTCATAGGTCCAAGCTTGATCACAGTGAGATAAGACTACACTTCCCACAGGGAGGGGCAGCAGGGAGCTACCTTAGAGGGAATGAGACAGCAAATATTTTGAACAAATAACATAATCTACTGTATCTATTATCTTTCAGCATTATTAAATTTTGAAACTGCGTTTTCTTATTTATTATCTGCCCCCCTCAAATTGCAAGCTGCGTAAGGGAAAAGATCATATCTTACGTTTGTCACGTAGTAGGGGCAGGTATTTAGGACGTACTCAATAGATATTTGCTGGATAAATAAATGAAGTTTCTGCTTTTCCTTCTGAAAATGGAACATGTTGATATCTGTTCTTTATAGGAATGACAAGAAGATCAAATGAGAAAATCAACCTTCCTTCCTTATTCTTAGGGCACAAGATTGCAGAAATTTTTTTAGGACAAATCATGTGACTGCTTTCCAGACAGATGAGAAAAAGTTTGCACTCCAGAAAGGATACTGTTGCATGCAGTTCTCAGATTCTCCTCCCATTTCCAGTCTTTTCCCTGCTGCCCGCAGCATCAGTGAGCCTTATTGGCAGCAGAGATTGGTCTGTTCCTGTGTTTTCTCTCTGGGTGAACTTGTTCCGGGGAGATACAGGGGGACTTATCAAGGCTCTGGGCTTCTCTATTAACAGGATAAGGATAGTGTTTGCCTGAAGTCTTTAGATACCCAGGCCTCTGACAATAACTCATCTGTGTTACTTAGAAATACCTCTCTGGGAGCCTCCTCCAGTTCAAGTGGCTTGAGAACCCTGTTAGAACATCTGACTGGTTGCTGGAGACTCGAGAGTTTTGTTTTGTTTTAACAAATGTTTTCAGATAGGAGATCCAAGAGCAACTCATATTGTTTTCTCAAATTTCCCAGGGAAACACATATACTGTGGATTAGCCTTGAAAACAGGGAGTTGACAAAGATCCACAGTATAATAATCATGCTACTTCTTCCCTGCCTGGAGCTTTAGAATGATATTCATCATTAATCAATCATCTTATTTATCACTGAGTTAATTCAACACAATTAATAATTTGGAAGCTCAGTATGCCTGTTATACTTCTGGGCACTATCATTACAATTACACATTTTTGTCTTGATGTTTTTTTTTTCTTGCCTGATACAGATCCACTTGTTTCTCTAGTTCCCAAGTACAGAGTCTAGAGTTTATTCTTAACCAATTAGCCTATTTGGGAGTCCTCATTGCACTGGAAGTTCTTTGAGAACCTGGACATTTAGTTCCAACCCCACTCCTGCTGCCTTGATGATCCCCAGGGAACCTCTGTCTTAGGAGCACAGATTGCTTTTCTTTGAATGTCACTGAGCAGTATCTTCCGCCCCCCCCAGATTATGGATGAGGATAGAAAAATCCATTCAGGG
The DNA here is from genome assembly GCF_000001405.40 of Homo sapiens. NCBI lineage: Eukaryota > Metazoa > Chordata > Mammalia > Primates > Hominidae > Homo > Homo sapiens. The sequence continues at coordinate 121,962,286 of NC_000011.10, forward strand.
ACTGTGGATGTGCCAAGATCCCACAGCTTCTGCTTTGACTTTACTAGGACCCTGAACAACCTGGAGGAGAATGAGTTATGCTTTAATGGCAGTGGCCATGACATTCAGCTTTCTTGTTCTTTTCCCAACAATAGCAAAGAGCAATGTCCGGCTGCTGCCTGCCTGGGCAGATTGCACTACAGGAAGACAGCTCAGATGTGGGGAACAGAGGGAGTGAGTGAATGCCACTTCCTTTGTGCCTTTAACGCTGCCAGTTGGAGAGACATTTTCAGAAATTACTGTGTTTTCCCCCCCATCCCTTAACTGAATTCCTTCAAGCCCCCTTTTAACCTTCTTCTCCTTCTACCCAGGATCTCTGGACGGCCTTAGGATTCAATTTGTCCCTGTATCTGGGTAACTTCAAAAGTTCAGCCCACATTTCCCTCCTATTTCCAGGCTTCTATGTCTGAGACTTAATGGACATCTTCATCTGAAGGTCCTGTACCTGCTTCAAATAGAACATGCCCAAAATGACAGCACTTATTGTTCTGCTCAAGCCTGCTTTTCTTCCTTTGTGCCCTTTTCTAGATAACTGAGTGCTACCTCTTCCCTTACGCTGGGCTATCTTCCTCTTAATGACCACCCTCCAGTTCAGCAACTCTCACTTTTTTGCCTGTCTCTTCTGACCACAAACTCTTTGGAAACAGTTGTATTAACCGTCTCCACGGCCTTCAATAATGGAGCCCAGAAAGTGCGAGACAGTACATGTTTGTATAAAAATTACTGAATAAAGTGAGTATTATCATAACTCATATGTAATCAAGCCTGGCTCACTCTGGTCAGTGTGAGCAGAGTGGAGAAGCCCGGGAAGGGTCTGGACATGGGTCTAGACCAACTAATCGCAGAAAATGGGGATCAAAAGAAGGTGCAGTCCAGCAGCTAGGACACAAAATGTGGAGAGTGTGGTGACAACAGGCCTCATTTCAGGCAAGTAGAGGGTGCCAGGGTGAGGTCTTATGTGACAGTGCAGTAGATAGAGTCTAGGGAGGAAACATTTAAGACCCAAGCACAGACAGTACCAGGAATATACCCTGGAAAGCAGCAAGGGCTGGGCAGGGCCCGTGGGAGCCCATAGAAAGGACTGGAAAAAGCAAGGTCAAGGGAGTGAGTTATTTTCTAAGCCAGGAGGTAAGCACATAGTTCTCAGGTATCCTGATGGAGGCTGAAGGGGAGCACTCCTCCCAATGTGGATGTCCAGTGTGCACTTGCTCAGACCTGGGACCCAAGGGCTGGCTGGGCTGTCCATAGGGAAACTTGTGGCTGAGGGCCAGGATATGGTACTGGGTCTGCTAAGGTTCCTCCTACACTGGTCAGCCTTATCCTAGAGCCAAAAAGCGATTAGACACTGAGTGGGCAGTAAGGACCCTGGCTGTAAGAAGAGATGCTGTTGCACATTAGATGGGCCTAACACATTTTAAAAGTCTATATTGGTCCTATTTAAAGCATTAGTCAGGCCAGGCATGGTGGCTCATGCCTGTAATCCCAGCACTTTGGGAGGCCGAGGTGGGTGGATCACTTGAGGTCAGGAGTTCAAGATCAGCCTGGCCAACATGGCAAAACCCTGTCTACACTAAAAATACAAAAATTAGCTGGGTGTGGTGGCGGGTGCCTGTAATCCCAGCTACTCGGAAGGCTGAGGCAGGAGGATTGCTTGAACCTGGGAGGTGGAGGTTGCAGTGAGCTGAGATTTCAGCACTGCATTCCAGCCTGGGTGACAGAGTAAGACTCCGTCTCAAAAAAAAAAAAAAAAAAAAGGAAAGCATTAGTCAGCTTTATTAACATCTAAGTATGAAAACATCTTCTAGAAACTAGGTGAAGGGTATATAGAGACTCTCTGCACTATCTTTGCAACTTTTCTATAAGTCTAAAATTATTCCAAAATAAAATCCTGATTTAAAAATATTTATTAAAAATAATCCTTTATTTGTGATCTAACTTCTAACTGGATTTAGAATATTGAATTTAAGTACGTGGGAGCCTTCCATTGAAAAAAAACTAATGGGTGATACCTAATTCCTTACTGGTATCAGATGATGCCAACCTGGCTAGGTGTGGTATAGATCACAGAGAGACATTTACTCAGTAGATAATTTCCATAGCCACAGAGGCTGTCCTGGAGTCCTTTCCATGAGCACATTCAGGAAAAGGCAGTGCTTCTTACTCTAGTTCTTACACTCTGACCCTAGTACCAAGGTGAGATGAGAGATGAAGACGTACTCTAGAAAAGAAGGAAAGTGTGAGGAGAATGGGAGCCTGTGGCATTACAGTCCCATGAAATTGAAGTCAACACTTCCTTTGCTGCTTCCTCTACTTTCAAATGCATCAGCCCCTGCCTGTCCTTAGATGACCTTGTTTCTTGGAGCTGCCGGTTGACAAGTAAGGTTGCCAACGGAAGCCAGTTGCTCTCTTCTGATGCTGGAACTTACAACCTGTCATCTTTTGTTGTCTGCAGAGCAGAGAACATAGCCAAGCCGGCAGGGACAGTCTGTTGTATGAGTCTGGATCTCATTGCAATGATGCAATTTATTTACACATACCAAGGATGAGCCATAAATCCTTACCACTGCTACTCTGTCTCAGTCTCCCAGTGGTCAGGAAAAATTATGACAGGGGTGGAGAGGAGATGGAAGGGCCCTAAGACGGTGATAATTTTTCCCTAGGTCTAAACCTGGTACGGAGATGTGGATGCAATGGTCATAATGCAGGCATATTTATTAACCTGCATATCCAATAGCATTCTTAATATGGCACCCTGACTTGTATGAGAACCAAAGCTCCCAAATATATTTGCAAGTAAGTGGAGGGGAGTCAATTGATTGAGAAGATTTCAGACAACCTTAGAGAGAGATGGAGGGAAGTGCAGCGAGTTCACTAACTAGAGAGAGAAAGCATGAAAGAGAAGACTCAACAAAATCGAGTACAAATTAAAAATCCCTCGAGTGTTATTTAATCAGTGCTGGAGTGAATAGTGGACAAACAATCAGTGAGCTCAGCAAGAAAACCTGAATTATTTCTAACCAGGCCAACCTGCATCTGGAAGGGAAACTATGCAGCTGCCGAGAATCTTAGTGTACATTTGTTTAGGCAGTCCTAAATTATTTCCTTCTTATCTTCTCCTTCTGGGGGCTTCCCTTTGATTGGGCAATGTCCGGAAGTTCCAGGCTGGGAGGCTTCTCAGGTAGAATCAGCTGAAGAGAGGGGCTGGAAACCCGCCAGGGCCGGAAGATGCATCATCATTCAGGGCAGCCCTGGGGGAGTTGCTGACTCAAGAGGAAGGTCTTATTGACAGAGAACAGGCATTCAATGGATCTAGGGTACCAAGTCATTAGAGAGGGACCAATGAAAACAAGATTCTCTGAAGACAGAGGACAGAGTATCAGGACAGAAGTGAGGGCTCAAAGAAAATACCTAATTCCCAGAGAAAATGTGGAATTGTAAGAAGTTTCCTAGCTCAAGAGAAGTGACCAAGATCAAGTTCAAACATCCCTGTGCGCACCTTGTATGACCCTGGGTAAAACCGCTGGGCCAATTTCCTCAAATATAAAAGGAAAACCTGCCCTAACAATCTTACAGGGGTATCATGAGAACCAATTGCAATGACACATATATAAAAATTGTGATTGCAATATGGACCAGATAAGACACCTTTGACCTTGAACAGGACTGATTTTATCTATTTCCCCCACCTTCCCCCATCCTCGCCTCATCAGTTGTGAGACTAAGTGCATTTTTTATTGTATTTTTATTAGTTATATGCAAATATCTTATTTCCTCTTTTTAATTTGCTTACACTACAGACAGGCAGTATTTTTGATGACTAGACTGTTAGCATATTGTATTTACAATGAAATCCCTATTGATAATGTTTCCATTGATTTCTTTCCCCACATCCATCGTGATTGCTTTAAAATACCTACAGATTGGCCAAAACTCTCTGCTTGACAGCTCTCCTCACCCATAAGTCATTTCTTTCAGTATTTGGAAACAGTCAATGAGGGATTTTCTATATATCTACGTATCTTTTGTGTTTACATATACATACACAGTACCTGCCTCCATGGAATACAAAGCCTTCTGGAAATATTGCACAATTAATTCTCTTGGCTGAACTTTAAACCAGGAAACACAAATGGACATTTCCCCCATTTAATGGAGTAAAACAGAGGCCCAGCCACTCATAGAATGAATATTATAATTGATTACAGTCTATTGCTCTCAAAACCCAAGCCTCTTACACATAGTGTTTCTCACTGACTTCAGATGGCTCCCTCTACTCTTCATTTGACTCTTATGGAAAGCCACAACCTCGGTTTGGCCTAAAAGAACAGTTTACATTGGGTTGGGGGGATTGAGAGAGATAACACAAGGGCCTAACTTTACTACATGTCTACCCAGAATGCCTCTGACTAGGACCTTCCCAGCTGGCTTGTTTTCCTGGTAAATCAAAGCTATGCTGGCCATTCTCAGACTCTATCTTCACCTCATCCTGAAATAGCTGTGACTCCACCAGTTGCTGCAGAAGGAATTAAGTATTTGGCTATTCTGTCATATACCTTCAAGGCATAACACATGAATCTTAAGGTGCTAGGTCAGAAGAATAGATTTTAAGAGCTCAAGGGAAGAGAAGTGTGCCTGCAACCTGCTTTCAGCCCAAGAGTCAGAGGTAGATGATTGGATGTCATTAAAAGAGAATTCCTAAGCCTGGGGACATAATTAACAGAACTGTGGCCACCTGCTGTCAGGTGCCAGCATTGGGGGTAATTAGTAAATCGGGTACCTGAGAACCACAGGGCTAAGATGGAAAAGAAACAGAAAAAGAGCATTCAAAGAAGCAGACTAAAATCCCAGAAAAGATCTTGGGAGTTTAGAATAGCAGTCTGGAAAAAAAAATCAATTGGTTCCTTTATGAGTGGCTGATGAAACAACAACCCTGGCCTGGTGAAATATCACTGGACCTACGTGCCCAGGGTCGGAGGCTGACCTAATCAACGTCCAAAGCCAGCGTCATTGTGCTACAGGGTCTATCCTTAGCATCCTGCAAATAATGAAAAGGGGAGCAATCGATATGGGACATGACGAAAGCCCAGGAAAGCCAAAAGGAGTTGGCAGGTCACGGGAGGAGAGAGGCAAGAGAAACAAAAAAGCCCTGGAGATGTCAGCCTCAGATTTCTCAAGCAACACAAAGGATGTTGGATTTCAATGCACACTGCTTGGCTCTGTTCACAGTATAAAAGAGAACAAGGTGGTCAGTGTTAAAGGAGAGAGGAAAAAATGGCTGACGACAGTCTTGGAGCTGAATTAAAAAACATCAAATTAAAGGCGTGTGTATTGAACTGAGGAGCTGAGTGGGGGTGCTCGCCCCATAACTCTACAATTACCAGGGCCGGTACCTAGGCTCCCAGGCAGCATATCAACCAATGAGAGGGGTCAGGGAGCCCAAGAATGCTCTAAACCACTTCTTCCCACAGAGTCTTTCCCATTTGAACGTTAAGTCCTTTTACTTACTGCTTTGATTTTCATGAGCATGCAAACGTTCCTGAGGAGACATAACCTTCATGTGAGTTTCAGTACTTTTCCCCAGAGCATGTTTGACAGTAGAAGTTACTACGAGAGATTTAGGTCCCCATGTTTCGCCTTTAACCTTTTTTTTTTTTTTTTTTGAGATGGAGTCTCTCTGTGTCCCCCAGGCTGGAGTGCAGTGGTGCAATCTTGGCTCACTGCAACCTCTGCCTCCTGGGTTCAAGCGATTCTCCTGCTTCAGCCTCTCAAATTGCTGGGATTACAGTCACACTCCACCATACCTGTCTAATTTTTCTGTATTTTTTATAGAGACAAGCTTTCACCATGTTGGCCACGCTGGTCTCACACTCCTGACCTCAAGTGATCCACCTGCCTTGGCCTCCAAAAGTGCTGGGATTACAGGCATGAGCCACCATGCCTGGCCCAACTTTAACCTTTTTAAAGACACTGGTCAGCTTCCCAATGTTGCTGGCCTGCTCATCACAGTAGACAACATGAATGGTGCTCACTAGAGTTGTGCAAAATAGTGATCCTGCACCCATCCGCTCCAACCTAGTTTTTCCTTGAGATTCCGATCTACCTCAGTTTTCAGCACTTGTGGCTCCTAATTCTTTAGGTTCACTGTCTTGACTACTTGTTTAATTTCTGATCTTCCTAGCCTCGGACTATATACAGACTCTGTGGATCTCTTGTTTGTAGATCCCTACATGTCTCTTAACTCCCAGCTTCTAGGACCCCCTGGATCTTCCCTGCTCCTGCTGTGCCCATATTTGATGTCTCCTGCCTCCTTCAGTCTTGGCTTGCAACTGTTTTTTTGTGAGCATTCATTACTCATGGTCTTGGTGTGATCTGGATACATGAGGAAGGTGGTAAGGGGACCAGGAAAGAAGAAAAGGAAGAAGATAAGTGAAACACTTAAGCGTAAACTACTCTCTGAACAAGACCTGCACCATTAGAAAGCACTCTTTCTGCAGCTGCCAATGAGACAGTTTGTTGCGTAATTTTTAATGCACTGTATACCCAGATCTTTGTTTCTAAGGACATCAAAACCAAAGCAATTACAGCTATTCTGAAACAGCACATTCAAAGAATAAAAGGTATGTACAGGGAAGAGAGAGTGATTCCCATGGATTGTCATAATATTTGGATCTTTCAATAATTGAGACTCTACCCTGAGTGGACCTGAATTCTATTTCTAGTTTTGTTATTAACAAAAGTACACAGCCTTATCTAACTCAAATCTGTTTTCTCACACTGAAATTGAAAAAATTGTCCTTGATAATTTATTACAGATCTAGCAAAGAAAGCTATAGGTACCAGTAAAAGAATAAAGGGCTGGGAGTTTTCTGTCTAAGTGCTATGGTTCTGCCACTCAATTGTGGCCTCTATGTCAAGATACTTAAGTTCAATTTTCTGCAAAACTGAACCTAGTATCTCTTCCAGCTCTCAAATGCCAAAGTCCTATGAATCTAAGTGAATACAGATAAAAGACTATTAGAAAAATTAAAATATTGAAGAAGTTTTGCTTTAACTAATTGTTCAGATTAATTTAGTTTTAATCTTTCATAATAGGTCTTTCTATTTAAGATTATATATTTTGGAAATAGAGATTTCTTGGTTAGGTGATGGGACTCTAGAACTCCCACATCTCAAGGTAGACATTGAGAACACTATAAGATAATTCCTCATTGTACTATATGGAGAATCTATTTTATAAGTTTGTTTAGAGAGTTTAATATATTCTGTTTTAAATATGATTTTTCAAAATTAGAATCTTTATTTTAACATGGCTATATAACTCAGCATCTTTTTTTCTTTCTTAGAATTCAAACAAAGCAAAAACATTCTGAAACTCAATTTTAAATGAAACTAGAATAAAGATACAATATGCATATTGAAAAAATATGTAAGAGCTTCCAACAACTGCTGAGATTGCAGTGAAGCTATGAAGAGAAGTGTAGAAGAATGCCCAACAGTGGCAGATCTCAAAAATAGTAGCAATATACTTCTTGAAGGGGTAAGACCCACTTCATTCTTTGCCAAAATGTGGTCAGCAAATTGGATGGGTAGCACTGGTGGTTGAAGCCAATATGATTAAAATCAACAAACAAACAAAAACCAAGAAAGTCTTGACTATATAAAAAATAAAACAAACAACCATATATTTTGGAAGCAGCCTATATTTGTATCAGTTAGAAGACTACTCTATCCCCTCTCCCTCTATAAGAAATGCCTGCAAAGAGCAGGTCCAGGAGAATCCAAGAATAATATTAGGGTAATTGGAAAAGCATTGATAGAATGATGCTATAATAAAAAGAGGAAAACATCAAAAGTTATAAACAAGAAAACATAAGTCTATTTATTAAAAACAAACTATATAAATGGAGATATGTACCAAGTTTGTGGATTGGAAGTTTCAAATTTGTTCATCTCCCCATATTGAGCTATAGATTGAACACAATCCCAATAAAAATCCTAGCAGGATCTTTTGTAGAAATCAGCAAGCTGATTCTAAAATTAATATGAAAATGCAAAGAACCAAGACTAGCCATATCAATCTCAAAAATAAAGAAAAAGGTTATAAGATGATACTAGTTGGTTTAAGGCTTACTATGGAGCTAGAGCAATCAGGACAGGCATAATAATAGATATAGAAGCCAATGTGACACAACAGAGTCCAGGAAGAGATGCACACATATGCAACCAATGATTATTGCCTATGGTACTAAGGCCATTCAATGGGGAAAAAAACCCTCCTTTTAACAAATAGTACTGTTACAATAGGGTAAACATATGCAAAATAAAATAAGAAAGAAACTGGAATACTACCTACACACAAAAACAAATTTGATATGGATTGTATTTTTAAGCAATAATAATAACAGCAAAAAGCACAACTTAACCAATAGACAAAAAAAAAAAAAAAAAACTCCAGAAAACGCTGCAATAGAACAGCTGAAGAGTGTAACCATGAATTAAAAGAGATAAAATAATTTTTAAAAATTGCCTCTGAAAGGTATACCCCAAAGCAGAATCACAAGAACCCAGAGAAGAGATGTAAAAAAACAGGACAGGGTGGAACATGAGCTTAGCTAACTTAACAATATAGCAAAGGGGAAATTTTCATTGCAGAAACAAAAATCAAAGTTTAAGAAGCCCAATGGTAAATAGACACTACAGAAAATATAGGGTAGATTATATAACCTAAAAATGAAACATGAACAAAAATAAAGTAATTAAATACCACAAGTAAACTTAGAAGAATAGAATTTCAAAAGATAAAAGCTGACAGTGAGTTAGAAAACAGGAAAACAGAAAAACAAATTGATGCACAAAAAAGTTAGTGATTTGAAAGAAATCAATATAACAGATTAACTACAAATGTGTTTCCAATTCTACTTAGCTGTTTTGAAGAATGGTAAAAAAAAAAACATCTTGCAAGTTAGAGTATGAAGTTAAACATTAACTTTCAAATTATTTTTTAAGCAAACTCCAGACAAATTCTGTATTATAAAACAATGAACCAGTGTCATTTTAAATATTTTTTCAAAAATCCCAAACAAAATATTTATAAACAAAAACTGATAGAAAACAAAATGCATAGTGACCAAGTGGAGTTTATTGAAGGAAGGTAACATTTGTTCAATATTAGGAAATTTTTTGACATATTTTATCATATTAATAGATTTAAGGAGAACAAAATCATATAAGCATGTTCATAGATGCTAAAAAAATGTTTGACAAAATACAGCAGAAAAACTGAGAATCATCCCCTCACCTTGCACCATGAACTAGCACCAAGTAACACAGAATAGCAGTTTATCACTAGAAATGAGGTAAAAGCATGGAAAGAAGCCTACACTATGACACACACACAGGGATGGCTGAAACCTACGCATGGAATTGGACTGAGGAATGCCCACCTACATGCCCTGCAAGGGAACAGAGGTCCAGAGTTGGAGGAATTTGAAGCCTGTCACATACAGAGGATTATAACAGTAACTATAAAATTTAAACCCCCTTCAATTAATGACAAGATTGAAGTAAAATCCCTCCATAGACACACGCAAATGACCCAGCAGAAGGAGAGGTAAAATGATTTCTGGATATAAATGCAATTTACCCTTATATTTATTGTTCTAAACATTTATGGTCAATTGATTTTCTACAAAGGTGCAAAGGCAATTCAGCAGAGAAATGACAAACTTTTTAACAAATGTTTCTGGAATATTCAGACATCCTTATGCAAACAAGCAAGCAATCAGAGAAACAAACATGAAAGACATGTCACCAAAGAAGATACGCAGATGACAAATAAATGCATGAAAAGATGTTCAGCATTATCAGGACAACACAAATTAAAACCTCGATGAGATACCACTACACACATAAAGCAGACACACAAAAAAGACTAACCATACAAAGTATTGGTGAGGATGTGCAGAACTGCTAATCTCACACACTGGTCATGGGAATATAAAATGGTATAACCACTTTTTAAAACAGCTTTACGAATCAATCAACAAAAATGGTGGAATAAGTACCTCAAAAATTTTTCTTTTTCATAAAAGCAATAAAAAATTGGCAGAAACTTCCAGACTCGATTTTTTCAGAACTCTAATAATTATTGAGTTTTGTAGCAACCCAGGGAGAATTTATTGGAAAAAAAGTAGCTGAATCGTGGTAATAACAGTGAAACTTGTGGTATTTAATTTGCCTAATTTCTCCTCTCCTTTCTCCAACTCTGTGATAGCCTTGAAAAATAACAGCCTGCATTCTCAATGCAGCCTTCCAGACAGTGGAAGGAGCAGAATGAAGCCAAAAGTCTTTCAAAACATCATGCACAAAGAATTGTCATTATTTAACCTGTCCGATGGTTTCCTAGAAGACCCTATTTACAAGGCTGACAGTATTTTATTTAACTTAGAGCTTCCCCAATATGAAAAGCTTTTCTTCCCAGGGAGCACTTGTTTAAAACAGTTCCTGGCTAGTGTTTTAAACTTGTGGCTGCCTAATATGAGGGATATTGATTAGGGATGAACAATAGAGTAAACAAAAGGCTTTAAAGGAAAAGCTGGAGTATGAAGAGCTAGCTACTTAAGCAGAAAGTAAAGGCTAAGAACAAGTTGTCAATTGTCTGGCTGAACGTTGAATGTCTGCCCCAGCATGTGCACACACACAACCTCTTGGCAAAGACTAGATGGCTTGGTTCTTGGCTATGGTAGGCTGAATAATGGCCACCAACAATTCCCAAGTCCTAATCTTTGGAACCTGTGAATGTTGACTTATATGGCAAAAGAAACTTATCGATGTCCTGAAGCTAAGGATATTGAGATGTGACACAAAAGAAGAAGGTAACATGAGGACTGAAGCAAGATGCTACACTGCTGGCTTTGAAGATGGAAGAAGGTCCCATCAACTACGGAATGCAAAGAATAAAACTCTTGGAGCTGGAAATGGCAAGGAATCAGATTCTCCCCTTGTTCCTCTAGAGCACGTGCAGTCCTGCCAACACCTTAATGTCATCTCAGTGAACCTGGTTTGAGATTTCTGACATCCAGAACTATGAAAAAATAGATGTGTATTGTTTAAGACACTAAGCTTGTGGTAAATATTTACAGAGCCATAGAAAACTGCTACACAAGCATTTAAGAAAATCTTTATTCAGTTGTTAGCTAACCACTAAGCTAGAGACTTCAGTGGGCACACATAATAAACAATACATACTTTACAGAATCAGTAAAAAACAACAAAAACAAAAATCCACAACTAAAACAAGCAGAAACGAGAAACACTGAGGATCAGAGAGAATCTGATTTCCAGCACTGCCATATTTTATTATTTAAAATGTCCATTTTTTCCATGCAAAATTATGCGACATGGAAAAACAAGTAAGTATGGCCGACACTCAGGGATAAATGCAGTCAACAGAAACTGTCCCTGGAGAAGCCCAGATCTTGGACTTTACAGACATAGAATTTAGGTCAGTATTTTAAAAATGTTCAAAGAACAACAACAAAAAATTTAAATAGCTAAAGGAAAATATAAAAATTATGTCTCATGAAATAGAGAATATCAAGAAATATAGAAATGATTTTAAAAATAAAAATTCTGATGTTGAAAAATATAGTAGCTGAAATTAAAAGTTTACTAGAGGTAGTCAAAAGAAAGTTTGAGCAAGAAGAATTCTTGAACTTGAAGATAAGTCTGTTAAGATTATCTAGGTTGTGATTTACATGAAAAATAATTCAAGAGGTTAGTTATTAAGCTAAACAGGGAGGCACCAGAGAAAGGCGAAGCCCAATGCAAGGAAATCCAAAAAACGATACAAGAAGTGAAGGGAAAAATACTCAAGGAAACAGATAGCTTAAAGAAAAAAAATTAAAAATTTAAGAAATTTTGGACACACTTGTAGAAATGCAAAATGCATTGTCAAAGTAACCGCTGAGCTAAAGCCAGCTGGCCAGGTGCAGTGGCTCATGCCTGTAATCCCAGCAATTCAGGAGGCTGAGGCAGGCAGATCACAAGGTCAAGAGATCGACACCATCCTGGCCAACATGGTGAAACCCCATCCCTACTAAAAATACAAAAATTAGCTGGGCATGGTGTTGCACGCCTATAGTCCCAGCTACTCGGGAGGCTGAGGCAGGAGAATTGCTTGAACCCAGGAGGCAGAGGTCGCAGTGAGCTGAGATCATGCCTCTACAATCCAGCCTGGTGACAGAGCAAGATTCCATCTCAAAAATAAATAAATAAATAAGAAAGAATAAAAAAGAGATGCGAAATGCTCTGGAAAGTCTCAGCAATAGAATTGAACAAGTAGAAAAAAGAAATTCAGAGCTCAAAGACAAGGTCTTCGCATTAACCCTATCCAACTAAGACAAAGGAAAAAAATAAGAAAATATGAACATTGCCTCCAAGAAGTCTGGGATTATGTTAAATGACCAAACCTAAGAATATTCAGTGTTCCTGAGGAACAAGAGGATTATAAAAGCTTGGAAAACATATTTGGGGGAATAATTGAGGAAAACTTACCCAGCTTTGCTAGAGACCTAGACATCTAAATACAAGAATCACAAAGAACACCTGGGAAATTCATCACAAAAAGATCATTGCCTAGATACATTGTCATCAGATTATCCAAAGTTAAGACGTAGGAAAGAATCTTAAGAGCTGTGACAAAAGCACCATGTAACCTATAAAGGAAAACCTATCAGATTAACAGCAGATTTCTCAGCAGAAACCCTATATGCTAGAAGGGATTGGGGCCCTACCTTCAGCCTCCTCAAACAGAACAATTATCAGCCAAGAATTGTGTATCCAGTGAAACTAAACATCATATATGAAGGAAAGATATAGTCTTTTTCAGACAAACAAATGCTGAGAGAATTCTCCATTACCAAGCCACCACTATAAGAACTGCTAAAAAGAGCTCTAAATCTTGAAATGAATCCCAGAAACACATCAAAACAGAACCTCTTTTAAGCATTAATCACATAGGACCTATAAAACAAAAAGACATGTTAAAAAGCAAAAGCAAAAAACAAAAACAAAGGACGCAGGCAACAAAGAGCACAATGAATGCAATGGTATCTCACATTTCAATACTAACATTAAATGTAAATGGCTTAAATGCCCCACTTAAAAGACACAAAACCACAAAATGGATAAGAACTAATCAACCAACTATCTGCTGCCTTCAGAAAACTCACCTAGCATGTAAGGACTCACATAAACTTAAAAGAGTGGAAAAAGGCATTTCATGCAAATGGACACCAAAAGCAAGCAGGGGTAGCTATTCTCATATCAGACAAAACAAACTTTAAAGCAACAGCAGTTAAAATAGACAAAGAGGAACATTATATAGCGGTAAAAGGCCTTGTCTGACAGGAAAATATCACAACCCTACACATATATGCACCTAACACTGGAGCTCCCAGATTTATAAAACAATTACTAATAGACCTAAGAAATGAGATAGACAGTAATACAAAAATAGTGGGGAACTTCAATACTCCACTGACAGCACCAGACAGGTCATCACGACAGGAAGTCAACAAAGAAACAATGGATTTAAACTACACCTTGGAACAAATGCCCTTAACAGATGAGAACATTTCATCCAACAACCGCAGAATATACATTCTATTTAACAGTGCATGGAACTTGCTCCAAGATAGACCATATGATGGGCCATAAAATGAGCCTCAATAAATTTAAGAAAACTTAAATTATATCAAACACTCCATCAGACCACAGTGGAATAAAACTGGAAATCAACTCTAAAAGGAACATTCAAAACCATGCAAATACATGGAAATTAAATAACCTGTTCCTGAATGAGCATTGGGTCAAAAATGAAATCAAGGCCAGGTGTCATGGTTCACGCCTGTAATCCCAGAACTTTGGGAGGCTGAGGCAGGAGGATCACCTGATGTTAGGAGTTTGAGACCAGCCTGGCCAACATGGTGAAACCCTGTCTCTACTAAAAATATAAAAACTAGCTGGGCATGGTGGTAGGCACCTGTAATCCCAGCTATTCGGGAGGCTGAGGCAGGAGAATTGCTTGAACCCAAGAGAAGGAGGTTGCAATGAGCTGATACGGTGCCACTGCACTCTGGCCTTGGTGACAGAGTGAGACTCCATCTAAAAAAAAAAAAAAAAAAAAAAAAAAAAGAAATCAAGATGGAAATTATAAAATTATTCAAACTGAACAACAATAATGACAGAACCTATCAAAACCTCTGGGATACAGCAAAGGCAGTGCTGAGGGGAAAGTTCATAGTCCTAAATGCATGCCTACCTCAAAAAGTCTGAAAGAGTACAAACTGACATTCTAAGGTCACACCTCAAGGAACTGGAGAAACAAGAACAAACCAAATCAAAACCCAGCAGAAGAAAGGAAATAACCAAGATCAGAGCAGAACTAAATGAAATTGAAATTAAAAAAAAATACAAAAGATCAATGGAACAAAAAGCTGGTTCTTGGAAAAGATAAATAAATTTGATAGACCATTAGCAAGATTAACCAAGAAAAGAAGAGAAAAATCCAAAAAACCTCACTAAGAAATAAAACAGGAGGTATTACAACTGACACCACTGAAATACACAAGATCATTCAAATCAAGAACTCAACTCCTTTTACGATAGCTGCCAAAACAACAACAACAATGAAAACCAAAAAAAACTTAGGAATATACTTAACCAGGGAGTCAAAAGACCTCTACAAGGAAAACTACAAAACACTGTTGACAGAAATAATAGACGACACAAATAAATGGAAACACATCCCATGCTCATGAATGGGTAGAATCAATATTGTGAAAATGACCATCCTGCCAAAAGCAATCTACAAATTCAATGCAATCCCCATCAAGATAGCATCATCATTCTTCACAGAATTAGAAAAAACAATTCTAAAATTCATGTGGAACCAAAAAAAGAGTCCACATAGCCAAAGCAAGACTAAGCAAAAAGAACAAATCTGGAGACATCATACTACCCAATTTCAAACTATCCTGTAAGGTTATAGTCACCAAAACAGCATGGTACTGGTATAAAAATAGGCACATAGACCCATGGAACAGAATAGAGAAGCCAGAAATAAGCCCAAATACTTACATCCAACTGATTTTTGACAAAGCAAAGAAAAACATAAAATGGGGAAAGGACACCCTTTTCAAAGATGGTACTGAGATAATTGGCAAGCCACATGTAGAAGAATGAAACTGGATCCTCATCTCTCACTTTATACAAAAGTCAGCTCAAGATGGATTAAGGACTTAAACCTAAGACCTGAAACTATAAAAATTCTAGAAGATAACATTTGAAAAACCCTTCTAGACATTGACTTAGGCAAGGATTTCATGACCAAGAACCCAAAAGCAAATGCAATAAAAACAAAGATAAATAGCTGGGACCTTACTAAACTAAAGCACTTTTGCACAGCAGAAGGAACACTCAGCAGAGTAAACAGACAACCCACAGTGTAGGAGAAAATCTTCACAATCTATATATCTGACAAAGGAATAATATTTAGAATCTACAATGAATTCAAACAAATCAGCAAGAAAAAAACAATCCCTTCAAAAAGTGGGCTAAGGATATGAACAGAGAATTCTCAAAAGAAGATATACAAATGGCCAACATATGAAAAAATGCTCAACATCACTAATGATCAGGGAAATGCAAATCTAAACCACAATGTGGTTTTACTCCTGCAAGAATGGCCATAATCAAAAAATCAAAAAACAGCAGATGTTAGCATGAATGCAGTGATCAGGGAACATTTCTCCACTGCTGATGGGAATGTAAACTAGTACAGCCACTGTGGGAAAATGTATGGAGATTCCTTAAAGAGCTAAAAGTAGAACTACCATGTGATCCAGCAATTCCACTACTGGGTATCTACCCAGAGGAAAAGAAGTCATTATTCAAAAAAGATACTTGCAAATGCATGTTTATAGCAGCAAGATTCTCAATTGCAAAGTCGTGGAACCAACCCAAATGCCCATCAATCAACGAATGGATAAAGAAACTGTGATATATATGATGGAATACTATTCAGCCATAAAAAGGAATGAATTAATAGCATTTCCAGTGACCTGGATGAGATTGGAGACTATTATTCTAAGTGAAGTAACTCAACAGTGGAAAACCAAACATCGTATGTTCTAACTGATATGTGGGAGCTAAGCTAAGAGGATGCAAAGGCATTAAAATGATACAATGGACTTTGGGGACTTGGGGGGAAGACTGGGAGGGGGGCGAGGGATATAAGACTACAAATACAGTGCAGTGTATACTGCTTGGTTGATGAGTGCACCAAAATCTCACAAATCACCACTAAAGAACTTACTCATGTAACCAAATACCACCTGTACCCAATAACTTCTGGAAAAAAATAAAAAATAATAATAAAATCATACAGAGCAAACAAAAAAAATTATGTAGGTTGAATAAATAAAATAAAAAAGGATACAAAAAAATACACAGAGCCTTAAGAGACCGGTGGGATATCAACAAGCACACCAAGATACATGTAATGGTACTCTCAGAAGGACAGAAGAAAGAAGAAGGCAGAAAAGACATTGCAAAAAAGGAATATCCAGAAAGAATAAATAGTGGCTAAAATTTCCAAATCTAATGAGAAACATTAATCTATACATTCAAGAAGTTCAATAAACTCCAAGTAGGATAAACTAAAAATAACTCACATCTAGATACATCATTATCATACTGCTGAACGTCAAAAACCATCTTGGAAGCAGCATGAGAAAAGTGACTTACTACTTACAAGCTACCCTCAATAAGCTGATTTCTTATTAGAAATCATGGACGCTAGAAAGTAATGGAATAACATATTCAAAGGATTGAAAGGTAAAAACAAGCAAATAAAAACCCCCAAGCCCTCTCAATCATAAATTCTACATCCAGAAAAAAATATTTTTCAAACATAAAGGAGAAATTAGAGATTTTCAGGTAATAAACCAGAATGTATCACTAGCAGACATGCCATGTGGGAAATATTAATGGGAATATTTCAGGCTGAAATGAAAGAACACTAGAAAGAAATTAAAATCAATATGAAGAATTAAAGAGTACTAATAAAGGTTAACACATAGGTAAATATAAAAAAGCAGTATAAATGTATTTTGTTGTAACTCCTTTTTTTTCTTATCTGACTTAAAAGACAGTTACATAGAGCAAAAGTTGTAAATCTGTATTTGTGGGCATACAATGCATAAACATGTAAATTGTGACAATACAAGTTTTTGTATACTGTATTAGTCTGCTTGGGCAACCATAACAGAATACCACAGACTGGTGACTTAAACAACAAAAATTTTTTTTCTCACAGTTCTGGAGGCTGGAACTCCAAGATCAAGATGTTGTCAGGGTTGGTTTCTGGTGAGCTCTCTTTTTCTGGTTTGTGGACGCTATCTTCTCACTGTGTCCTCGCATCGTCTTTCCTTTGTGCAAACACAATGAGAGAGATCTTTCTGTGGTCTTGTCCTCTTCTTTAAGGGCACAAGTTATATCAAATTAAAGCCCAACTCTTATGACCTCATTTAACTTTACTCCTTAAAGATCCTGTCTCCAATTACAGTCACATTAGGGGTTAGGGCTTCAATATTTGAATTTTGGAGGGAACATAATTCAGTGCATAATATATACTACTGAAAATAAGTTGCTATAAGCATACACTAGATTGTTATAAACTAAGGTGTTAATCGAAATCCCAGGTCAGTCATTAAGAAAATAACTCAAAATGTATGGTAAAAGAAACAACGAGATAATTAAAATTACTAGAAAATAAATTTTTAACACAAAAGAAGTCAGTATGAAGGAATAAAAAAACAAAAAAAAATCAAACATATAGTAGACAAATAACAAAATGACAGATATAAATCCTAATTACCAGTAATTCTACTAAACATAACTGGATTAAATGCTCCAATTAAAAAGCAGAGATTGGCAGAATGGATTTTTAAAATAACCAAACTATATGCTGGCCACAAAAGAGACACTTTAGATGCAGAGACACAAAGGGGTTTAATGTAAAAGTGCAGAAAATTATTATTATTTTTTATTTTTTTTTCCTTGGAGCTTGACCTAAGCATGAGGTTTGATCTAAGGAAGAAGGCTTCCTGCCTAGTTTATTTACCTTTCTGGAAGAACCATTGATGTGACCTTTCTCTGTCTTCTGTAGAAGTCTAGACAGAGTAGGAGAGTGGACACAGTATCCTCCTAACATCCAGCCAGTGTAGGGCTTCTGGAAGGGTTTTGGGTGGGGGAGTTGGGGAAAGCCTGAGCCCCTGCCTTTCTCAGGCAAGCCTGTAAAGTCTGTGAATCACTTCACTTTCCCATTGAGTGTACCCACCTAACTACAATATGTTCCCCTGATAAGTAAGAATAATAAACAATCAGTATAGTTTGTAAAGTACTTCCCTAAATGAAATAATGCTGAAGGTTTCATATATGGTATCTCATTTAATCCACATAATGATCCTATGAAGTAGATACTGTTATTATTATATGTATTTCTTTATGTGAACAAAGCAAGGCTCAGAGGAGAGGTCACTTGTCCAAAAGTTACAGTTAGGGTTCAACCGAGGCAGACTAACTCCACAGTCAGTCTCCAGTGTTAGGGTTGGCTGTAGCATGGAGTGGCTAGCTCTGTGTACACAAGGGGATCTTGGGACAGGTGAGGACTCTGAATTAAACAACTTTGAAGCCCACAAAAGAGCTATTAGACCTGATAAATTCAGTGAGGTTACAGGATGCAAGATCAATACACAAAAATTCGTTTTTCTATACATTTTTAAGGAACAATCTAAAAATGAAATTAAGAAAATAATTCTATTTATGACAGTATAAAAAGAATAAAATGAGAATAAATGTAACAAAATAAGTTTAAGGATTCCACACTGAAATCTATGAAACCTTGTTGAAAAAGTAAAAGAGCAGCTAAAGAAACGAAGCCATGCCATGTTCATGCATTGGAAGACTTACTATTGTAAACGTGGCAATACTCCCTAAATTAATCCTCAGCAATGTAAAGGAATGAAAATCGATGCAAGGGCAATGCAGTCTGTGGTCATATCACCGTGAATGTGCTCAATCTCATCTATTACATGAAACAACAGACTTACTTCAAAATAATGATGTCAGTGAAAAAAAGCAGCATTTTGTTAACAAGTGCATACTGCATTACTCCATTTATATAAAATTCTAGAAAATCTTTAGTGGCAGGGATCATGTCACTGGTTTCCTGAGGATGAGGGTCAGAGTGGAGAGGTGTTAGAAGGGAGAATTTTAACAGGTCAAAAAGAAGAAACTTTTAGGGCAATAGGTATATTTATTATTTGATTTTGGTGGTTTCATGGGTATGTATAGCTGTCAAAACTTATCAAATTGTATACTTTTAATACATGCAGTTCAGTATTTTCAACTGCAGTTAATTAAGCTACTAAAATAATTAGACAAATTTTCTAATTAAAAGGGGCAAAAGATTTGAGCAGATGTTTCACCAAAGAGGAGATACAGGTGACAAATAAACACATAAAAAATCCTAAACGTCATTGGTCATTAGGAAAATTCAAATTAAAATCACAATGAAATATTACTGTACACTTATAAAACTACAAAAAAAGACAAAGCAAAGTGCTGACAAGAATATACAGCAACTGCAAGTTTCACACATTGTTGGGGTGGATGCAAAGTCATACAGCCG
Organism: Homo sapiens; assembly: GCF_000001405.40. Taxonomy (NCBI): domain Eukaryota; kingdom Metazoa; phylum Chordata; class Mammalia; order Primates; family Hominidae; genus Homo; species Homo sapiens. The sequence continues at coordinate 121,982,081 of NC_000011.10, forward strand.
CTTGGGGAAACAGTTTGGCAAATTCTTATAAAGTTATACATGCACTTACTATACAATTCAGATTTTCACTCCTGGATATTTACCCCAAAGAAATGGAAACATAAGGCCACACAAAGACATGTAGGTTGTTTAGAGCAAACTGAAACCTAGATCCATCCCAAATGCCTGTCAAATGGATGTTGGAGAAACAAACCATAGTACATCCATACAAAGGACTCCTCAACAATAAAAAGAAACAACTACTGATAAATACAACAACATGGATGCATCTCAAAAGCATTTTGCTAAAAGAAATAAGCAAGATACAAAAAGGTTACATGTTGTATGATTCCACTCAATTTGGAAAAAACAAAGCCATAGGTAAAAAGCAGCAAATCAGTGGTTGACAGGGGTGGGGGTGTTGGGAAAATTGGCTATAAAGGGCCCATGGAAACATTCTGTGGTGATGAAAAATTCTGTATCTTAAATACATTTGTCAAAATCTCCAAGCACTGAATGTAAAAAAGCTGAATTTTACCATGTGAAAATTACCCTTTAATAAACCTGATGTTTTCAAAAATCCACGTCATCCTTGATTTTTAAAAAACTCAATAAAATAGGGTTAAATAATTTCTTAATATGATAATATATGTATATGTGAGCACTAAATAGAGTATCATTCTTTATTGCAAAACCACAGGAGAATTCCTCCTAAAAACATAAAGAAGTTGCCCATAATCAACACTATTACTTAACATTATGCTAGAAGTACTAGTCAACAGAATTGGAATAGAAAAAAATAGAGGTACTAAGTTGGAAACAAGGTGGAAAACAAAATCAGTATTTAAAAATGCTTGGCAATAACCTGGAATAACCCCAAGAAAATCAACTGAATAAAAGTGTTAATAAAAAAAAAAACAGTGGGGATATGTAATCGATATGGATAAATCAATGTTTTTTATAAATATAAACAATAACCACTTGGAGTATAAGATAGAAGAAGGGATCTTTACAATAGCATTTACAATAGCAACACAATAAGATAAAATGCCTTGAAAGAAAATTAACAGGAAAAGTCCAAGACATATTAAGAAAACTGTAAAATTAACTAAAGATAGTAAAATTTAACAAACAGAAAGACATGAATGTTCTAGATTGGGGGGATCCAACATTGCAAAGATGTCAATTTCTCTAACTTAATTTAGAAAATTAATATAATCCCAGTAAAATTATAATTTTTTTTAAAAAAGCTAAAGATAATTTTTTAAAATTAGGCAAAAATCAACAACAATATTTAGAGAAATTCTGAAAAAGAAAAGCAAGGAAGAATCTACTTGATTTCAAACATACTATAAATCCTGAATAATGAAAAGTGCATGGCACCAACTCATGAAGAAACCAATGTACTCATGGGGAAACACAGAGAAAGTTTAGGAATAGAATCAAATGTATACAACAAAGGTGGTATCTCAACTCAGAGAGAAAGAGAGAGTATACAATTAAAGTTGTTGAAACAATTGGATCTACATACCATACCTCAAAGCAGGATAAATTCCAAATGGGTCAAGATTTAAATAAAAAACATGAAGCCATAAAAATACTGAAAGAAAACATGGAAAGTTTCCATTTGAAGCTTGGATAGGAAAAAGCCTATTTAAATATAACTCAAAATTCAAAATTTTAAAAAATGTTATACTTGACTACATAAAATTAAAAGAAAATTTTAGCATGAAGGCATACCATTAAACAAAGATAAATATAAATGTTAAACTGAATTTAAATACTTGCAATGAATAGCAAGAAAAAGAACTTATCTCCCAATATGTAAAGAGCTCTTAGAGTTTGATAAAACCCGATATTAAAATGAGCAAAAAATATAAAGGGCAATTCAAAGTATTTTTTAAATATGTGAAACTACTCATAGGTGAAATGCAATTTAAAAGCTACATTAAGATACCGTTTTTCACCTATCAGATTGTTACATATCCAAAAGTATGATACAATCTGTTCCTGAGGCTACAGGGAAAGAGTCACTTTCATACATTGCTGGTGGGAATGTAAATTGTTACAACCCTTAGGGAGGGCAATTTGGTAATATCTGTTAAGATTACAAATGCATATACCCTTTGACCCAGCTATTTCACTTCTGGGAATGTATCCTAGAGTTATCCTAGGACGCATGCAAAATGATATACCTGAATATCTATTGCAGCATTGTTAATAATAGCAAAAGATTGGAAGCAACCCAAAACTTCCATCAATAGGAGGCAGTTTTTTCATTTCATTAGCTTGCTTTTATGGCTTCACAGTGGGGAAAAAAAAAAAAAAAAAAAATGAGCCTCTGCTCCTAAACCCAGACTGAAGCTGGCCTAAGCCATCTATGCGATTTCTCCTTCCCCTGGTCTAACCCTTTAGAACTTCCAAGGCAGTGAAGTCCCCCCAGGTGGGAGATGGCCTTGGGCCATCTCTAGGACATAAACTTAAGTTTGGGATGGACAGAAGAGGGAGCAATGCAAACCACTCTATCCCCTGCTAATTACAAAATCAAAGCTTCTCTTTACTGAAGTGACATTGAGGGAGAGAAGAGGGTAGTGGGTGAACTTTCCCTAGGTATAGAATGAACCGCTACTAATTGTCATTTTAATCTTGGTCATCATTTAATTAATTAGGGAAAGATATGAATAATACTGCATAAGACTTACCTTTGCCTATTTCAGTAAAGTGGTCCCTTTTCCTAAAATTATACAACTAGGATGCTATTTTCCCCAGATACTAATGTTAATGAGCACTTTATGATACCACAAACAAGGCAATAATATTTACCGTCTGACAGCTACCTAATCTCAGATATAATATCTAGAAGATATAGTTCCCTACATCGTCTAGGTATAGGTGAAGTTGAGTGAAGTTGTCCAAATTGAGACTATAAAATGATGGAAAATGTTGAAGTTAGATGTTCTTCTCCATTTTTGCATTTGCCTACATTTCTTTTTAAGAATCACATGATTTTGGTCAAATGTCGTGTTGCTGATTTGTGGTTGTGGTTGTTTGTCTGCGTGCCGTGAGTTTGTTTTTTGGTAAATACAAATTATTCAAAAGCTATTCAGAGAAAAAGAAGTGGAATCCTGCTAGACAGTAGACAGTAAGAATTCTGTGGGATGGTCCTGGTGAAATAGAAACCACTTTGTGTAAAAAGGCTCATTTTAAGTGGGTCAATCTGTATTAGTTGCACCACTTGAAACATTGAAGATACATTTTAGTGTATCTCGTGTTTGGGGACCTTTTGGGAACACACTATATTTATACTCTATTAAACTAGGTCAGCTTCTTTGTTGGGACAATCCCAGAGGGAGCTATACATTTCACCTGAAGGTAGCAAGAAGAGTTCTGGTATTTTACTGGTTTGTCTATCTTAACTCATGCTACTGAAGTCAAATCTAGTAACGTCCTATGTCCCAGTGAATAAACAGTGTCTCCTTCATTTACAAATATTTATTTAGTGTCTAGCATGAGTTATTTGTTGTGCTAGGTGTGGGAAATATCAATTTCTGCGGTCAAGGAGACTGCTCTCTAAAAGGATGGTAAGACACATTCATGCATATCTATAGAAAGAGCAGAAAGATAAGCTAGGCTTAAGGCTGCTGAGTTTATGGTACACGCATATTAACTAAGAGAAAGTGTCCTATATAGGCAGTTAGAAAGTGAGACACTCTAGAGAGCTTACAGTACTAGATAGAACTTTGTTTAGTTTTCGGTGGTAGAAAATGAAGCTCTCTTTCTAGAAAAGAGGAGTCCTGATTCGTACATAGCGTTTTTTTCTTCTGATGAAAACAAATACATAAACAAGATGTGATTTTTGATATTTTTCAGCACATTTTAACTTAAAAATTATTTTAAAGAATTTGTGTAAGTAAAAATATGTGTTAATTATGAGAACATCAAAACTATAGTGATTAATGAACATTTCCATATAGTAAATTATGGCTGCAAATGAAGGAAGTCACAGCCCACTGTTTCATGTGGCATCTAGTCTCATACATTCAGAGAATAATACTGAATTCTGGTTTTGTATTCTAATTAGAGCACTAACAAGATAGTATTCATTAGAAGAAGACAAAGTGTCTAAAAATCAGGCCATAGAAAGTACAGCTAGATTGGAAGAATAAATTCTGTTTTATAGAAGTATAGGGTGACTATAATTAACAACAATTTATTATATATTTTCAAATAGCTAGAAAAGAGAATTTAGAATGTTTCCAACACAAAGAAATGATAAATGTTTGAGGTGATGGATATGCTACTGATATGATCATTACACATTGTATACCTGTGTCAAAATATCACACTGTAATCCATAAATATGTATGATTGTTATTAATATGTATCAACAAAAAATAAAAGAAAAAAATTGCCATTCAAGGTACTAAAATTTTTAAAAGAATGTCAATTCAAATGGGTTATTCACCTTTGAAAAGAGGTGACTATAGTTTATAATAATATATTATATATTTCAAAATAGCTAGAAGACAATAATTGGAATGTTTTTAGCATAAAGAAAAGACAAACATTTAACATGATGGATATCCCAATTACACCGATTTGATCTTTACAAATCACATGAATGTATCAAATTATCACATGTACCTTCCCCTTCCCCCCACCAAAAAAAAAAAACAGAAAGAAAAGGGAAGGCTTAGAACCAGTGATAGCTATCTTCAAATATTTGTGGTAGATCAGTATTATTTATTGTTATTCCAGAGACCAGAAATAGGAAAATCATAGGTGAAAGTTCCAAAAAAGCAATTTTCAGCTTATGTGGAATGACTAACTGACAATTACAGCTGTCCAAGAACAGGATAGGGTGTTTTGTTTATTTGTTAGCAACCTACATGGCAATTGAATGGCATTCAATTAGAGATGCTGAGATGCAATGCCTTTCAAATTTTAAGGTGCATTTTGAGTCACCTGGGGTCTTATAAAATGCTGTTGGCCACCAAACATAGTTTGAGTACCAAGTATATAAAGAATTTTCCTTTGCTATGTGGACAATTTTGGATAAGAGAAATTTTAAATTTTCCCTCATCTTGAAAAGTCTATTATATTCTATGTTTATTTGAGTACCAATGCAAGGTATTTGCTGGATGCTGTGGAAATAAACAAAAGTCAGGGTCCCTGAGATAAAGTAGCATATTTCAGAAACAAGAGAATGCATAGCACATTTGAAGAATATTGACCTGATTGAGAGAAATTTTTCTGGTAGGAGAAGTGTTGTAGAAATAGGCTTTGAAAAGGCAGAGTTTCCATTGTGAATATAAAATTAAGTACTTCAGACATCATCCTGGGGGGAAAGGTATGCCAGTTCAGATTTGCCTTCTTCTATAAGTAATATACCCCCAGGATAGTGGCTTAAACACACAAATGTTTATTTTTCTATGTAAATAAAAGAGGTACAGAATTAAGCTGTTCAGGGTTGTATGACGACCCCATAAAGTCATCAGGGACTTGGTCTCTTTCTATCTTTCTGTTCAGTCATCTTCCTTGCTGTCTTCCACCCTCAAGATTATTTTAAGATTCAAGACAGCTACTGGAGCTCCAGCAATTTTATCCCATTCCAGGCTTGGGAAGGAAGATGAAGAAATTGCTTCTTTCTTTTGAAGAAAACAACTCAAAAGACAACTGCTGCTTACATCTCACTGGCTAGAACTTGATTACATGACTGAATACAACTGCAAGGGAACCTGGGAAAGATTATTGTCTCAGCTATGCACATTGTCCAGGGTTCTGTTTTTAAGGAATAATAAGTGGATTGATGAACACTGGAAGTCACCTAGCAGTCTTTATCACAAATGGTAAGTCCATTGTTTCTGAATTGGAATGGGACACTGGCAGGGGACTGTTTTTGAAAGATAAGTATGGAGGTAATACAAAGACTGAAAGTAAATGTTGGGAGATGTAGTCAAGATGACTGATTTCTAGACATAAAGGAATTCCGGGGATGTTGGACTAAACAAGAGTAGTAAGAGATTAAGTGAAGAGAGAGAACTATAGAATGGCCTTTACAAAGTTATGATGGACAAGACTTGGTGACTTGACCTGGGTCGGAAAAGACAGGGAGGAACCTAGAATACCCAAGAGGTTTACAACCTGGGTGACTTGGAAAAATGATGAAACCCATAGCAGAAAAAGAAATGGCACAAAGAAAGGCGACTTGTCGAGGAAGAAGATGAGTTTTGTTTTAGATATACTGGGTTTGCTGTGATGAGGGAACATCCCAGGGGACAGGCAGAAATATCTAAACACTTCATGGTTAAGACTATAAGACAGTGTATACTGCTCGGGTGATGGGTGCACCAGAATCTCACAAATCACCACTAAAAGGACTTACTCATGTCACCAAACATCACCTGTTCCCCAATAGACTATGGGAATAATTAAAAAAGGAAGAAAGAAAGAAGGAAAGGAAGGAAGGAAGGAAGGAAGGAAGGAAGGAAGGAAGGAAGGAAGGAAGGAAGGAAGGAAGAAAGGAAAGAAAGAAAGAAGGAAAGAAAGAAAGAAAGAGAGAAAGAAAGAGAGAAAGAAAGGAAGGAAGGAAGGAAAGAAAAAAGGAAAGAAAGAAAGAAAGAAAGAAAGAAAGAAAGAAAGAAAGAAAGAAGGAAGGAAGGAAGGAAAGAAAAGAAAGAAAGAGAAAGGAAAGAAAGAAAGGAAAGAAAGAAAGAGAGAAAGAAAGAAAGAGAGAAAAAGAAAAAGAAAGAGAAAGGAAGGAAGGAAAGAAAAAAGGAAAGAAAGAAAGAAAGAAGGAAGGAAGGAAGGAAGGAAGGAAAGGAAAGGAAAGGAAGAAAGAAAGAAAGAAAGAAAGAAAGAAAGAAAGAAAGAAAGAAAGAAAGAAAGAAAGAAAGAGAAAGAGACTTTAGCTTAGGAGACAATTGAGTGTGTAGGGGATGGCTTTTGAGGGTATTCACATATTCCACACTTCCACGTAAGTGTCTAATAGTCATCTCACACTTTATGTTTCCAAATAGAACTCTCAGCCACCTTTACCCCACTCTAGTTATTGAAGACCCAGAGAATGCTGGTCTGTTTTAATAATGATCTCAACCAAACACCAGTACATAGGCAAATTCTCTGCAGAAAATGAGTTAGGATAATACTCTAAAGCCAAGTATAAATTATTTGATATCATGTTCTCTTTGAGAATACTCCTCTCTGAATTTTGAGTTATTTTCTATAATCGTCTTTGGATGCCTTCAAGTTCAGTTTAGCCATCTGCTTCAAGGGAATGATAACCCATGAAACCAAGGTGTCCCAGTTCAGCCAGCTTCCATAGCACTCTCCTCAGAGATAGACTGAATTTTCCAAATACCAATTCTATATGAATCTGTTAATTGGATTATAGACAAAGTTTCCTGTCTTTTCTCTGGGCTAAGAATCTGATTTTCCCTTGACAATATATTCCTAATGCCAGAGGTCAAGGCTTTTATTAAGCCATTCTGAACTTGCCTTCAAGTGGTTAATGAAAGATCCCTAGAGCACAGCTTTGACCTTAGCCTGCGTTGCATTTTATTTAATTGAATTGTATTTTGCTCCCTTCCTTTGTTTCTCTAGGCTCCAACCAGAGAAGGAAGCCAATTGAACTCCTGGGATATATTAATTACATGTTTTATTTGACGATGTTTTGGTTTTCCATTATGTTCTTGTCATCTTTTTATTGTTCTATACCACAAAACGTCACATGGACTAACTCTCTGGGAGTCTCTTATTTGCATTTAGTGAGGAGAGGACAACCTACCCCAAGTGGGTGGGGAAATTCCTGTATATCAAGTTATAAGGCAGGGGGTTCCCTTTCCACATTCGTAAAGCTACCCCGAGCTCAGGATACCCCCCAGTCAAATGGGTAAATGCTAGACAATTTCCTGTGGGAGACCTGGCCTTCTTGGAAGGAACTGAAATCTGCTGCTAAACAAGAAATCTAGAAATGTTTTGAAAATCTAAACGTGATAAAAATGGAAGAGAGCTTTCTTATTAATAATGGCACACAGATACACAGACCTTTGTGGTTAACAAACTGTTCACACTTGATACTCCTAATTGTCCTTAAGATAGGCATGGTGAGTACCAAATTCATGTTACAGAGGAGAGCACGATACTGACAGAACCTGGTGACTTGCTCAAAGCCACACAGTCTATTCTGCAGTAGAGCTGGGACAAGTCTTATGCTATTTACGCTGCTTTCTTTCCATTTATCTATAGTAAAATCATCAACCAGAGTTTGCTGACCTATCAGGTGGCACAGTACAGACTGCTCTAAGCTGTGGTTGTCAAAGGTGTTAGATCTACAGAATTAAATTGCATAACTGTGAACAGACACTTTTCAAAAGAAGACACACATGCAACCAACAATCATGAAAAAGAGCTGAACATCACTGATTAATAAAGAAACGCAAATCAAAACCACAATGAGATACCAACTCACACCAGTCAGAAGGGCTATTATTAAAAAATCAAAGAACAACAGATGCTGGTGAGGTTGCAGAGAAAAATGAAAACTTATACATTGTTGATGGGTGTATAAATTAGTTGAAACATTGAGGAAGACAGTGTGGCAATTCTTTAAAGACCTAAAAACCGAACTGCAATCCCATTACTGAGTATATACCCAAAGGAATATAAATTGTTCTATCATAAAGACATATGCATGCATATGTTTGTTGCGGAACTACTCACAATAGCAAAGACATGGAATCAACCTAAGTTACCATTGACAGTAGACTGGATAAAGAAAACGTGGTACGTATACACCATGGAACACTATGCAGCCACAAAAAAGAACAAGATCATGATATTTTCAGAAACACAGATGGAGCTATAAGCCATTATTCTTAGCAAACTAATGCACGAACAGAAAACCAAATACCACATGTTCTCACTTATAAGAGGGAGATAAATGATGAGAACTCATGGACACACAAAGGGGAACAAAACACACAGGGGCCTATTGGAATGTGGATCAGGAAAAATAACTAAAAAAAGGGGAACAAAACACACAGGGGCCTATTGGAGTGTGGATCAGGAAAAATAACTAATGGGTACTACAGTTAATACTTGGGTAATGAATGTATCTGTACAACAAAACCCATGACACAAGTTTACCTATATAACAAACGTGCACAAGTAACAGAGAACTTAAAATAAGTTAAATTTAAAAAAACTGCATGTCTGAATCCATTTTATTTCTTTCCCTCACTTACACAAACAGCATTTTTCCCTTACCTCCAAAATCACTCTAGTATATATTGATACTTCACCAAACTACTCTTCACTCCACAAATAGACCATGCCATCTATATATGGCTACCACTTTATTCATATTGCTCTTTTCACTGGATTGCTCCTTCCACACCCTATCTGTCCTAAAGCCTCTTTTGCTTCTCTGTCTGTGTGCTTTACAGTTTGTTGCTTCTTCCTTAAAACACTCATAGTATAATGTTTAATCATGAATTTGTGTAATTGAGATAATGGATCTAAAAAGCTAGTGCAGAGTAGAGGACATTGTGTGTGTTCAGTAAGTGTTAGCTATGATGATGACGATGATAAAGATGAGGATAATGATGTATTTTCTATTAGTCTCCTAACTAAAGTTTTGTATTTAGCACAACACATGTCACATGGTAAGAAATCAGATGTTTTTATTTAATTTGCGGGGTTATTTATACTGGTAGTTTATAGATAGAAATGAAGGCAATCTTTATATTAGTCTAGAATGGGAAATGACAGCATAGATATAAAACCACAGCAATGATAATTTTAAAATGGTGTAGCTGAATCACAAACATAGTGTGTATGAGTTTGAAACTACCTTAGCATCTAGTCGAGTGGTTTTTGAAGTGTGGGGCCCGAACTAGTAGCAGCACCTCAGAACTTATTAGAGATGGAAACTCCAACCATATTCAATATTTACTGAATCAGGAACTCTGGGAATAGGATCTAGAATTACATTGTTTCTGCAAGTCCTGTAGGTGATTGTGATAAAATTGGAGAATGACTGATCTAGTCCAATCATCATCTAGCTTAACACTTGAGAAAAGTAAGGCACAAAGGTCAAATGAGTCTGCCAAAGTCACATACCTTGTTAATGGCAGACATGAGGCTAGAGTTGTGATCACATGACTACATTACCTTTATATTTCTTCTCATTGCTTTAAAAAAATTCTTACTGTGTTTCTTTATTCAGTTAATAGCAATATAATTATATTAAAAGTTTTGCTGTAGCCAGCAATACACACTATCATAGCAGAAAGCCTTAGTACCAGGACACCAGAACTTGTATTCTGGCTTGTCCAATTACTGTCTGTACAGCTATCTGAGGCAGCCCTTCAGAAGAAAACCTGTGGTGCCGAGTGCAGTCAATTGATGGCCTCAGCTGCAGCATCTCTGGGACCTGCCTCAAGATGAGAGCTAAAAACGTGGCTCCCAGTCAGTGCCTGAGCGTGGCAGGGGTCCTAGGGCCTGGCCATTTCTATGCAATGTGAGACTCCTCCAACTGTCCATCTGTCCTTGGGAGCTCCTGTTGGGCTAGCTGCAACTCTCAGGGCTGCTCATCACCCGAGGCTGGCTCTTCTTTTCCTCCATCCTCTCACACTGCCAGAGTTACACCATGGGCTGAAGGCTTTCTGTGTCTTACTTTGCTCTCTCCCCTGTGTTTTTCAGAGAGGTTGGCCCTATCAAATCTCTGCTACTTCTAACTGTACCGTGGCTCCTGATTCCAGGATGACCTGAAGTGACACACTACTCTCCTTGAGCCTCAGTTTCTAGATGAGTAAAACGAGGTTTCAGGAGTTCATTGCTAATACAGAACTGGGAAATGATAAATGGTTTCTCTGTTATTGGTAGTAGCAAGAGCATCAGTGTCACAAGGTCATTATGGTGATGGAAGACATTGGTGTAAGTGTGTGTGTCAGAGACACCTGTTGCTTATGGAATATCCAAGTGACCACCCATGCCTCCAGCCCAGGTGGAGCCATGTGACAAATTCTGGCCAATATGCTATGAGCAGAAGTGATACATTTTCAATTCAGTCTAAAACACAAAAGAATAAATGTCTCCTAAGGCTGGCACAGCAAACCCCAAAGACACGTGTTTAGGATGATGGAGGCTTCATCAGCCTGTGATTTGTGAGCTAATGCGGAACCCAGCCCCCAGCTCACTCACACTGAAAATGTCTCACAACAAGAAATAAAGCTTTAGTGTGTTAAGCACTGGGATTTCAGGATTAATTTGTTACCACAGCCTAAACTATCCTATCCTAACTGAAACAATATGTTTGGTAAAACAGACAGCACAATGAAAAAAATACATTTTCATTTTTAACTGTTCATTTTCAGGCATTCTTTTTGGTTGTACTTGGAAGAAACCATATCATCATAGAGAAAAGATGAAGATATAATTCAGAGACAGAAGAACAATGGAACTTGACTTAGAAATAAAATCCTAGATATGGTTTGCATACATAATTCAGAGAGAGAAGAACAATGGAACTTGACTTAAAAATAAAGTCCAAATTTCATGTTAAAATGTAACCCCGGCCAGGCGCGGTGGCTCATGCCTGTAATCCCAGCACTTTGGGAGGCCGAGGTGGGCGGATCATGAGGTCAGGAGATCGAGACCATCCTGGCTAACACAGTGAAACCCCGACTCTACTAAAAATACAAAAAATTAGCTGGGCGTGGTGGCGGGCGCCTGTAGTCCCAGCTACTTGGGAGGCTGAGGCAGGAGAATGGCGTGAACCCAGGAGGCAGAACTTGCAGTGAGCCGAAATCACGCCACTGCACTCCAGCCTGGGTGACAGAGCAAGACTCTGTCAAAAAAAAAAAAAAGAAAAAAAAAAAGTAATCTCTAGTGTTAGAGGTGGGCCCTGGTGGAGGTGTTTGGACCATGGGGATGAATCCTTTATGAATATTATCACCATCCTCTTGGCAGTGATTGAGTTGATGCCAGATCTGGTTGTTTAAAAGAGCATGATACCTTCCCCATCTCTTGCTCCAGCTCTTACTGTGGGACGCGCCTGCTCTTCCTTTGCCTTCCATCATGATCGCAAGCTTCCTGAGGCCCTCACCATAAGCCGATACCAGAGCCATGCTTGTACAGCCTGCAGGACTATGAGCCAATGAAATGTCTTTTCTTGATAAATTAACCAGCCTCAAGTATTTCTTTATGGTGATGCACAAACAGGCGAGCACAATCCTCAATATTAAGATAGAAAAATGTAGTCATTTTGCAAAATTCAGCAGCCCTTCATGCAAAAAACTCTCAATAAACTAGGTATCGATGGGATGTATCTCAAAATAATAAGAGCTATTTATGACAAACCCACAGCCAATATCATACTGAATGGGCAAAAAGTGGGAGCATTCCCTTCGAAAACTGGCATAAGACAGGGATGCCCTCTCTCACCACTCCTATTCAACATAGGTTTGGAAGTTCTGGCCAGGGCAATCAGGCAGGAGAAAGAAATAAAAGGTATTCAATTAGGGAAAGAGGAAGTCAAATTGTCCCTGTTTGCAGATGACATGATTGTATATTTAGAAAACCCCATTGTCTCAGCCCAAAATCTCAAGCTGATAAGCAACTTCAGCAAAGTCTCAGGATACAAAATCCACTTGCAAAAATCACAAGCATTCCTACGCACCAATAACAGACAGAGAGCCAAATCATGAGTGAACTCCCATTCACAATTACTTCAAAGAGAATAAAATACCTAAGAATCAAACGTACAAAGGATGTGAAGGACCTCTTCAAGGAGAACTACAAAATACTGCTCAATGAAATAAAAGAGGACACAAACAAATGGAAGAACATCCCATGCTCATGGATAGGAAGAATCAATATCGTGAAAATGGCCACATTGCCCAAGGTAATTTATAGATTCAATGGCATCCCCATCAAGCTACCAATGACTTTCTTCACAGAATTGGAAAAAACTACTTTAAAGTTCATATGGAACCAAAAAAGAGCCCACATTGCCAAGACAATCCTAAGCAAAAAGAACAAAGCTGGAGGCATCATGCTACCTGACTTCAAACTATACTACAAGGCTACAGTAACCAAAACAGCATGGTACTGGTACCAAAACAGAGATATAGAACAATGGAATAGAACAGAGCCCTCAGAAATAATACCACACATCTGCAACCATCTGATCTTTGACAAATGACAAAAACAAGAAATGGGGAAAGGATTCTCTATCTAATAAATGGTGCTGGGAAAACTGGCTAGCCATATGTAGAAAGCTAAAACTGGATCCCTTCCTTACACCATATACAAAAATTAATTCAAGATGGATTAAAGACTTAAATGTTAGACCTAAAACCATAAAAACCCTAGAAGAAAACCTAGGCAATACCATTCTGGACATAGGCATGGGCAAGGACTTCATGACTAAAACACCAAAAGCAATGGCAACAGAAGCCAAAATAGACAAATGGGATCTAATTAAACTAAAGAACTTCTGCACAGCAAAAGAAACTACCATAAGAGTGAACAGGAAACCTACAGAATGGAAGAAAATTTTTGCAATCTACTCATCTGACAAAGGGCTAATATTCAGAATCTACAAAGAACTTAAACACATTTACAAGAAAAAATCAAACAACCCCATCAAAAAGTGGGTGAAGGATATGAACAGACACTTCTCAAAAGAAGACATTTATGCAGCCAAAAGACACATGAAAAAATGCTCATCATCACTGGCCATCAGAGAAATGCAAATCAAAACCACAATGAGATACCATCTCACACCAGTTAGAATGGCAATCATTAAAAAGTCAGGAAACAATAGGTACTGGAGAGGATGTGGAGAAATAGGAACACTTTTACACTGTTGGTGGGACTGTAAACTAGTTCAACCATTGTGGAAGACAGTGTGGTGATTCCTCAAGAATCTAGAACTAGAAATACCATTTGACCCAGCCATCCCATTACTGGGTATATACCCAAAGGATTATAAATCATGCTGCTATAAAGACACATGCACACGTATGTTTATTGCGGCACTATTCACAATAGCAAAGACTTGGAACCAACCCAAATGTCCATCAATGATAGACTAGATTAACAAAATGTGGCACATATACACCATGTAATACTATGCAGCCATAAAAAATGATGAGTTCATGTCCTTTGTAGGGACATGGATGAAGCTAGAAACCATCATTCTGAGCAAACTATCACAAGGACAGAAAACCAAACACCGCATATTCTCACTCATAGGTGGGAATTGAACAGTAAGAACACTTGGGCACAGGGTGGGGAACATCACACACCAGGGCCTGTTGTGGGGTGGGGGAGGGGGAGATATAGCATTAGGAGAAATACCCAATGTAAATGATGAGTTAATGGGTGCAGCACACCAACATGGCACATGTATACATATGTAACAAACCTGCACATTGTGCACATGTACCCTAGAACTTAAAGTATAATAATAAAAAAAAATGTAGTCATTTTGAGGGGAAGGATAAGTTAGACAAGTCATATCCCTCCATGAACTACATAATCAAATTATACAGTGGAAGGTAGTTTTTTTTCTATATTAATTTGCTTTAGGGTGACTAATCAGTATTATTCAGATTCTTTATTTTTCTAGTGCAATAAAACTAGAACAGAACATATCTAAAGTGAGGCTGCTTTCTGTGTAAGTGGCTTGTACTCACTGGGGATGGCTCAGTATGCAGCTATTGAGAACAGCTTGTGCTGGCCTTTTTGATAGCTGGAATGCAAGTCAGCTGGTGATTTAGCTCTTCTAGTTCTTAGAAGACAACCAGCCTCCAAGCGGGGCTGGCAATGGCCAGTCAGTCAGAATAGGGGAGAGTGAAAAAGTTGAAACAGGTCTGGGCAAGGGACAGATTTCAAGACTGGATGACGTTTGAAATTTCATTGCTGTCAGACAAATGGCAATTAGCAGAATATGTCCATGTGCTGCCTTTCCAGGGATAAGATTTCAATGAGAAATACCTTGGAGGAAGCCAATATTTTGGATTTGGAAGTAGGGAAGGAATGCTTCTCTGACTCTGGACAGAGAGAATCAAAACATAGAACTTGGAGCTTCTACCTGACATAACCTAGAAAGGTATTTTATATAGCTACTACCTTTTAACTACTCTTGGGTGCTCATAACACTGGAGCAAGTGATACTAGGTCACTCACTTTGTGGTTTGCCATAAATTAAGGAATGGTGCAGCTATCCTTATGGCAAAAGTGGAGAAGGGGTGAGTTCAAGGGCCCTGAAAGCAAACTGTACTCCAGGAAGAAATCTCCAACTAAAACAGAGATGTAGGAAATTTTCATACAATGAAATGATAGTAGAATGAGGGTAACTGTAAATCTCACAGTATTTTAAAGTTACAAGTTGGTACTGAATCTAGTTTCAGAGGAGCTTCATATAAAATATGTAACATCTTGTCTGGATACAGATTTCACATAATCTTACATCTTAGGAAAGAGTTGCTTCTAACAACCTTCTCCCTTACTTCTTCCCTCCCTTTGTCACTTCTTTCCTTCTTGCTGTATTTGTGAGTCTGCACAGTTGTCTATTGATGTGTTTCTGTACTAAAGTCACTGGATAATTTGGCCAACCTATGAAATTGGAAGAATAAAATGACAGGTGGTTTTGCTATATTAGAAGTAAAACAAAACAAAAAATTAAAATAAAACTAAAACTTAAGGATTAGTTGTCACTTTGTGTTTTTTTTTTGTTTGTTTGTTTTTTGGTACTATTGACTCTTAACCTTAGAAGTTAGAAAAACCACGCCTAGCTCACAACTCTTCCATTAACTTTCTGGGCAACTGGACTTTCAGATGCAGAGTTAACCAAAATTTGCTCTGCACTTTCTATATATGTGCCCGGCATTAATCTAGGTGCTTGGAAGTATGCCATTTTACTTCATTGTCATAAATTTACAAAGAGCTTAGAATAACTATATGTTTTGGTTTGCCTGGGACAGTCCCAATATCTATTTCCCACCATCCTATCCAGGTGGCACCTCTTTTCACTCTTGAAAGTCTCATAGTTTGGAAAAGGAATGTCCTAGTCATCTTACATAGGGTAGGTATTACTGTAACATTCTCTTTATAGGCCTTTCTGGGTCTTCATTTTCTCACTGATAAAAACTGGATGCTTAAGTAAGACATTGGATGCTTAAGACGTTACTATCTATGATTTCTTGCACATTCATAGATTTCTTTGCATCAAAGTTTTCTATCTGCTTTAAGTGTCTAAAAATGCAAAGATTCTGCCCCAGCAACCTGTCAACACTGAAAAGGAGAGAAAGAATTCACCACTTCGGTAGAAGAAATAGAATTTCTAGAGAGAAAAGGAGAGTGAAAAGAATGCCTAATTAATGTACATGTGTGAACGATGCAAGACTGTCTATTCAATCACCAACAGTTTATAAAAGATATGCAGAGAAGAGGGGATATACCAAGAAAAATGGGGTGATATAAATTCCTAAAATAATTTGATGATATCTGTTTTGTAATAACATGGTAAGTTCTAGTATATTTCAATTTAGAATCATTGCAACAATGAAGAATTATGAACTGTTTCAGTTATAGGTTACTCGTCTTGTATTATAGGGCTTAAAAATATATACATTTGCAAATGTCATATCAAGAACATAGTTTTCACTTTACCCACAGGCAGCCTCCTGGGTAATATGTTATGGTGAAAAAAGCATGGGTTTTAAAATAAAACATTTAAGTTTTAATCCTGGCTCTGCCAGAATTAAAATGTGTGCTGCTTACTCTTTCTTTAAGACTCAGTTTCTTTATTCATAAAATAAGAATAACAATCTGAATGTACAGGATAATGCTGAAAATTCAGTGAGGTAGTGCTGGCGCATTGTAATCCCTGAGCAACTATTAATTCATTCCTTTTCCCCAACCTGCTCCCAAAGAGGCTCCCATAAGAAATGCATCAAATATGTATTGTGTTGCAGGATAATCAGACACCGATAAGAAATGTATCAAATATGTATTGCAGAATAAAGCATGTCGTTATAAACCTAAATCTCTCATGTTTCAATGGCCACGCAAATACCAGTAGGAGGGATTTCATCTGATAATGGCTTTATGATTAGCAGCAAGTAGTGGCTTGGTTTTTGGCTCTGCCTTACATTAAAGTTCTTTAGAGTAAAGTCTCTGTCTTCTACAAGGCTGTCCATAAGTCTGTTGATCCTCCAAGGTGGAACATGTTCTCTTTTCAGAAGGTGCTTAATAAAGTCAATCTGTCATCAGTTCTCCAAGTTCAAAATATCTTCCCAAATGGAATTTACATGCCTTTCAAGAAAAGAGAAGGCTAGGATCAGATCTCACCTGTGGTATCGAGTTCTGTTCTGGATTCCATACTTTAAAAATGCCACATGTGTAGTCTTGGGATTAATGGGCCTGAAATGATTAGAGGGTAAAATCTTGAGCAGCTGTAGGCAGGAAGTATGTTTAGAAGTGTTTTGGATAAATGTTTTTCTGATGGGAGCACATTTTTTAACCTAAAAATGGCCAATTCTGGCTGAAAATAAGGAGAATATTCCTCCCTTCTGGAAATACAATACAGATAGAACAAAGAGTCAGGCATCTGAGGGAGAGACAGACAGACACAGAGACAGAAAAATGCAGAGGCACTTAGGGAGAACAAACCATTGCCAGAATAAAAGGTAATTGGTAGCAGACACTTCATAATACATATACAAAGAAGTATTTCTCTATGACCACAACTAACAAAGTCTTGCTATTCAAGCAAGTGTTAAACAGTTGCATCACAGAGACTGAAACCTTCTTTCACAGTTTTTGGCATCTGTGAACATCGTAAACCCAATGCAGAATTACCTAGAGCAACAAAAACAATAACGTGAGAAATCTGAGTAATAGTGGCTCCAATAGCTGTCTTGATGAGAGGATGGCCCTAAACTTTCCAGAATCTCCCTCACCTTCCAAAGCTACCCTAAATAAAAATAATCACTTCTAATATTGACAATGGGTCATCTCTTAATCTTAGGTGCTCTATGTGTAAAAGTATCTTTAGAGAACTTCTTTTACTCACACATCACCCAAGACAACCCACAGTGTGGGAGAAAATATTTGCAAACTAGGCATCCAACAAAAGACTATTATCCAGAATCTACAAGAAACTCAAATGAGTCAGCAAGAAAAAAAAAAAACCCACACACACCAAAAAGTGGGCTAAGGACATAGACAATTCTCAAAAGAAGATATACAAATGTCCAACAAACCAATGAAAAAATGCTCAACATCACTATTAATAATTATCAGGGAAACACAAATCAAAACTACAATGTGAAACCACATTACTCCTGCAAAAAATGGCCATAATTTAAAATCCAAATAACAATAGATGTTGGCATGGATGTGGTGAAAAGGGAACACTTTTACACTGCTGGTGGGAAGGTAAACTAGTATAACCACTACGAAAAACAGTATGGAGATTCCTTAAAGAACTAAACATAGAACTACCATTTGATACAGCAATCCCACTACTCAGTATCTACCCAGAGGAAAAGAAGTCATTATATGAAAAAGACACTTGCACATGTTTTCTATAGCAGCACAATTCACAATTGCAAGGATATGGAACTAGACCAAATGCCCATCAACCAAGTGTATAAAGAAAATGTGGTATGTATTTATACACCATGGAATACTACTCAGCCATAAAAAAGAATGGAAGAATGGCATTCACAGCAACCTGGATGGAGTTGGAGACCATTATTCCAAGTGAAGTAACTCAGGAATGGAAAGCCAAACATCATATGGTCTCACTTATAACTGGGAGCTAAATTATGAGAATGCAAAGGCATAAGAATGATGTAACGGACTCTGGGGGAATGGGGGGAAAGGGTGGGAGGCGATGAGGAATAGAGAACTACACATTGGGTGCAGTGTACACTGCTCAGGTGATGGGTGCACCAATCTCAGAAATCACCACTAAAGAACTTATCCATGTAACAGAACACCACCTATTTTCCAAAAGCTATTGGAATAATAATAATAACAAAAGAAAACCTCACTACCTTAACTGATTTGTCATGTATAATATAGGCAAAAATAATTCCTATGCAGAGTTTTAAGAGAAACCCTCTAGTTCCTCTTTCCAACATGATTGCCTCCCCCAATACCCCTGTAGACTGAAACCATCATCAAATCTCCTAGAAAATTCTTCCAGCCTTTCATAGCATTCCTATGGCTTTGCACCAATATTTAGCGGATGGGAAATTTGAAATTCATATACAAATGTCTATTATTTATTAACAAATATTTACTGAGTACTGTCTAGGTGCCAGACACTGACCTTGGTACTGCTTATCACTGCTTTATGGCATATCAATATGTTCATTATCAAATTTATAGAAAATTAAATACTGTTTTATTATATTGTATGAATTAAGTCACTCCCGCTTAACATCTTTTATTTTTTTACTTTTCTAAAACCCCATTTACATTTAGAAAGTGTCAGAGATAGCCATTACTCATAGTCATTCCTATATGGACTCTCATGCCAAGGGGTGGACATTTCATGGGTAACACCTCTTCCAAAATGTTGCTCACTATGTAACCCAAACACATAGTGAGATACCAACTAGATGATAAAGGGATTTGAAACCATTTTCTATGATGAATGATGGAAAGAACAGGGGATATTTAGTGCAGAAAGGCAAATGCTTCTTGGAAGGCAATGAGTTCAAGAATAGACTCGGAAATTGGTAGGGAAAGCATAGGACAGTTCCAAACATCAGATTTAGGCCTGGGCCATAAATCCATCCCAGTTCCGAGAGGTAATAATTTTAATGAAATAAAATGAACATGAGGAGTAAGACAAAAACCAAGTTCTTTGGGTCACAGAAGATGGAAAATTATAAGATTTAGAGAGGAAAAGTCATGGGGCTTTAAAAAGATCTTCTGTTAGAGAAGAACAAAATCACGCAGAGATGACAAGGCCAATGTCCCTAGTGAATAATCTCCAAATGCATTGGGATTGGGCAGCCAGGCTCTGACACTGTGTAGAAAACAAAGGTAATTTAATACTAAGGAAGAGACATATAGTGGGTCAAATAATATAAAATCTGAGCACATTAATATTTCTGTCAATTTAACCAAGAATGTTATGGCATATGTGTCGCTGGGAGTGACAGAAGCTATTACTGAAATGAGATTAGAATCTTTTTGAAATATCAACAGAAGCATTATAGTCAGTAACATTCCCATATAAAATAGATGACATTGATGCTACACAATCAACATACTAGGGGAATAACATACAGAATTACAGACTAGATTATTTTGCTCTATCTAGATTATTTTGCTCTATATAGATTTTTTTTTTCTCTTTGGAGTTTTTGGTTAGCTGTCAACTCAGTTAGTTTTTCTCAGCCCCAAGTACAATATCAAATTTATCTAATTTTTAAACAGAAGTGGGGTGAGTATGTTTGGGTTTCCTTTTATTCATCATGACCACCAGGGTTTGAATCGATTGGCCAAATCAATGGGTAAATTAACCTGTAAAAATAATTATCAGGCTGGGGGTGGAGGGCTTCTTCTGTCACCTTCACAGGATTGGTCAGGACTGTCTTGCCCTTTGGCTGGGCCAGTGCAATGTGAGTTCTATGTTCCAAGTTTTACAAACCCCTTAAGAAGCAAAACACAGTAGGAGGATATTTTAATATTGATGTCTATTTAATCTCATTTTCCCCGTTCTCTAATGATGCAAGCAGCTTCAACAACTTGCTATAGTGCTGTCTTCAAAGTAGAGCTGATGGCAGACGAAGAGTTAAATGCCTCTCTTTGGAGCTCTTCTGTATATTTGGGTAGATCTAAAGCAGGGAAAAAGTCCTTAAAAGCCGTGTCTTTTATTGCAAGTACCAACTACTTGAAATAGAATTATTTTACTTCCTTGGCTTTAAATGTGAAAGTGCCAAGGCCTAGAAGATTCAAAACATAGTATAGCAAGAACAGATGGGTAATGTAAGCAGAGATGGAAACTCTGAGAAGATAATCAAAAGAAAATGCTAAGAATAATAAACATTGTAACAGAAATAAGAAATGCCTTTGATCAGTAGACTGGATATGACCAAGGAAAAAATCAGTGAGCTTGAAGATAGATCATAGAAATTCCCAAAACTGAAATGCAGAGGAAAAAAAATGAAAAAGATGGAACAGAATATACAGGAACTGTGGGACAATTTAAAAAGGTGTAACATATGTGTAATAGGAATAACAAAAGGGGAAGAAAGAGAGGAATGAACTGAAGAAATATTGGAAGTAATACTGGCTGAGAGTTTCCCAAAATTAATAATAGGCTCCAACCACAAATCTAAGAAATTCAGAAAACCACCAAACTTGATAAAGTACAAAAAACCCTACACCTCAGCATATCATATTCAAGCTGCAAAAATAAAAAAAAAGAAAAGAAAAACAGACTCTTGAAAGAAGCTAGGGGCTGGGGGGACCCACCTAACCTATAGAGGAATATGAATAAGAATTATATCAGACTTCTCTTCACAAACAAGCAAGAAGAGAGTGGAATAAAATATGTAAAGTATTAAAAGAAAGCAAAATACCCAACAAAGTACAATTCTTTATGCAATGAAATTATCCTTCAAAAGGAGAGTGAAAGATTTTCTTGGACAAACAAAATTTGAGGGAATTTGTTGCCAGTAGATCTATCTTATAAGAAAGTTAAAAGTTGTTCTTCAGAGAGAAAGAAAATGATAGAGGTCAGAAACTCAGATCTACATGAAGAAGGAAGAACATTACAAAAGGAATAAATGAAGGTAAAGTAAAATCTTTCATTTTTCTTATTCTTAATTCATCAAATGATAATAGTTTGTTCAAAATAATAATAGTGACAATGTGTTCAGAGTAGAGCTTGTCGATAAGTGAAAAAAATGACAATAACATTGTAATAGATGGGAGTTAGGTACTGGGAATCCTCTACTATAAGGTACTTCATCTACTGATGAAGTGGTATAGTGTTATTTAAAAATGAACTTGGATTAGTCATAAATGCATATTGCATACTCTGAAACAACCACAAAAACAAACCAAACCAAACACCCCACCATGTATACCATAAGCCAGAGAGTCAGGAAGATGATGCAGTGACACTAGAATTTATTAACTGGAACAGAAGGGGGAAAAGGTGAATTAGTGGGGTGCTCTGTAGTCTCTGAGACGTGGCCTGGGTCCCAGCTGTGGTTGGAGATCATAGGAACACTAGAGCCCCTGATAGAAATTTCAGATGATCTGGGAGCATTTCAAAATAGAATGTAAAGATTAGCACAGACCCTGCGCAAAGATAACACGCAAATTCGTGAAGCGTTCCATATTAAAAAGAAAAGGAATGTACCATTTTCTCTTTCGCTCTATGCAGTCTGGAAGACTGCAAGCCTCACAGAGAAACCCCAGGTCCAATATGGCATTTGGGTGGTAGAGTAGCAACTGCTGAGGAAATCAACAGATGGGTCAGAGGACAGCTTTGAGTCCCTCAAGCCACAACATGACATGAGAAAAGCAGCTGAGTATTCAGAGACCTCCAAAAGAAGCCTCAGAGTTGGGATGAGGGACACAGGTGCATGGGATTTTTAACAGGAGTTCATCAGGAGATTGTCATCATAAGCAGCAAATGTGCCCTCATGGCTTCTGCTAGTTTTTTCTGCTAAGCATGTCTTCTACTAAGTAATTTTCCATTTCTCATAACTCCAGCATATGCCCTCACTCTACTTCATGGAGTCTTTCTGTGACTCCTTTCAGAATTCGGCTCACACTGTTAATAACCTAATCTTCTCCACAATTCCAAAGCATAACTGCAGAGTTGAGAGAATCTTATCAGATTAGCTTGTTCCTGAGCAGAGATTTAGAGATTTCACAGGCCACTGGCGAGCCTGGGCACTGGCTCCTCTCAAGCCATTTGCTCACCCATGGCCTCATTTGGTGAGGTGAGAAGCAGGACCACTTGGTTGAGACTATGTATGTCCAGGAATGCTCTTTTTAATCCCTCAGCAAGAGATGTCTACAAGGTGGTTTCCCTGAGGAAAGGCCATGGGCATGGCAAGCATGATAGTTGACCTTGACTTGCTTGATTACAGATTGATGCATAGAGAAATATCAAAGCAAAACTGTTCTGTAATCACTAATCTATGGTAAGAAGGGATCACAGATCTGAAAATAATAATACTGTAGAGCGTAGAGTCATGGTGGTAGTACTTTTTCTTTTTTCTGTCATTCCTTAAGCAAATCATGTTAGTATTAACAGTAATAAGAGCTAACATTTGGTAAATGCCTATTATATATGAACTAACCTATTTATATAAAATTACTTAATAAATTAATTAAATGATTGATTTAATTTCCATAATAATTCTGTGAGGTAAGTACTGATATTTTTATCGCCAATCAGAAAATTGAGAGATTGAAAAATCTAGCAACTCACACACATAATTTTCTTGCTTATAGGAAGTAGCATTTGCACATAATGTTTCCCTTGCAAAATATCATTGACTGTACTTCAGAACAGATTTACTTGCACCGAGTAAAGATAAAAGCGAATTTAGAGATAAGAAAAGATAAAAGGGCCAGGCACGGTGGCTTACACCTGTAATCCCAGCACTTTGGGAGGCCAAGGCGGGTGGATCATGAGGTCAGCCATTCTAGACCAGCCTGGCCAACACAGTGAAACCCCATCTCTACTAAAAATACAAAAATTAGCCAGGCGTGGTGACACTTGCCTATAATCCCAGCTGTTCGGGAGGCTGAGGCAGGAGAATCGCTTGAACCCAGGAGGTAGAGATTGCAGTGAGCCGGGATGGTGCCATTGCACTCCAGCCTGGGCAACACAGCAAGACTCCGTATCAATAAATAAATAAATAAAGGAATTAAAATAAGGTGGGAGGGGGCTATCAAAAGCTTATTCTAGCTGCAGTAATTTTACTAAAACAAAACTCCACTGGCTTGGCAAACACATACAGAATCCTAGAAAGCTTTAACTGAAATTTAGGCCTCTATGAGATTTTTATAATCTTGGTGTTTAAGAGGAAACAGTTCACTGGAAAACAGAAAACTGGGTTTTTCTTGGTTTTGTGACTTATGTACTGCAGAACCTTAACCAAGTCCCATAACGTTTATGACATCATAGTCACCACAACAAATAAGACCTCATCAAATGCTTTTAAAATGAACATGGACTGTCAGGAAGGAATCTGAAGATGCTTCAGATGAGCAAATCTGAGTCCTTTTCCTAAAGACCAGAGAATAGCATTATGTATGTAATGTGACGAGCATGCAAAAGTGGGAGACAGTCCCAGTGAGTCCTCAATGAACCCACTAATGAACATAACAGAGATGTAAACAATGATAAGACAATGTGTAGTGAGCTATATTACAAGTCTTTAATAAAAATATATGAGAGCAAAACTAGTTCCCCACCTCATACCCATTGGCAAAGACACAATGATTGCCAATACGATTCACCTTGCATGCCAACTCCCATCAATTATTAGCAGCCCAGAGTCCTATGTGGAGAGATCTGTGACTCTGTCCAGGCCAAGAAGGAAAGAGTGCTAAAAGTTATTAAAAATGTCTGATGCGGATATAGGTGGGAAAGCCCAGGGACATGCGTGTAGAATAAGAACTGTTCAAATGCACAGAAACCTTTGAAGTTACCAGGAACTAGGTTGGAATTCTTGCTTCCTCACTTAACCATGTGACCTTGGACAGCCCAAACCTCAGCTTCTGTATGTATGTAACAAAGGATCTAGTGCCCGTATTTTGTGCTGCTATCGGTATGTCCTTATATAAAGCACCTAGCACAGTGTCTGACAGGTAGTGGTTATTCAATATATTTTAATTTCTTTGACTGGAAATCCAACTTCTTCCATACAATATGTGGTAGGCATTTTTTTTTAAATAGTGATCATTGTAAATATAGTTTACATGGTCTAGAAATCACATATCAGTGAGGACTCTAGACTCCTCTCAGCCCTGAAAACATCTCTCAATACTTACACTAAATTTTAACATTCCATTTGCAACTTCACACCTTAGGTTTATGCATTCTCTTATTATCTTCCTCTGCTTTTCTTCCCTCTGCCTCTTGGATTTCTTATATCTGTGAATGGTACCAACATTTATCTGTGGACTCAACACATAAAACCTGGAATCAAGGATGCCTCCCAAGCCACCATTTTAACTAAAATGCCTTCTGAGTATGAAGTGGTGAAGGAAACTCTGTCACAAGGTTGCCCTACTGGAGATGTGTTCTGTTCTCTGAAGAATCGTTATCCAGTCCCACTGCAATGAAGTCCATCATAGTAGTATGGAGTAGTCATTTTGAAGGCCTTCAAATACCCACTTTACAGTTTAGCTCCATTGTATGACTAAACAAATGGAAACAGCCACATGTTTCTTTCCCTTTCCTTGATATGTGAGTTTCCCTAGACCTCCTGGCCTCTTTGTGCCCTTTGCTGCATACATGAACAGAAACTGCCTCCCAGAGCAGATCTGCAAATAATTTTTCTGGCTGAGGCAACCTGAGGTCAAGAAACCATACAGCTGTCATCTCACAGTTACAGTCTAATGGGAAGAAGCCTGAGGCACGGGTATCAGGCTCCCACACCATCAACCTCCTCACCAGCATTTCAGCTGAACAATAACCACAATTGATATAAGAACAAAGCCACTTCCCAAATATTTCTTTCTTTCTTTTTCTGCCCAGTATGCAATGCTTCCTGTTTCTCTAGTAATGAAAATGTGTTCATCTGTCAAATGGAAAGCTGCCCCACTGTCTTAGGTGCAGAGAACTTCAATCACAGCAGCTGCTGCGACCAGACCGAGAGCCAAGCTCCTCATTTGTTTTGGCTAACACTGAAGAATCAGTTTAGGCATCCCCTAGAACAAAATGGTGCACGGGAACAGAGCCAAGCTATGGAAGAGAAGCAGCAAAGTTGCAACAGATTATTTGTCTGCTAAAGCAGAAGGAGAAAGATATCAAAACCTGGATTCATTTGAGTCCAGCCTCCCTAACATATTCTCTATTTGCAACACAGATGATTTCCTCTAATATCATTCAACAGGTGCTAAACTGTAGCTTTTCTGAAGATTAATCATTGCAGCCTTGGCAACAGAGAATTAGGAAGTAACAAGGTGGCTCCCAGAATTCTTAGGCTATTTCTTCTGAGTACTCAGCACAGGGCACTATATATATATATATATATATATATATAGATATATATATATATATATATATATATGTGTGTCTGTGTGTATATATATATACACACACCCAGTATATATGCACACATATATACACACACACATATATAATGTATATATATTATATAGCCATATAGTGTATACTCAGGGCAATATATATATACACTATATATATAACTTTCCATTTGACAAATGAACACATTTTCATTACTAGAGAAACAGGAAGCATTGCATACTGGGCAGAAAAAGAAAGAAAGAAATATTTGGGAAGTGGCTTTGTTGTTTCTTATATATAGGTATATGACATATATCTATATAGTGCCCTGTGCTGAGTATACACACCCACCCACACACACCCACATACATACCACTACAACATATATAGTGATATATAAATATATAGTACATATATAGTACAATATATTATATATATTATAAATATATAGTACATATATGGCATATATGTATATAAATATATAGTACATATATAGTATATATGTGTATAAATATATAGTACATATATAATATATATGTGTGTATATATATGCTTGTTAATTATAAGAAAAATATTGTTACCCTCTGTGTTCACAGAGCACCTGTGCATGCCTACATCTTGGCATATATCACATTTATAGGAAGTTATATTTGCTTTTGTGTCTCCTGCTTATGCTACAAGCTCTTTAAGATAGGTCTATCTTTAACTTACCTCTTATTTTCAGAAACTAGCTTGTGATAGACACTCAATAAACGTGGATTGAATGATTTATTTGCTGAGTTAAACTACAAAAATGCATGAATTATCAATCTTTCCATGTCATTAGGGAGATTTGAGTAAGCATGATCATTTTTTGGCAATTTACCAGCACTGATTATCCTTAAAGCTCCATTTAGATTTTTATTTTTACCCATTTGAGACAAGGGCCAAGGCCACACAGATGTAAATTATTTAATTGAGTCATTAAACCAAATCCATGTTGTGGTCCAGTTGGCCCACATAAAAACGTAGAGCTTGGGAATATGATATGGCTTCACTTTTTTCCAAATTTATCTGAAAATGGCTAACTTTGAACATCCTTTGAATATTGTAGGGCTCATTAGAGAAGGGGAACAGTGAAGCCAAACTCTAGGAAGAACAAAAAGAGAATTATATAGAAATCTTAGAATACTTAAATGCCTCAAAAATTTTGAGGGTCTATCTCAAGTCTGGCCAGCTTTTATTATAGAAGATTGCTTTCATATGGCCAGCCTGTTTGTTCTGTATGGGGATATGTCCCAAGAACTATCTAAGTTAGATACTTTTCTAGGTCAAGATAAGCCAGTACACAGTGCAAGTGGATTATGGATGTTGCAGTATGATCTACTGCCTGAATTTCCAAGTCTTAGATGAAGGTAGTGATCTGGAGTGAATGAATGGATCATTCATTCAACACAAAAGGGTGTCCAGTAGGAACTGAGTCATTGGCCTGGGAAACTGGAATGGAGAACGGAATGGCCTGGGAATGGAGAATCCTCAGCTTTGTCTTTAGTAGTTAGATCTTTGTGATGGTTAATACCGAGTGGCACCTTGATTGGATTGAGCGATACGGAAGTATTAATCCTGGGTGTGTCCGCATGGGTGTTGCCAAAGGGGATTAACATTTGAATCAGTGGGCTGGGGAAGGCAGATCCACCCTTAATCTGGTAGACACAATCTAATCAACTTCCAGTAAATATAAAGCAGGCAGAAAAATGTGAAAATGAAAGATGGGCCTAGCCTCCCAGCCTACATCTTTCTCCAGTGCTGGATGCTTCCTGCCCTTGAACATCAGACTCCAAGTTCCTCAGTTTTGGGACTCAGACTGGCTCTCCTTGCTCCTCAGCTTGCAGACAGCCTATTGTGGAACCTTGTGATCATGTAAGTTAATACTTAACAAATTCCCCTTCATATATATGCCTCCTGTTAGTTCTGTCCCTCTAAGAGAACCCTGACTAATACAGATTTTGGTACCAGGAGTGGTTCTAGAGGAACAGAATACTAAGGATAGAGTTCTTTCATTGGTTTTAGGGTTTCTGGAATTGGCTGCTTAATATGATTGACCCAAAAATGCTAAGGACTCTACTTCTAATAGTATGCAGAACACTGATAGTCCTTGGCATGAACTATGTAGAGAGTTATGTAAAATAAATGCATTTGACACTCGGGATTCACTGCTCATGAGAGGCAAGGAGTTTAGTGACTCTATGCATAATACCTTCGACCATATGTGGAGAATCAAGGAACATAATCAACCTGGTTGGTTGCTCCTAAGTTCAGTGACAAAGTGATGAAAGAAAATGATGAACTCAGGGATTCTGTCTCCCAGTTTCAGAAGCAGATACTGAGCCTCAAATATGCTAAGATTGCCCTGAGTGAGAGTCTTATCTCCTGTAGAGAAACAGCTGAAATTGTGGAAGAAGACATAAGCTTTTATCATGCGAGTGGCTGACCTGCAATGAAAGGTGCATGCACAGCCTCAACAGGTGTCTACTGTTAAAGTGAGGGCATTGATTGGAAAAGATTGGGATTCTGAAGCTTGCGAATGGGGATGTGTGGGAGGACCCTGATGAAGCTGGGGACACTGAGTTTGTAAAACCTGACGAAACTTTTTTGCCAGAAGGAACAGCTTCCCCATCCCCAGTAATGGCAACATCCCCTCCCTTACCCATGCTACCATCAGCATTTCCACCTCTGTCTGAGGAGATAAACCCTGCGCTGCCTGAGGCAACAGTGATGGCCTCCCTTGAGGCAGTTGCCAGGCTAAATAATGTTGATTCTCCTCAGGAGCCACGCCAACACCCCTGTTTGCTTCTAGACTTATAACTAGACTAAAGTCCCAAACAGGCCCCTGGAGGTGAGGTTGAGATTGTGACCCATGAGGAGGTACGCTACACTCAAAACGAACTGTTTGAGGTCTCTAATTTATATAAACAGCAATCTGGAGCACAGGCACAGGAATGGATATTAAGGGTATGAAATGATATGAATATTATTCATATTCATTTCAAGGTATGAAATGAAATGAATGGATATTAAGGTATAAGGGAAAGAACACAGAGTTGGATCAGGCTGAATTTATTGACTTGGGCCCACTAAGTAGGGACTCTGCATTTAATGTTGCAGCTTGGGGAGTTAAAAAAGGTTCTAATAGTTTGTTTGCTTGGTTAGCCGAAACAAAGATTATAAGATGGCCCACTGTGAGTGAGCTGGAAATGCCTGATCTCCCTCGGTTTAATGCAGAGGAAAGGATCCAAAGGCTTAGGGAGATTGGGATAGTGGAGTGGATTAGTCACTTTAGACCTACTCATCCCAGAGGGTTCAGAAGATATACCCTTGACCAATGCCTTGCGAAATAGATTTGTGAGGGCAGTACCTGCATCTTTGAAGAGCTCTGTAATTGCTCTTCTCTGTATGTCACATCTAATGGTGAGAAATGCAGCCACTCAACTACAAAATTTAAATACAATGGGAATAATTGGATCCCAAGTGGCAGCACTTAACTATCAAAGTCAAGGTGGGCATGACTACCATAATGGACAGCAGAGGCAGCAGCAATCAGAATAGTCTGACTCATGTAGAGCTCTGGCATTGGCTAATTAATCACAGTGTTCTCAGAAGTGAAATTAATAAGAAGCCTACTACATTCCTACTTAAATTGTACAAACAGAAAACTTCTAGGTTGAATGGAAAAAACATTAATTTAAATTATAAAAACAGAGAATCACAGCCCCTCAATCAATTTCCAAACTTGAGCCAGTTTACAGACCCAGAACTCCTTGAATGAAGGGGAGGCCAGGTCCCCTTGAGGAAGGACCCTACTACATTACCAACAATTTATGCAGTGGATCTTTCTCCCATCCTTCCACAAGGAAACTTCCAACCTTTTACCAGGGTAATTGTGCACTGGGGAAAGGGAAATGATCAAACATTTCAAGGACTACTGGACACTGGCTCTGAGCTGACATTGATTCCAGGGGACCCAAAACATCATTATGGTCCTCCAGTTAAAGTAGGGGCTTATGGGGGTCAGGTAATTAATGGAGTTTTAGCTCAGGTCTTACTTACAGTGGATCCCCAGACTCATCCTGTGATCATTTCCCTAGTGCCAGAATGCATAATTTGCATAGACATACTTAGCAGCTGGCAGAACCCCCACATTGGCTCCCTGACTGGCAGACTGAGGGCTACTATGGTGGGAAAGGCCAAATGGAAGCCATTGGAGCTACCTCTACCTAGAATAATTGTAAATCAAAAACAATATCGCATCCCTGGAGAGATTGAGGAGATTAGTGCCACCATCAAGGACTTGAAAGATGCAGGGGTGGTGATTCCCACATCCTCATTCAACTCCCTGATTTGGCCTGTACAGAATACAGATGGATCTTGGAGAATGACAGTGGATTATTGGAAGCTTAACCAAGCGGTGACTCCAATTGCAGCTGCTGTACTAGACATGGTTTCATTGCTTGAACAATTAACACATCTCCTGGTACCTGGTATGCAGCCATTGACTTAGCAAATGTTTTTACTCCATTCCTATCCATAAGGTCCGCCAGAAGCAATTTGCCCTCAGCAGCAAGGCCAGCAATGTATCTTTACTGTCCTACCTCAGGGGTATATCAACTCTCCAGCTTTGTGTCATAATCTTATTCAGAGAGACCTGGGTCGCTTTTTGCTTCCACAAGATATCACACTGGTCCATTACATTGATGACGTTATGCTGATTGGATCCAGTGAGCAAGAAGTAGCAAACACACTGGACTTATTGGGGAGACATTTGCATGCCAGAGGATGGGAAATAAATCTGACTAAAATTCAGGGATCTTCTAACTCAGTAAAATTTCTAGGAGTCCAGTGGTGTGGGGCCTGTCGAGATATTCTTTCTAAGGTAAAGGATAAGTGGTTGCATTTGGCCCCTCCTACAACCAAGAAAGAGGCACAATGCCTAGTGGGCCTATTTGGATTTTGGAAGTAACATATTCCTCATTTGAGTTGTTACTCTGGCCCATTTTTTGAGTGGCCTGAAAGGCTGCCAGTTTTGAATGGGGTCTACAACAAGACAAGTTTCTGCAGCAGGTACAGGCTGCTGCGCAAGCTGCTCTGTCACTTTGGCCATATGACCAGCAGATCCATTGGTGCTTGAGGTGTCAGTGGCAGATAGGGATGCTGTTTGGAGCCTTTGACGGGCTCCCATAGGTGAATTGCAGCAGAGGCTTCTAGGATTTTGGAGCAAGTTCCTGCCATCTTCTGCAGATTAACTACTCTCATTTTGAGAGACAGCTCTTGGCCTGTTACTGGGCTTTGGTGGAAACCGAATGCTTGACTATGGGTCATCAAGTCACCATATGACCTGAACTGCCTATCATGAACCGGGTGCTTTCTAACCCATCTAGCCATAAAGTGGGTCATGCACAGCAGAATTCCATCATTAGATGGAAGTGGTATATATGCGATTGGGCTCAAGCAGGTACTGAAGGCACAAGTAAGTTACATGAGGAAGTGGCTCAAATGTCCATGGTCTCTACTCCTGCCACCACCCTGCCTTCTCTCCCCCAGCCTGTACTGATGGCCTCATGGGGAGTTCCCTGTGATCAGTTGACAGAGGAAAAGAAGACTAGGGCCTGGTTCACAGATGGTTCTGCATGATATGCAGGCACCACCCAAAAGTGGACAGCTGCAGCACTTCAGCCCCTTTCTAGGACATCCCTGAAGAACAGCAGTGAAGGGAAATCTTTCCAGTGGGCAGAACTTCAAGCAGTGCACCCAGTTGTGCACTTTGCATGGATGGAGAAATGGCCAGAAGTGCAATTATATACTGATTCATGGGCTGTAGTCAATGGTTTGACTGGATGGTCTGGGACTTGGAAGAAGCATAATTGGAAAATTGGTGACCAAAAAAATTTGGGGAAAGGTTACCCAGATGGACCTCTCTGAATGGCCAAAAACTGAAGATATTTGTATCCCATGTGAGTACTTAACCAACGGGTGACCTCAGCAGTGGAGGAGTTTAATAATCAAGTGGATAGGATGACCCATTCTGTGGACACCACTCAGCCTCTTTCCCCAGCCACCCCTGTCATCACCCAATGGGCCCATGAACAAAGTGGCCATTATGGCAGGGATGAAAGTTACACATGGGCTCAGAAACATGGACTTCCACTTACCAAGGCTGATCTGGCTGTGGTCACTACTGAGTGCCCAATTTGCCAGCAGAGAGACCAACACAGAGACCTCAATATGGCACCATTCCTTGGGGTGATCAGCCAGCCACTTGGTGGTAGGTTGACTATATTGAACCTCTTCCATCATGGAAAGGGCAGAGGTTTGTCCTCACTGGAATAGACACCCCAGATATTGGTTTGTCTATCCTGCACACAATGCTTCTGCCAAGACTATCATCCATGGACTCACGTAATGCCTTATCCACCATTACGGTATTCCACATAGTGTTGCCTCTGACCAAGGCACTCACTTTACAGGTAAAGAAGTGTGGCAGTGGGCTCATGCTCACTGAATTCACTGGTCTTACCATGTTCCCTATCATCCTGAAGCATCTGGATTGACAGAACAGTGGAATGGCCTTTTGAAGTCACAATTACAATGCCAACTAGGTGACAATACTTTGCAGGGCTGGGGCAAAGTTATCCAGAAGGCCATGTATGCTCCGAATCAGTGTCCAGTATATGGCACTGTTTCTCCCATAGCCAGGATTCGTGGGCCCAGGAATCAAAGCGGGGAAGGGAAAGTGGCACCACTCACCATCACCCCTAGTGAACCACTAGCAAAATTTTGCATCCTGTGCCTGCAACATTATGTTCTGCTAGCCTAGAGGTCTTAGTTCCAGAGGGAGGAATGCTGCCACCACCAGGAGACACAACAATTATTCCATTAAACTGGAAGTTAAGATTGCCACCTGGACACTCTGGGCTCCTCCTACCTTTAAGTCAACAGGCTAAGAAGAAGGGAGATACAATGTTGGCTGGGGTGATTGACCTGTACTATGAAGATGAAATCAGTCTACTACTCCACAACAGAAGTAAAGAAGAGTATATGTGGAATACAGGAGATCCATTAGGGTGTCTCTTAGTATTACCATACCCTGTGATTAAAGTCAATGGGAAACTACAACAGCACAATCCAGACAGGACTACAAATGACCCAGACCCTTCAGGAGTGAAGGTTTGGGTCACTCCACCAGGAAAAAAACCATGACCTGCTGAGGTGCTTGCTGAAGGTAAAGGGAATACAGAATGGGTAGTAGAAGAAGGTAGTAATCAATACCAGCTATAACCATGTGACCAGCTGCAGAAACAAGGACTGTAACTGTCATGAGTATTTCCTCCTTCTTTTGTTAAAAACATGTTTGTGCATGCATACACTTGTACTAAGAACATATCTTCATTTTATTTCCTTTTCCTTTATCATGTGACATAAGATTTATTGACTTCATATCAGCATTGAAGTATTGTTAACTTTATGTAATAGTATTTAGGTTGGGGATTGGTATGTTTCTGGTTGTACAAAGGATAGTTGTATTATGTTAGGTGTAACTATGACCTCATTATTGTCTTTATTTGAAGACTATGTATGATCTCAGGAGATGTGTATGGGTTCAAGATGACAAGGGGTGGACTTGTGATAGTTAATACTGAGTGTCAACTTGATTGGATTGAGGGATACAGAAGTATTAATCCTGGGTGTGTCTTTGTGGGTGTTGCCAAAGGAGAATAACATTTGAGTCAGTGGGCCGGGGAAGGCAGACCCACCCTTAATCTGGTGCACACAATCCAATCAGCTTCTAGCAAATATAAAGCAGGCAGCAAAATGTGAAAAGGCAAGACAGGCCTAGCCTCCTAGCCTACATCTTTCTCCTGCTGGATGCTTCCTGAACATCAGACTCCAAATTCTTCAGTTTTGGGACATGGACTGGCTCTCTTTGTTCCTCAGCTTTCAGATGGCCTATTGTGGGACCTTGTGATCATGTAAATTAATACTTAATAAACTCCCTATATATATATATATATATATACACTTTATATATAAATATGTCAATACTTAATAAACTCCCAATAGATATATGTTAATACTTTATATATATATGTTAATACTTAATAAACTCCCTATATATATATCCCGATTCCCTACATATATCCCGATATATATATATATATATATATCGGGATATATATAGGGAGTTTATTAAGTGTATATATATATATGTGTGTGTGTGTGTATATATACATAAGTGTATATACATAAGTGCATATATAAACATAAGTGTATATACATAAGTGCATATATAAACATAAGTGTATATACATAAGTGCATATATATACATAAGTGTATATACATAAGTGCATATATACATAAGTGTATATACATAAGTGCGTATATATACATAAGTGTATATACATAAGTGCGTATATATACATAAGTGTATATACATAAGTGCGTATATATACATAAGTGTATATACATAAGTGCGTATATATACATAAGTGTATATACATAAGTGCGTATATATACATAAGTGTATATACATAAGTGCGTATATATACATAAGTGTATATACATAAGTGCGTATATATACATAAGTGTATATACATAAGTGCGTATATATACATAAGTGTATATACATAAGTGCGTATATATACATAAGTGTATATACATAAGTGCGTATATATACATAAGTGTATATACATAAGTGCGTATATATACATAAGTGTATATACATAAGTGCGTATATATACATAAGTGTATATATATATAAGTGCGTATATATACATAAGTGTATATAAATAAGTGCGTATATATACATATATACATAAGTGTATATATAAGTGTATATATATACATAAGTGTATATATACACGTGTATATATATACATAAGTGTATATATACACGTGTATATATATACATAAGTGTATATATACAAGTGTATATATATACATAAGTGTATATATACAAGTGTATATATATACATAAGTGTATATATACAAGTGTATATATATACATAAGTGTATATATACAAGTGTATATATATACATAAGTGTATATACATAAGTGTATATATATACATAAGTGTATATAAAGTGTATATATATACATAAGTGTATATATATACATAAGTGTATATATATAAGTGTATATATATACATAAGTGTATATATATAAGTGTATATATATACATAAGTGTATATATATAAGTGTATATATATACATAAGTGTATATATATATAAGTGTATATATATACATAAGTGTATATATAAGTGTATATATATACATAAGTGTATATATATATAAGTGTATATATATACATAAGTGTATATATATAAGTGTATATATATACATAAGTGTATATATATAAGTGTATATATATACATAAGTGTATATATATAAGTGTATATATATACATAAGTGTATATATATAAGTGTATATATATACATAAGTGTATATACATAAGTGTATATATATAAGTGTATATATATACATAAGTGTATACATATAAGTGTATATATATACATAAGTGTATACATATAAGTGTATATATATACATAAGTGTATACATATAAGTGTATATATATACATAAGTGTATACATATAAGTGTATATATATACATAAGTGTATACATATAAGTGTATATATATACATAAGTGTATATATATAAGTGTATATATATACATAAGTGTATATATATAAGTGTATATATATACATAAGTGTATA
The DNA here is from genome assembly GCF_000001405.40 of Homo sapiens. Classification (NCBI taxonomy): domain Eukaryota; kingdom Metazoa; phylum Chordata; class Mammalia; order Primates; family Hominidae; genus Homo; species Homo sapiens. The sequence continues at coordinate 122,018,073 of NC_000011.10, forward strand.
TATAAGTGTATATATATATAAGTGTATATATATAAGTGTATATATATGTGTATATATATACACTTAATAAACTCAATAAAACTAAATAAAAGATATATATATCGGGATATATATATCTCCTATATATATATATCGGGATATATATATCTCTGATATATATATATATCGGGATATATATATCTCTGATATATATATCTCTTATATATATAAATCTCTGATATATATATCTCTTATATATATATCTCTGATATATATATCTCTTATATATATAATATATATCTCTGATATATATATCTCTTATATATATAATATATATCTCCCTCCTATATATATATAGGAGATATATATATCTCTGATATATATATCTCCTATATATAATATATATCTCCTATATATATTATATATATCTCCTATATATATAATAGATATCTCCTATATATATTATATATATATATCCTATATATATTATATAGAGATTATACATATATTGGGATATATGTTAATACTTTATGTATATATGTTAATACTTAATAAACTCCCTATATATATCCCAATATATATATCCCTATATTAAGTATATATACTTATATTAGTATATATATACTTATATTAAGTATATATACTTATATTAGTATATATATACTTATATTAAGTATATATACTTATATTAGTATATATATACTTATATTAAGTATATATATATACTTAATATATATACTATATATAATATATAATATTTAGTTTAAGTATATATATACTTATATTAAGTATATATATACACTTATATTAGGTATAGATATACTTATATTAACTATATATATACTTAATAAACTATTATATACTTAATAAACTAAATAAAGATATATATATATCTGGATATACATATCTCATATATATAGATCTCCTATATATATATAATATATAGATCTCCTATATAATATATAGATCTCCTATATATATATAATATATATCTCTCCTATATATATATAATATATATCTCTCCTATTAATTCTGTCCCTTTAAGAGAACCCTGCCTAATACAATCTTCTACCTTGGCTGCCTCTCTTCCAAATCCACAGTGCTTGCTGGAATGAAGGCACCACAGAGGCAGCCTCCTTCGTTGAGTCCCTGCTCATTGCTGGACAGCAAGCTCTGCCCAGACCCCTCCGTAAAGGAGGGTTTAATCTTCTTTGCCCCATATATTTCATGCTTGTTTCCCCTATCTTCCTCTCACATTATCTCAATAGTAAAATGGTCAGTGCTCCACACACAAACTGATCTGATAACATTTAGTTGAAATGATTAAATTTAGCAAAATATTGGAGTAAAATTATTTAGTTCTGTGATACTATGTGGTTGGATCAAAATGATTTTCATTTCTTTGCTTAGTTCTGTTTTTCTACAGTATCAGGTTACTTAACTCTATCTTGTCAAATATCAGATTTGGGAATGTCAGGATAATAAAAGCAAGTTTTATTATTTCAAGATGGATATTTGGCATTGTGTAGTCATAGCTTATCTGAGATAATATTTTAAGGATTAATATTGGAGCAGAACTAGAAGAAAGACATAGTTATTTAGCATACATGTGACATTTATGTCAAACAAGCATGGATTGAAATAAACCAATTTAATTTCCAAAAGCCCATTGCATTTAGCAGAAAATTTTGCATAATGCATGTAAACCTGTGCCATTGCCCCATAAGTCAAACTCTTCAAATTACTACTGGAGATTTCAATTCAACCCAAGCAAATGCATAGTATATATGTGCTTATATATATGTAAAAATCTGAAGCCTCTGAGACAAAAGTCTTAAGACAATGTAGCAGGTGTCAATTTTTTACCAAGATAATGATGAGAACCCTAAATCAGAATGTTACATACTTAAAACCAATTTGTTTCAGTGGCATATACTCAAGTGTCAAGTATCAAATGCTTATTCAAAGAGAGACCTCATATGTCAGGTTTGTGCAAGACTGTTTCTGTTTATTTTCTTCCTTTAAGTATGCTCTTGTATCCCAAAGTATTTTCTTAAGGCTGAAATTTAGCCATCTGTGGTACAGGAACACAGGACTGGGAAGAACTTGACCCAGTTCCTTCAGGGATTACTTCTTGAACTCCTGAAAACTGTATTTAAAGTGGCTTACAAATGGCTGAGAATTCTTGCTTGATATTTTAAAACCTATGATGGGAATCAGTTTTGGCTTTGAAACCAGGACTTAAGAGTATTAACACTAGGTCCTTCTTCTTAATCACAAGGCAAAAACTGCATGTAAATTTGGTACAACAATGATCGGCCACTTGGAATAAAACTCAAGATGCTGGAAAACATTGATTAGCCTTGAATACCATGTTAAAGGTAGAGTCTTGTTAAGTATACCTACCAATACAGAGCCCTGTAATAGTACCAAACTGTTAAAAGGTAGAGGTGACCATAGAGCCCTCCTCCGTATGGGGAGCTCTGTTACTCTTGGGGTATGGCGTATTATAGTGACTACTGGGTTTCCTTATCAGGAAACTTTGGGTGAAATTTGGCTCTGCCTATATTTGAATCTCAAGCAAGTTACCTTGAGGAGTCAACAACTCTGAGGCTTAATGAACTAAGACAGTGATTCTCAAACTTTTCTGTCTCAGGATTCCTTTATACTCACAAAGTTAGTGAGGACCCCAAAGAACCTTTGTTTATGTACATTGTATCTGTTGATATTTTCCACATTAGACATTAAAACTGAACATTTAAAAATATGTATTCATTTAAAAATAACAATAAACCCACCGTAGACTAACATAAAATATATTTTTATGGAAAAATAACTATATTTTGCAAAAATATTAG